>NC_000006.12:29453939-29756969 GCF_000001405.40 Homo sapiens | reverse complement strand
ACGTAACTGTAAGATGTTCAAAGATGAAGTCAACGAATGCAAAGTCAGTAACTAAGTATAAAACCTCCCCCAAGGAGAGTCTACATTTCTTCCCCAGAAATGGCCTCACTGTGCACTGCTGAAGGGAGAGGGTCTTTTCAAAGAGCCCAAGAAGCAGGGGCTACTGGGCTGCAGCTCTAAATAGAGATGCCATTCTTTCTACCTGCAGGTCCTGCCAAGCCTAACAGCAGACTTCAGTGATCCCACCTGAACCAGGAATTCGGGATTTTTGATGCTGGTTCTATTTGAGCCATTGTGTAAGCTTAAAAATGTGACATGGAGATTTTGCTGTAATTGTTTCTTTGCTGGAATTTGACATCCACGGTGCCTCTGGCTTCCTGTCTGGTCCCAGGAGGGAATGGATTGTCCAGCACTTTTTTTCAGCATCTCTTTGTGGAGGGGGGATCAGGAGATTTGGAGTCAGGGGCCCCTCCAATCTCACCCTCTTCTCTAATGCAGAGTCCCTTAAGCTTTCTGGGGTGGGGGCGTTGGCACTCTGCGGATCTGATGAATAAAATTGTTCCAGCTCCTGAAATAAAGGCACAGGTGCACATAAATACACTGACTCTTGCATGCAGTGCCAAGGTGAGAAAGTTTCCTATGATAGATGCCGAGTTTAGCACTTTGACTCTCCATTAACATTCACACAGACACACACACAAGCGCGCGCGCACACACAAACACACACACACACACACACACACACACACACACACACACATACAGAGCCAAAGCCAGCGATGCGGGAGGGGCTGACCTCAGGGGCGGGGTCACAGGCATCCCTCAGGTCCTTCTCAGTGGACTTTGTCTCTTTTTCCTGGAGGTGGAGGAGTCTGTACTTCATGAGAAGTCCTCTGAAGAAAGCAGGAGATACTTAGGAGCGGGGAAGTGGAGACAAAGGGGAGGGGGCGAGGCAAGGGGGAAGCACGCAAGAAATGGGGAGGAGGAGGACCTTATAGTGGTCAGAAAAGTCACACGCAGAATTTGGCTCTTGGTTTTTGTGTTTCATTAGGATGGACTTAGAAAACCAGACAGAGTGCGAGATAAGGAGTCTACCTTGCAAAAGACACGTCTTAGTGTCCTCCTAGTTTGAACTCATCAGTAGTAGCTGGGAGAAGGGAGCCGGGACGCCTGTGTGGGGCACGCCCTCTCTAGTTGTTCCCATTCTCTGCACCCCACCGGCTGGTGCCCTTCAACCCCAACAGGAAGGAAAGGAAGGAGGGGTCGGAAGGCTTTGGGTCTTCCCTCGCGCGCCTTCTTCCTCTGCCATTTATTCCCTGAGTGTCCTTGCCTTCCCTCCGCTACCTGATCCCCACCTTAACAAAGCACACTCTGCGCTGTTGGGCCAGGATTCCTCCTTTGGCCTCTGACTCACTGGTACAATTTCGCTGCGTCCTGTCCTTACCGCAGTTGCTACTGGGTAGAGCCGGAGAGAGCATCGCCCAGACCCGCTAGATTCATGCAGCGCCACTGCCCGCACATTCTTGACACTTCTTTAGATCCAAAGTCAGAGCCTGAGTTTTCAGACTAGTTCCGAAAGCCTTTAGCCATTGGAAAGGGGAAATCAATACTCTAGGAACAAAATTTGCTTCGACTTTGTCTCAACCCAAAGACACCATGACGGCGCAGTTTTCAAAGTTGCTTTGAGTATAAATGGAACAGGGTCTCCTGTGTCAGACTCGATTTTGCGTTTCCCTCTTTATTATAGCCCTTCTGTAAATTTTATTACATGTATCTCTACTCCACTAAAAACATTTCTGTCAAAGACACTAAGAAAGAGTCAATGCCATGAAAATATGAAGGATACTCTTAAAAGAGAGTTTCTGGTGTTGAGTTTTAATTAACACTTTGGTATTTAAAAATCTCTAACTATTTGGGTTTGGGGCTTAGCTTCATAATGTTTCAAACTGAGATATACTCTTCCTTAACCTCCATACAAATTCAGGTTTATTTTTATTTTTAATTGCATTTATTTTTCTTTTTTTGAAACAATGTCTCCATTCGTCACCCAGGCTGGAGTGCAGTAACACAATCATAGCTCAATGCAGCCTCGAACTCCTGGTCTCAAGCAATTCTGCCTCACCTTCCAGAGCTGAAATTACAGGTACAAACCACCGGGCCAAGCCAAATCCAAGTTAATACTGTAATATAAAATTCCAACATTTCAGAGAAAGTGAAAATCACCAAGTTATTGTAGTCCCTGGAGTCACTGTCAAGACTTTGGTGAGGGCTCAGTGGCTCACGCCTGTAATCCCAGCACTCTGGGAGGCTGAGGCGGGTGGATCACCTGAGGTCAGGAGTTCGAGACCAGCCTGTCCAACATGGCGAAACCCCATCTCTACTAAAAACACAAAAAATTAGATGGGTATGGTGGCGAGTGACTGTAATTCCAGCTACTAGGGAGGCTGAGGCAGGAGAATCACTTGAACCCTGGAGGTGGAGGTTGCAGTGAGCCAAGATCGCACCACTGCACTCCAGCCTGGGCGACAAGAGCGAAACTCCGTCTCAGAAAAAAAAAAAAAAAAAAAAAAAAAAAAAGGCCAGGCGCGGTGGCTCACGACTGTAATCCCAGCACTTTGGGAGGCCGAGGCGGGCAGATCACGAGGTCAGGAGATCGAGACTATCCTGGCCAACACGGTGAAACCCCGTCTCTACCAAAAAAAAAAATACAAAAAAATACAAAAAATTAGTGTGGTGGCGGGCGTCTGTAGTCCCAGCTACTCGGGAGGCTGAGGCAGGAGGATGGCGTGAACCCAGGAGAATGGCGTGAACCCAGGAGGCGGAGCTTGCAGTGAGCCGAGATCTCGCCACTGCACTCCAGCCTGGGCGACAGAGCTAGACTCTGTCTCAAAAAATAAATAAATAAATAAAACTTTGGTGAGAAATCTTCCAGGTTTTTCCCTACTTAAAATATACATTATGGAAGTGGTATTACTGGCATTATAATTCAGTGTATCCTCATCTTTTAAAAAATGGTTAAAAGTATGAGACGCACACATCTTCTCATAACAATACTTAAAACTGATCTTACCTCTTTTATTGACCCTATAAAATTGTATTGCATAGCAGCTCTTTGGAGTCCGATGGAAATGTTCTACATCTTCATTGTGGTAGTGGAGATGTGGGTGTGTACAACAGCCAAAACACAACGAGCTATGCATTTCAAATAGATACATTTTAGATACATTTTATTGTATGCAAAGCAAGTCCCAATAAAATGGCTTTTAAAATATATCTTCTTTGAGATTTGTACTTTGCTTATGTAAAACAAAACAAAACAAAAACCTTGTTTTTGTGCCCAAGAGACACACCCTGACACATCGGCAGGTAGAGGCTTACGTGTATATATATTACTGTATATTTACAGATTCAGAGAGAGAGACAGAGATAAAGCTATGTTAAGAATATTCATACATACCAAAACTAGATAAAAACCAAAAATAAAAGTTAGAAATAATAAAACTCTATATTTTAAATGTTATTCTCTTCTTCACCTTTTTTCTCCTCTTTCCTTCCTCTCTCTTCCCTTTTTTCTTCAACACGCTCCCCCCACCCCCACCCCCCAGCCATCCTTCCCTACTTTCTCCCTTCTCTGCACTTGATCCCCGGTGTATTCCAGCCTCGAGGCCAACACACGTCACCGCGTCCGCCTGGGGCAGGTCGGGGAAGGGACGCGAGGCGGCGCTGTCACCGCATTCTGAGGGCCGCAGCGCCCTGCGCCCCTGCTGGTCTTGTATCATTTCAGTGAACGTCGCTCCAGTCTTTGATGGGGCCACACTCGGGATGTAAATTTAGGATCCTCACTGAAGGGGCGGGACCCTGAGAGGCTTTCTCCTGGCCCCTTAGTTGTGAGTTTTCCTGCAGGCGGAGGAGCCAGTTTCCGTCAGAACCGCCCAGAGGCAGGCGCTGCCTTCCTGGGGTGGCGGAGCAGCTGGAAGCGTTTTCGGATCCTGGAATCCGTGGGCGGCCCGTGGGAGGGGCTGAGGCGCATTTCCCTACTCACCCGGATCCGAATCCACCGCGGTGCTGTTTCAAGCGAGTCAGATTCCACATCGCGCTCCACCCCGGACTCGGAATTCCTGCCCCACAGGTCTGCATTTTCATAGCGGCAGCTGTGAGTGCCCCGCGGCTGGAGACCAGAAGCCTGAAGGCAACTCCGTCCTCCCCAGCCCACAGCGCCGTTATTCCGTTTCTATATCAGCAAACACTTGTAGACCAGGGCGGGGTAACGGGTGATCTCAGTCCTCGCAGTGAACTCCGGGCCGCAGGCTTGAAAACGCGCGCGGGCGCCCAGCCCAACCCCGCCCTGGGTTCTGTAAGCGACCGCACTGGGTCCTTTCTCTTTCTTTTCCGGACCCAGCAGTGGCGCCTAAAGTCTGTGAGGAGAAAGTCGCCTCTGTGCCCCGGAGTTCAGAGGTCTAAGGCGAGTCCTGAGGAAGAAAACGTAGTTGATGGGGCAGAGCAGAAGGGGCTGGAGGTGGGGTGGAGGGAGAGGGCATTGGACAGAAGGCCTGGGAGACTTGGTGGGGGATGGGCAGCCAGGCCGGGACCCTGGGGAGTGCCTCACCCCGAGCGAGCGGAAGACCATCTGGGCTTCCCCTAGCCCAGAAAGGGTGGATTGGCTTCACCTCTGCTGGCCATCACCTCTACATGCCTTGGAACTAACCTTGTATATTATTATTATTGTCGTTATTTAAGTATTAAAAGTATTTTTTGAGGTGAGCTGAATGAGACCCTTTGCTAGAGCTGGCACAGGGAGGAAGGTCGTCCTGGAGGGAGGGTAGACACTGTGGAGGGAAGGGAGACCTGTGTCAGGAGAGCTGAGACCACCTCTCTGCCCCTCACTACTCTTGTAATCTTTAGGAGTGTAAATAATCCCCCTAAGGTGGGGACAGGACCCCAGTCCCTGCTGTGCGCAATAGATTATGATGATCAAAATAAATAATCAGTGAATGTGGATGGGAAATCTAAGTAATTGTTAAAACCCTGTGATGCTTAAATTTTCACTCACAGAAATGTGTAGGCTAGGAGTTTTAAGAGGAATGGTTAGTAATTATAGGTATAGTTCAGTTTTAAAAAATGTTTGTAAGAGTGACAAAGATAGAATGAACACAGTTCCAGATCATGGACTGTTCATCGTGTAGTGAGGGATGGTACAAGATGGTAGATGACAGCTGGGCATGGTGGCACTCACCTACAGTCCCAGGTACTCAGGAGGCTGAAGTGGCTGGATTGCTTGGGCCCAGGCATCTGAAGCTGCAGTGAGCTGTGATCACACTGATGCCCTCCAACTGGCGGCAGAGTGAGATCTCCCCCTCTTAAAAATAAATAAATAAATAAATAGTAGATGGAGTTCAAGAATGCAGGCAA
Source organism: Homo sapiens (assembly GCF_000001405.40). Taxonomy (NCBI): domain Eukaryota; kingdom Metazoa; phylum Chordata; class Mammalia; order Primates; family Hominidae; genus Homo; species Homo sapiens. Next base: position 29,751,560 of record NC_000006.12, on the reverse strand, counting down.
AGTTGGTACCCATCAGGGAGGTTCAAACCATGGGCTAGAACAGTGGTTCTAAAACTTGCCTACACATTGGAAGCACGTAGAGAGCTTTAAAAGATATTGAAGCTTAGGTCCAACCTAGCCTTACTGATTCAATTGGTTTTGGCTGTGACCTGGGACCGTGGATATTAAAAACTCTCCAGGTGGTTCTGTGAAGTGGCTAGGTTTGAGGACCACTGGCTAGATGTTCCAAAGAGTAAGAGACGTGTGTGTTGGGGACGAGATGATTCTTTCAGTAGAAAGAGGCTTTTGCATGGTGTTTTATTATCGAGATATAATTTATGTGCCACGTAATTTACCATTTAAAAATGTACAGTCCAGGGCCCACTCAGAACCATCCCAGCAACCTGACCACAGCTGGTCTTTGCTGGACACCATGAACCACACTGCCCAAACCTTCTTCATTCCTGCCAACAGTGGCTGCCCTCCCCCGCCCCCCAACCCCAGCTATGAGATGCTCAAGGAGGAGCATGAGGTGGCTGTGCTGGGGGCGCCCCACAACCCTGCTCCCCCAATGTCCACCATGATCCATATCTGCAGCGAGACCTCCGTGTCTGACTATGTTGTCTGGTCCCTGTCCAACATCCTCTTCATGAACCCCCACTGCCTGGGATTCATAGCATTCACCTACTCCCTGAAGTCTAGGGACAGGAAGATGGTTGGAGACCTGACTGGGGCCCAGGCCTATGCCTCCACTGCCAAGTACCTGAACATCTGAGCCCTGATTGTGTGCATCATCATGACCATTCTGCTCACCGTCATCATCCTAGTGTTGATCTTCCAAGTCTGTCGATAGATCAGGAGGCATCATCCAGGCCAGGAGCTCTGCCCATGACCTGTATTCCACATACTCCAACTTCCATTCCTCGTCCTGGCCCCAGAGCTGAGTTCTGTATCAGCGCTTTATCCTCACACACTCTTCTACAATGGCATTCAATAAAGTGCATGTGTTCCTGGTTAAAAAAAAAAAAATGTACTGGTCAGTGGCTTTTAGCATAATCACAACATCGTGCCACAGTTGCTATTATCTAATTGGGAAGATTTTCTTTTTTTAAAGGCTAGTCAAGTAAAGCAGTGGGAGCGGAGAAGGAAAAAAGAAATCTGTAATTGGTTGTGATCAATTAGTTGTAAACACCACTACACTCTGACCAGCCTAATTGGGAAGATTTAAGGATGTGACACGGTCTAATGGGCTCAGAGGCAGAAGCGACAGTAATCTGGAAGCAGGAGACTGCTTAGGCAGTGGCATCCCGGTGGGACAGGGCAAGGAGATTGGGGAGCCCACTTTTACTGCAACACTGGAAAGAGGGATGTCACCAGAAAAATGGGGGTGGTGACAGACAGGAGGTTGTGGCAGCTGTGGCTTCCATGGTAGAGACCTCACGTGTGACATTCAGCAGATGGGGTGCTGTGGGGGTCTTAGAGCACTCTGACTATAGCTGGGACAGTCACAGTGTTTAGGAAGCCTGTACAGTGATCTAGGCTGAATCTTGTGCAGTGATCTAGGCTGAAAGCCGAGACTAAAGTAGTGGCTGTGGGATCAAAATAGGGTTGGAGGAGCTTTGAGTACTTGAGAAGGAAAAGGGGGAAATCAGAAGGCACCACGGAAAGAGAAACAGGGGAGGAAGAGAGGATGATGTCATGCGAGACGTGTAGAGTGTCCTTGTAGACCTGTCACATTGGAAGCTACTATGGTCTCAGAGGTACAGATGTCCTAAAGCAGGCTGGAAAAGGGAGTCTGGGGAGAGCTTGGTGTTGGAGTGGACACTGGCAAGCTGCCTCCTTGGCCTTTTGATCACCCAGGGGCTGAATAGAGAGGCAGCCCCGGGAGACCTCACACACTTACAGGAAGTGACCATAAGAAAGGGGACCTAGCTTTGAGTAAAAGGGAGGAGAAGGAGATTGTAAAGCTGAAACGTCTAAGAGATTTGTCGTCTTAGCGGATCAGCTGGGGCAGGTGCTACAGAAACAGAGGTAGCTGAGGTCTGGAAACAGGTCTGCAAATCTGGTCACTGGCCACATAGCCAGTAACGCTGTGCGCGGCTGAGGGGAGTGTGTTGGAAGAATAACCAGGCCTCGTCTCTTCTGTAAGTGTGTCCTGGAAAGAACAAGCGAATGACAGTCAGCTTGATGGGGTGGCTGGCGAAACGGTCTTGGTGAGGCACGCTATCCTAGGGGTGGGGGTGCGGGGATGGGGTGGTCGCAATACAGGGAGGGCGGCAGGGCCCAGGTCGTGCTCATGCGGTTGGGGCTGTACTCTCAGCTGCTCGGAGCCAGTCCCCGCATTTGGCGGCGCTTCCGCGCGCTCCCCCTTTTCTGGGCTCCAGGTCCCGCCAGCCAAAGTTCTCCAGGTCTCCTGACCGCTGGAACCTTCCCCTTCTGAGTGTGGCCCCGCCCTCCCAGCTCGTGATTGGCCCTAAGCTGCGGGCGCCAGTTTTCATTGGGTGAGCGGTCGCTGGGGTGGGGCCAGGTGACAGGAAATTTCTGGTGGGCCTTCGCGGCTCCGCTGGGTTGGCAGCCGCTTGAGCCACTGCGAGGAAAGCAAAGTCTGGGCCATGGAGATGAGCCTAGTCCTGCTGTTCCTGATCCGCACTGCCCTTTTTGCACCCCAGGGAGCTGCTGCTGGTAAGTGGGGTTCCTGGCGGTCCTCGGCGGAGCGGCAGCGGCGGGGCGTTTCTGGGGGTCCGGGTGGGTAGCGGCGAGCGCTGTGCGGCCGAGGCGGGGCTCAGGTGCGCTGTCGGGGGTGCGGGGAGTGGACGCGGCCCGTTCCCGCCACACCTCAACCCTGCTTCCACGTCTCTTTTCAGTCCTCCTCGGGATCGCTCATCACCCGCCCCCTGCATTTTCTGGTCTTGTCCTGCACTTTCTCTCCTCTCCTCTCCTCCGTCTCCTCTCACTTTTCGGACAAACCAGTCTTTCTGAGGCCCCTGGGTTCCTGGGCTGCTCCTGTGAATGGCATTCGAGGGCCCTTCCAGCGCGGCCGCTGAGGCAGCCACCTCCCCCGGTGCTGGGGGCGGCCCTAAGGTCCCTGAAGCCCTGTCCTCTCCCGGAGCCGACGTGTTCTCAGCTCCTGGGCCGCATCTCCTGGAGTTGGGGCCCTCCTTTCTCGGGACCCGGAGCTAGTGCTTCCTGCTGCTGTGGGGACTGTGGGGCTCCTGACCCTCACGCTGAGGGGTTGGAGTCTGCAGGCTCCGGGCAGAGGATTCTTCCTGCGACTTCTCTCATCCCCAGCTCATTCTCCCCTGGCCTCCCGCTGCCGGGGATCCTCTCTTGTCTTGCATCCTTCCCTGCTACTATTAACTCCAGTGATCTAAGGACACCAGATTCCCTCCCACCTCCTCCCCTGCCCTCAGGGCACCTTGGGTCCTGTTGCCCTCCCAGCTCCCTGTTACCCCTTCCTATCTGCAGTTCTCTGATACATTTCTAGGATGTCCTCTGCCTCATCCCCTGCCCCCGCCACCGCAGGTCCCTCCTGCCTCCCTTATGGGCCTTTCCTAGAAGCAGCCTTAACCCAGGGCTGCCCCTATGCCTCCCACTCCCAACTCTCCCTGACCCTAACTCTCTGGTGCCGCCTTTTGTCCCAGGGTCTTCCCTCCGTCCCACTCCCCTCTAGACCACCCAAGGGGAGCCCTAGTGCTAATGTTGGTTGGGCCTTAGGCAGGGCACAGGGCAGGGCAGATGCCCCCTCCCCTCTAGTGCAGGTGCCTGCTCTGGGCCCTGCCTCACGGTGGCCCCTTCCCTACTCCTTCATCCTCAGCCCCACCCTCTTGAGGACCCCCCACTCCAGCCCACGGGTGCTGGACCATCCCTCCCTGGTCCCTCCGCCCCTCTCCGCCTTGGGACCTTGTGCTGCTCCTACCTCTTGCCCAGCTGCCTTGGGCCCTCAGCAAGTTCTCATCTTTCCCAAGCCCCACCCTCACTCAGAGCACCCTCCCCTCCTGTCCTCACCCTAACCAAAGTTCCCCCAGGGTCACCCCCACACCATGCTCACCCCATCCTCCAGTCCTTGCCCTGCACATCTGTCCTCCTCTACCCAGACCCAACACAGGCCGTGTGTCCAACTGCTTCTTTTTTTTTTTTTTTTTTTTTTTTTTTTTAGACGGCGCCTCCCTCTGTCGCCAAAGTTGGAGTGCAGTGGCGCGGTCTCGGCTCACTGCAAGCTCCGCCTCCCGGATTCAAGTGATTCCCCTGCCTTAGCCTCCTAAGTAGCTGGGATTACAAGTGCCCACCACCACACCCGGCTAATATTTTGTATTTTAATAGAGACTGGGTTTCACCATGTTGACCGGGATGGTCTCAATCTCCTGACCTCGTGATCTGCCTGCCTAAGCCTCCCGAAGTGCTGGGATTACAGGCGTGAGCCACCACACCTAGCTGGTAATTCATTTTTTAATTTTTGGAGGAATCAACACACTGTTTTCCATAACAGGTGCCCTATTTTGTATTTCCAAATGCATTACACAAAGGTTCCAGTTTCGCAACCTGTTTGCCAAACTTGATATTTCTGTGTGTGTGTGTGTGTGTGTGTGTGTGTGTGTTTGATAATAGCCAAACTAATTGGTGTAAAGTAATAGTTCATTGTGGTTTTGATTTGCATTTCCCTAATGACTGCTGATGCTGAGCGTCTTTTCATGTGTCTGTTGGCCATTTGTACATCTTGTTTGGGGAATTGGCTATGCAAGTCCTTTGCCTACTTTTGTATTAGTTGAATGTCTCCTGTTTGAGTTGTAGGAGTTCTTTATGTATTCTGGATATTAATCTCTTATCAGATATATATGATTTGCAAATATTTTCTTTCATTCTGGGGGTTGCTTTTTCACTGTGTTTATTGTGTTTTTAATGAACTTTTTTATTTTGATGAGTCCAATTTATCAATTTTTTCTTTGTTGTTGTATCTTTGGTGTTATATCCAAGAAAGTGCTATCAAATTCTATGGCATGAAGATAATTCCCTATGTTTTATTGTAAGAGTTTTTCAGTTTTAGTTCTTGAGTTTAGGTCTTTGATGTTTTTCTTAGTTAATTTTCATATGTGGTGTAAGTTAGGGATCCAACTTCATTTTTTTTTTTTTTGGCATGTGAACATCTGGTTTTCCTAGCACCATTTGTTGAAAAGATGCACTGACTCTTTAAGACCCTTGCCACCAGCCCACCCCAGGGGACACCAACTGGTCCATCCACCTCCCTACTTGGGGCATTGCCATGCCACTCTGAAGCCCACACCATTGCTTCTCCCTGGGATACGGACCTCGTAGAAAACGTCTCTGGCACCACAGCCTACCTGCCCCTCCTGCCTCACAGCCAAGTCTCCCTTGCCCCCACCTTGTCCATGTTGAGCCTTCCTCAAAGGCAGTGGACCTTGCCTCCATCTCACCCTCACCTGTGCACCACAGCCATGGTGGTCATGGGTCCCTCTGAGCCTGGGTCCCTTACAGTTTCTGCTCTCCCCTCTGGCAAGACCTTCCTTCCACCACTGCCTTCATGCTCCTCCCTTGAACCTGCAGGGCAGCCCCTTCCATTGGCCTCCTCCCTATATCCTGAGGGGGCCTGTGGCTGCCCTGCCCTGGCACCTGGCCTACAAGTTTGCCATCCCCATTCCCCCTTCTTCTGTTCCTCAGTCCCCTCCTCTATCCTCCCACCTTCCCAGTTTTCCTTGCGTCTGAAATCCTCATTCTTGTCCCTTTGCCCGTGTGCATTTCCTGCCTCCTCAGGAAGGTCGGGACAGCAGACCTGTGTGTTAAACATTGATGTGAAGTTACTTCCAGGAAGAAGTTTCATCTGTGATTTCCTCTTCCCCAGAGCCCCACAGTCTTTGTTACAACCTCACGGTGCTGTCCCAGGATGGATCTGTGCAGTCAGGGTTTCTCGCTGAGGGACATCTGGATGGTCAGCTCTTCCTGCTCTGTGACAGGCAGAAAGGCAGGGCAGGGCCCCGGGGACAGTGGGCAGAAGCAGTCCTGGGAGCTGAGACCTGGGACACAGAGACTGAAGACTTGACAGAGAATGGGCAGGAGCTCAGGAGGACCCTGGCTCATATCAAGGGCCAGAAAGGAGGTGAGAGTGGGCAGTGGGCAAGAGTAATGGGAGAGGCCTTTTCCAGGAGAGTTGGGGGCAGAGAGCAGGACCTGTCTCTTCCCACTGGATTTGGCTGTGAGTAGGGGTGAGGAATGGTGCTCAGCGGGGCTCAGCCCACACAGGGAGGGATGGAAGAGGGCCAGGGAGGGGTCCTTCCTGGTCCGAGTTCCTCACTTGGACTGGAATGGAGAAGTCACTGCTGGGTAGGGGCAGGCAGCCTTGCATTCCCTCCAGGAGATTAGGGTTTGTGAGATCAGGAAGCCAGCAGCACCAGGGGCTTTAGGCATTTCTACACATATGGGAAGCTCTTCCTCTCTCCCAACCTGGAGACTCAGTAATGGACAGTGCCCCGGTCCTCCAGAACTCAGACTTTGGCTATGAATGTCACAAATTTCTGGGAGGAAAATGCCATGCAGACCAAGACACACTATTGCCCTGTGCAGGCAGACTACATGCAAAAGCTATGGTGATATCTGAAATTCTGGAGGTATCAGAAAAACAGGTACTGTGAAAGTAGTGGGTCCTCCTATAGAAGCCTGAACCTGGGGTGGGCATTAGGCAGGAAAGGAAGGCCTCAAGGCCAGGGCTGCCTCATCTGCCTCCCAGCCTGCCCATCCTGGAGAGCTACCTCCTAGCCCCACGACCCAGGAGCCCACCCCTGACAACCCTCTCCTCAGCATCAAAGCCGGAGTCCCAGAGTGTGAGGCCACAGTCCTGAGGCCCATCTTCCAGCAAGCCTAGGGGAATTGGACCCCAGGTAAGGACCGATTTGCAGAAGGTCTGGGGTCAGTGTGGGTTTCAGCGAGAGTCAGAACAATAGAGAGGACCAGTCCTGTTCCCTGCATCTCCCTTAGAGGGGAGAAAGGCTTGGCCACATGCCTCACTGGCTCTGCCCTTTTGTCTCCAATGACCCCCACAGTGAATGAGATGCACAGTGGGGCCTTAGAAGGCAATGTCACCATGATGTGCTGGCCTCCATCTTCTATCCCTGGAATATCTCTCTGACCTGGCATCAGGATGAGGCATCTTTGAGCCAGGATGCCCAGCAGTCTAGGGGTGTCCTGCCCAATGGGAATGGGACCTACCAGACCTGCATGGCCACCAGGATTCCCCGAGGAGAGGAGCAGAGGTTCACCTGCTACATGGGACACAGAGGGAATCACAGCACTCACCCTGTGCCCTCTGGTGAGCCTGGGGCAACTCTCAAGGGTTTCGACCTAGGGAGGTCAGGCCAGGGTGGGGATAGCAGGGACGGCTGTGGCTTTGCGTGCTCAGTGTGTCACAAGGCCCTTTTTTTAGAGAAGGCCCTGGTGCTTCAGAGTCAATGGCAGCCATTCTGTATGCTGCTATTGCTACTGTCATTATTATTAGTATTAGTAGTAGTAGTAGTATTCTCTGTGTCCTTTGGTGCAAGAAGAAGACAACATCAGCTGCAGAGTCCAGGTGAGAAAACGGGGCAGTGGCTGGAGATGGAAGGACTCCTCTCTGGGCAGCAGGGTCCCCTCATAGCTCCTGCACAGATAGACATGTAGGTAACAAGGTCCTGGAACAGGGGATGGACATTGGGGTATTTGGGAGGGGAATGGGAGCCACATCTCCATCTACACCCCTAAGTCCTGCCCAAGCCAGGGCTGGGCCACGGCCCTCAAATGTCCAGCGGTGGCCTCCTCCTGCTGCAGGTGAGGAGTGGGCAGCAGGGAGGGCTGTGGCACCTGCTCTGTCCCCATCCTGGTCTCTCTTGTTTCTTGGGCTCACCACGGTGCGTCCAGGTGGGGTGAGTTGAGAATCACGTGCTGATTGCTGAGGGCCTGGATGATCATGGCTTCAGTGGGAGTAAATAGTAAAGGCGGCTGTGATCTGGGGAGGGGCTAGAAACTGGAGAGGAATCTGAGGAGAGGCGGTGCCCCTAGTCTCTTCCTCTCTGCATCCCTCTCTCCTGTTTCTCCAGCCATCAGGAGGACACCAAGAAAAAGACCCACGAAGCCCAGACTGGGAGGCCTGCCTGTGCAGCCCCTTTGAGGTCCCCTTGTAACAGGGAGGGTCCTGAGTGCACACAGCCATCTCTGTCCACTTTGCAGCTCCCCATGGGCCTCCTCCAGGAGCTGTCTTGGGGGTATCATGTCCTCTGCATCACTGGAGGTTCCCACCACATGGCCCTGCCTCCCTGAGTTTCTGTGCAGATGTTATGGAGGAGTATATAAGCAGACATCCCTGGGCCATTTGGGAAGCAGGAACCAGCTCCTTGTCAGGGCAGCTGTGGTCCCTATTTTCATCATATGTCCAAGTGTTACCTTGTCTAGCCCCCAGGAACACAGTCCCCAGGACCATGTTTTTTGGGGCACCCACAGCAGGGGCAGTGCAGGTCTGGTTGCTCCTGCTCTCACCTGCAGCATCTCCCGTAGAGGAATTGTCAGTTCTGGTTCCCTGTGGGCAGTAAAGGTTTCCTTGTAGGTCACTGGGGCATTGGCCAGAAAAAGGTTGTGAAAATCACATGCTAATTTCTCAAAATTCCTGCTTTCAATGTTGATGTCCAATAAAGATGTTCATAATTTCAGCTGGATATTCTTAATAGGATTTCCTCCAATACCGATGCTGTAAAGCATATTGAATGGAACAGGAATTCAAATTTGAAACTCTCTCTCTAGAAGGGTCCATGTGGGAGATGGTGGCTGTGGCTGTGGCAATCCCCAGGTGCAGAGTGGGCGGAGGCAGCCTCAGGCTGAGGGGTCTCAAGAAATCCCTTATTCCATAGGGAGAAGAAGAAGATCCTCTGTGGGTGTGAGGGCAGTGGCCTGGGTGGAATCCCTGCTAGGAACCAGACAGGAAGGCCTTGCAGCCTCACCAAGCAGCAGCCCTGGGGTGGAGCTGGATTTCCAGGGATGAGTGGACCAGGCAGGAGCAGGGCATCCCAAGTGCAGGTCATGGACCTGGGTGTCAAGGGAAGCAGAGCCTTCTTGAGCAAGGGGGTCTCCAGGGTCAGGTCAGGTGCAGACCCCATGGCAGCCACGTGTTTCCATCCTGGGCCTGACAGGCCTGCTGGGCTTCCTGGTGGGCTCTCCAGGTAGGAGCTGCCTGCTCAGGACTGGAAGGGGAGGAACACTGAGCTGTAGGTGGAGGGCGGAACCCACAGTGGGCAGGGCCTGCCCTGGTGTGCAGGTGCTTCTGCAGGAAAGGAGGGCCTGGGGAAAGAGGGAGAGAAAGGCCTTGTGTGTGACCCAGCCCAGGCCTGGAAGTACGTGGAGCCAGGGCCTCTCTCTGGGGAGGCCTCCCACTGTGTCCGAGCTGGCCAGGCTTGAGAGGAGGGGAGGGCACTGAGTTTCTTCTGGAGTCTTGTCATTTAGTCCTGCGGCCCTTTCAGTCCTTACAGAGTGCATAGTGGGCACAGGGCAAGTGCTGATCTTCATGAAGTCATGGGAGGGGACTGGCAGGGGCTGGGAAAAGTGCCATAGGAGGGAGAAAAATGTGGGAGCATCATCTTCCCTCAGAGAAAGGGTGAATCTGATTTTGGAGTGACTGAGGAGGGAGAAATCCTCAGGGAGTAAAAAGCAGCACTCTGCACCCAGGGGAGCATTTATTGGTTTCTCTATTTTCTGCAGAGCACGTGAGCCTGCAAGGCCCGGATCAACGCCCGGTTGGGACAGGAGACCACCAGGGCAGTGCACAGCTGGGATTTCAGTCTCTGGTGTCAACTCCTGGGTCTACTGGCTCCACTGAGGGCAGCTACACTCTGCAGCCAGATGGCCAGAATTCAACTCCCTGCCCAGGTCTCACCAGCACTTTCCCACTTGGTGCCTCAGTTTCCTCATCTATGAAATGGGGAAACTAACAGCATTTATTTCTTGTGGTTGGGTGGATGAAAAGCGTTAGTATATATGAGGGGTTTGCAGCTGTGCCACATTATTTTTGTTATCATTTGATTATATTTTAATATATTACATATGCGGTCATTGTATTATTATTATAAATGAGATTTATGAGTGAGTGTCCTGGTTACGGCTCCTTCTGGGGAGCCCAGGACCAGCTTTCCTGGCACCTTGAGGTCCCCTCACCCTGTCACACTCTCATGCATTACCTCATATCTACTATGTCTTCATAATTTTATACTATAGAAATTTACCCTTTAAGTAGACATTTCTGGTCTGTGTTTTATTTCAAGTGTCTGGGAAGGGATAGAGTATGAGGTTCAAGAGAGAAGGAGAGGTCTGTCTTCATGCCTTGACACAGCACAAAGAAATCTCCCCACCTCCCCCACATCTCCCCACCAGTTCTCGGTGATGGACAGATTCACAGCAACACAGAAAGGGCTGGGAAGGGATGGAGGGGGACATCTGCAGCCAGTGTTTAGGGGCTGACCCTGTGGGAAGACACCTGCCTTGCAGAGGACCTCTGCATCTTGCAGATGCAGAGCTGAAGTCTGATATGAGGGAGAGGACAGGGAGTGCTTTGGACTTTCCTGATTAAGAAGAATAGAGATCAGTCTGCTTCTGGGGTTAAGTGACCCCTGGGGAGATTGGACTGAATTAATGAAGAATAAATGAACTGGGAATGAGGATGAGTAAAGCAAGTATCAGCATCTCCCATTATCAGTTCAGACTGATTGGTAGATGGGGAGGTGGGATAGTTCCTGACCCTGTTGTGAGGTTCCTTTTAACTTTCTGGCCTTGGGGCACAGATGGGTGGTGCTCTTCTTGGTCAGGGTAGCCTCGGCTCCACTCAGGTAAGGCAGTGGTGGCAGGGAGAGTTATGGGATCACCTGTGAAACGGACCAAGGCAGGGATGGGAGCCCTCTGTGCAGCAAAAGTGGATGCAAGGCCTGCCTAGAAGCAAGAGGATGAAGGAACCTAGTTGGGTCCTGGTCCACTGCCTGCCTGTGTTCACAGGTCAACCAGTAAAGGAGGTGGGGTAGAGAATTCAATCGTGGGCTATCTATCCAGAGATGTGTTTACAGGTGTATTATTTCACATTTGTGTTCACGTTTGGTGTCAAAAACACATTTATACATGCCTATTTCATGTTTAAGTATTTTCACATTTTAGTTAACCCTTAAATATCATTGTTGAATGCGGTTGTCATTAGACATAAACTTGCATATTCACTGAAGCTTTTGTTTTTATTTTAATCAAATTTATAATTGTGCACAATTGAAAGAGTCAAATATTTGTGCAGAATCTCTTGAGAAAAATGAGAGTCCTCTCTGCCTCTTCTCAATTTCTGCCTTTCTAGGGGCCAACCACTTTCAAGTTTTTTAGCTGATTCTTTTGACTTTACTTCTGTATCTCTAACTACCATTTCTTTATTATTATTGCTTGATTTTTTTCAGATGCACCCATTGTTGCACAGCGCAATGGTGGATGCAACAGTTAAGAGTACTTGTTCTCTTTCACTCTTCCCAGTATATTTATATAGTGATTATGTTTAGTTCAGCCATCTCTTGTTTCTTTTACCATGACTAATCCTCTCATATGTCAACTGGACTACTTTTCACTGCCTGTACAACATTGGTTCTTCTTGGAGTTAATACTTGCATTTGTTTTTGTTTATTTTATTAACTCTCATTAATTTAAGTTTGATATCTCTTTTGTTTGTATGATTCTTTCAAGACGTTGGACACTTTGGACATTCTGTTAATTTTATCTTCTTGGAAATGTCCCTCCTGGGCCCTTCTGGCTGCTCCCATCTGGACTGGAGGCTTCTCCCCGTGGAGCAGAGTCACTGTCCTAGGATCTCCCTCCATCACTATCTGGGAAGGTGCTTTACATGCAGTGGAGCCACCTGGGTTCCAGCCAAAATGCAGACTGATTCAACATGTCAAGGCTGGGCCTGTGAGCCTTTCTGTCTAGTTTCAGGAGGTGCTGATTTTCCTGGTTCATGGGTGATAGCTGGGGTAGCAGGGATCTCTCTTTTTGTCTCATAGTTTTCTGTATCTAAGGTAAGCGCATACTAATATATTTTTAATGAATTCATGTACTTTTTCCCTAAATTAGTAACAGGGCTAATTAGTCTTTTCCTTGGGCCAAAAACTACATTATGTAAAATTTGGTATCTTAACTATTTTAAAGTATACAGTAGTACAGTATTAACTGTAAATACATAGTTGTGCAACAGATCTCTAGAACTTTTCATCTTGCAACACTGAAACTCTATGCCCATTGAACAAACATTCATCCATCCCCCTCACCGAGCCCCTAGCAGCCATTAGTCTACTTTCAGTTTAGACACCTCATATAAATGGAAATGTGCAGTATTGGGTTTTCTTTGTGATTGGCTTATTTTACTTAGCAGTGTCCTTCAGGTTTATCCCTGTTGCAGCCTGTGACCAGGTTTCCTTCTTAAGGCTGAATGATATTCCGTTGTCGATATATACCACATTTTCTTCATTCATGTGTTGGTGTGTGTTGTCTTGGCTATCGTGAATAATGCTGCTTTGAATATGGGTATACAATGTTTTTCTTTTCAAACCTTCCCTCACTTTGGTGGAATTAATCCTTTAGTAGCTACTTCTGACAGCACATATTTAAAGTATGTTTGTATGGTTCAATTTTTCCATTGTTTTTATTCTCTCCAGGAAGAGGAGATAAATATATGAAGGTGCTGTTTGGCACAGAATTTAATAGGGAAGAAAGAGACAGTATAACTCACCAGTGCTGGGTCTCATCATCCTGCAATTTCAGAACAACTATGAATACAAAAAGAATTTTAAAATCCCAGTCCTGCCTAGAAAGGGGAAGTCATCTCTAAATATGGTGGCCCTGGGGCAGCTGGCCTCCCTGCCAGGCCTCTTCCATGGGGGCCCTTTCTGCAGTGACTGTGGTTTCTTCCCATTTTACTCTGTCCTGTGTCCTGACTGAAGCGACAAGGTGTGTCTGCAGCTGTGCTCACACCTGGAGGAAACCTCAATGGTGTGAGTAAATTGTAAATGTTTACTTATTATGGGTTATTTTATTATTTATGAAGTATGTATTTTGATTTCATTCTACTGACAACACAATAAACCAGGACATGATGACCCTAGCAGCACATCCTCTTTCCTGTGTCAAGAAGCATCGTCCGGGGAGGTGAGAAGAAGACAGTCCTCCCTAGAATTGAAGAACCAGGGAGAACCAGATGGGCTGGGCAGGTGGGTTTTCACCTGGAACCTGGAGGATGAGCAATGACATCTCTCCACCCTGAGCTCAGCCCCGGCATCCACCTCCTGGGCTCATGAGCAGTGCAGTGGTGCCTCCTAGTGGTCTCTGCTCTTCCTTTTCCAGATCAAGCACAAACCTGAGATCCAACTGTCCCTCTTATGCGCCTGGGTTTCTTCACTGGACACCAGTATGAGTCAACTTTCCTGTAAAGCAGAACAAGCACGAGATTGGACCATGTTAGAGGAGGAATGGTGTCATCTCCACTTCTGGAGAGATCACTGTCCCCGTGTTTGGGGGAAGGACCAAGCCTCACTCCCATGCAGAGAAGAAGCTCTGACTGTAACTGCACCTGTGGAGAGGTGAGGACCTGTCCCCTCTACACCGATGGCCAGAGCCTCCAGAGTGGGGCCAGGCTTTTCCCTCAGCTGTGTCCTGTCAGGTTTATCTAGGCCTCAAAGAATAGACCCTGGACATTGCCTCTGGCAATGTGAGCTGGACACACACCCAGATGTAAGGTAGCCCTGCCAAGTATCCTGGGGTTGCCAGTAGTTCTGGGTGCTCAGTGTCTGGAGCGGAGGGTGGGAAGGAGGCTTGATGCAGAACAAGAACCATATGTCACATACTATTTTATTCTTTATTAGTGTTTTTGTCATAAAAAACCCCACGGGTACCATAAAAGATAAAAGATCTAAAAATGGTGCCCTTTAATCAAAAGTAAACACCCTTTAACCATCAGAGAGAGGGAGAAGTTTGGCAGCTGACCTAGAAGCCCCATCAACTGCCCCAGCTCAATGATAAACTCTTCTCTTCTTCAAATAAAAGCACATCCTGGCTTACATGGCCATCACTTCTTTGTACAATTTTATATTTTTATCATCTAAAGTTATAGTTTAGTTTTACCTTTAAGAGTATATTTTTATCCTCATTTATTCCATAGATTCCTGCTTGAAATTTATATTGTCTGGTAGTTTCCTGTCCTTTGCATTTTGCAGATTGCACCCCAAGGTGTGGTTTAATGTATCTCTATGACCTGTATTTTCTGTAAATTGGTAGTTTGTTATAGAGGTTTGCGTCTATTCAGGGTTTTTTTTTTTTTTTTTTTTTTTGCCATGAGGATTGATGGTACTATATCATGTTTTTCATCAAGAGGAAGAATTCAATACTAGTTATTTCTTTTTTGTGATGTTAATTGCCATTGCTGTTCAGTGGCTAAATCTGTTAATTCATTACAAATTGCAAAAGTCTCAGTCTTTCATTTCTTTTCATATACTAGCTGCATAATTTCTAAAATAAAAGATTTACCCTCTTCCACCAGTTATCTATTCAGTAGAAACTTGTTTTTTGAGAGACTAAACCAAGTTTCTAATCACCTATGACCCAGCAATTCCACTTTTTGTTATATACCAATAGAAATGCATGCATTTGTGTCCCAAAATATATGAAAATATTATTTATAGCAGCACGATTTGTAGACTCTGAATACAACACAAATGTCTATCAACAGTGGAGAGACAAGAAGTGTGAGCTATTTATAAAGCTGAGCACCTGACTGCCACGGGAGTGATAGTGACCACACACAGCAAGACCTGGGACATGGCAGTGACTGTGTCCAGAACTGACAGAACTAATCTATCATATTAGAAATCAAGAAAGTGTCTGCTCTAGGGTTGGGGAGGGTGATTTATGACCAAGTAGAACCCAATGGTGTTTCCTGGAGGCTGGAAATGCTATTCCTTGATGTGGCTGCTATTTACCTGAGTGTTCACTTTGTGAAAATCCACGGCCCACTTATGGTTTGTCCACCTTTCTCCATGCATGTTGTCCTTCATTCAAGTATACATTTCTGATGTTTTGAAACAATTCTCTCTAAGCTAATATAGAATCTCCATTACTGAAAGTCCTTAGAAATGCTGCATTGGAAAAAATTAGTCCAATTATTAAAAATCTATGAAATAAATGCTGTGACTCAGACATTAAGAGGAGAATCTACAACAAGAGCAGTAGGCTTGGGAGCTAACGCAAGAACAGCTTTGGAAATGGCTGTTGAGCCAGGAACTAGGAATCAAAACCCAAAAAGGCCCATGCAAGGTGGAGGGTGTGAAATGATGCCCCAGTAGTGCATGAATGAATGAGTCATGGGCAGTGGCTCATGGGTTGCTTGGTCAGTCAGGAACTTGAGCAAAATAAAGTTGGAAAACTGGGGGATGGAAGAGAGAGGTATGCACAGACCTCTTGACATGGGCAGAGCTTCAGAAGATGGTGGTTGCAGGTTTCCCCAAATAGAGAACATCAATAAAAAGGTAGAAATTTTACAAAGAGACCAGATAAAAAGTTTGGAGCTGAAAAGTGCAATAACTGAAATGAAAAATTCACTAGAGGGGCTCCAGAGCAAATTTCACCATGCAGAATGGAGAATCAGCAAGCTTGAAGATAAGACAATTGAAATTCTCTAGTTCAGTAGCAGAAAGAAAAAAAATTATGAAGAAAAATAAACAGAACTTTAAAGATCTGTGAGACAACATCAAGCACATGCACTTTGGGAGTCCTCAAAGAAAGGAGAGAGAGAAAGGAGAAGAATGACTATTTAAAGAATAACTCCAAACCTTCCAAATTTGATGAAAAACATTATTCATCCAACAAACTTGACAAATTTTAAGCAGCAAAAAAAATTAAATTTAAAGAGGTCCACACCAAGAGAACATTATAATCAACCTGTCAAAAGCCAATGACAAACAGAGCATATTGAAATGAATAACAGAGAAGGAACTTTTCAGGTTCAATGGATCCTCAATAAGATTGCAGCCCAGTTTTCTTCAGAAACCATAGAGTTCAGAAGGCATTGGAATGTTGACAAATTTAGAGGTCAGAAAAAAAAAGACTGTCATGCAGGAATTGTGTGTCTGGAAAAACTCTCCTTCAGAAATAATGGATTTTATATATATATAAATATATATATATACACACATATATATACATATATATACATATATATGACTATACATAGTACTACATATATATAACTATATATAGTACTACTATGAAATTATATATATAGTACTATATATAGTAGTCATACTATAAAAGCTAGTAGTAATATGTATATTTTTGGTGTTTATATGTGTGTGTGTGTGTGTGTGTGTGTGCATATATATATAGTACTATATATAGTAGTCCTATAAAAGCTAGTAGTAACATGTATATTTTTGGTGTTTAATTCTTCCTTTGTTTTTCCTATTTGGTTTAAAAGAAAATGCCCATTGACTAATGAATGAATAAACAACATGTAGTGTATTTCTACAATGGAATATGATTTAGCCATAAAAGGAATGAAATACTGATACATGCTACAACATTGCTGAATCTCAAAAACATGATAAGTGAAGGAAATCAGCTACAAAAGGATACATATTTCATGAACCCATTTTTGTGAAATCTTCAGAAGAGACCAATCTATAGAGAAAGAAAGCAGACTTGTGGTGACAGGGTCTGGTGGCAGGAGGAAATGGAGGGTGACTGCTTAATGGTGCAGAGTTTCCCCTGAGGTGATGAAATACTCTGGAACTAGAGAGTGATGATGGCTACATAACATTGCGAACCTACTAATTGTCACTGCATTGTACACCTATTGTACAATGGGTACAGTGGTAAATTTTGTGTTCATGTATATTGTATCACAGTAAAAAAGAGGCTGAAGAATAGATTCCAAAATCTTTTATATGGTAAACTCCTGAGTTTGCTTGAGCATCTGCCCATCTGTCTTTCCCCCTCAGGATGTCATCTCCTACTCAGAGCTCACCCTTGTTCTTCTGTAAGTAGAAAGCCTTTCTTCACAACACTCCCAGATCAGCCAGACCCAACCCCCAAAATGACTTTCTGTCTTGGATCCAAATGCTCAGGTGCAACTCTGGGGCAATTTCAGTGGGAGTGAAGAGATTATCCAACTAGGATGATTCATTTGGAGGGAAATGTTTGACCTTATGTTAGGAAAGTCATTTGCTTTCCTAAAAAGGATCCTGCTTACCAGTGAGTATATAATTTTTGTATGCCCGGGGTGGAGTTCACAGCAGAGGAACTAACAATAGCTCTAGGAACACCATACACCTCATGCGTAGCTGACTCACCCATCTGCCTCCCCCAGCTGAAGGAAGGAGCTGGATTATTACCTTGGCCCATCCATCAACTGCATTTCACTGGATGTGCACCCTCTACAAGTGTGAACCTTCCAGGGTTCTCAGTTGCTCTTCCTGCTGTTGTGTGGCCTCCACTGGTGTGGCTCATGCCCAGGGGGCCTGCAGGAGACTGAGTGTCTCCTAATTCTCAAGGCCAACATTTTCAGTGAGCTCAAATGAAGATTTTATGTTCTCAGGGACTCATATTTTCATCTGTGGAAGGGAAAAATCCATCTCGCTGTCTTAGGTGTGATGGTAATTTTACATAAATATATATATAATTATAGTATTTTTATGTCTATAAATGAGATAATCAGTATTTTATAAATTGATGGTATTCTTAGCATTGACTTCATTGCTCAGCTAAACGCTGTAACCAAAGGATGAGTCATGGAGTGGAGGAAGAATATTTTTCTACTCTCTGGAGGTGCCATAATCGGCATTTCTGCCCTATGGATTTCAAATGAGAAATTTGCTTTAGGCTGAGGTTGGAAGGAGATCTGAACTTCTTTGTATTACTATTATTTTAGATGGGGTCTTGCTATGTTGTCCAAGCTGGAGAGAAGTGACTATTCACAGGTGTGATAATAGCACACGACAGCCTCAAAATCCTGGGCTCAAGTGATTCTCCCATCTCAGCCTCCTGAGTAGCTGGGACTACAGGTGTGCACTCAGCCACTTTTCATTGTTATTTTACTTCAAATGCTTTATTTTGAATATTAGAAATGTGAAAATCTATTTGATCACAGAAGACTTTAAAATACACAGATCAATGCCTACTTGAATTAAAAAAAATAAAATACACAGAAGAAATACCACCTAGGTCTCCCCTCAAAAATATCACTGCTATTGTATTGTTGAACCTTCCTGGACTCAGTGTGACTGTTGGTCCCTGGAGCTGTCCTTTGCGTGGTGCTGATTTCCATTTTGTTGGTGGTGGTTTGTTTTTGTTTTCGTTTTTGTTTCTGAAACACAATTTCACTTTGTCACTGAGGCTGGAGTGCAGTGGTGCGACCTCAGCTCACTGCAACCTCCGCCTCTCGGGTTCAAGTGATTTCCATGCCTCAGCCTCCTGAGTAGCTGAGATTACACGCATGCGCCACCAGGCCCAGCAAATTTTTTGTATTTTTAGTAGAGACAGGGTTTTGCCATATTGGCCAGTCTGGTCTCGAACTCCCGACCTCAAGTGATCCACCTGCCTCAGCTTCTCAAAGTGCTGGGATTACAGGAATGAGCCAAGGCGCCTGGCCCATTTTGTTGTTCTCTATGTATATATTTTTATAGGTATCTTTATTGTACAAGGTTGCATTCATATGTCATGGGTTATCTTGAATGTTGCTTTTTGAATGTATTATTTTACAAGTAGTTTTCCATGTTGTAAACTCTGTATAAAGTTTACATGCTTTTTTGGCCGGCATGGTGGCTCACGCCTATAATCCCAGCACTTTGGGAGGCCGAGGTGGGTGGATCACTTGAGGTCAGGAATTCGAGACCAGACTGGCCAACATGGTGAAACCCCATCTGTACTAAAAAATACAAAAAATTAGCCAGGAGTCTAGGCATGTGCCTGTAGTCCCAGCTACTCAGGATGCTGAGCCAGGAGAATTGCTTGAACCCAGGAGGCAGATGTTGCAGTGAGCCGAGATCACTGCCACTGTACTCCAGCCTGGGTGACAGAATGAGACTCCATCTAAAAAAATTTTTAAATTTAAAAAGTTGACACACTTTTACAAGCTGCATCCCATCTCAGATAAGGAGGTGATGTAACTGAGTTCTTTTAGATCCATCTGCTTTCATCTTATCTTTTTGTAGGTAATATTTTGACAAGCATGTTTGTACATAAAGATTCTCCTGTGGTTGGGATTTTAAAAATTCATAGACTACTCAGGCCAGGTGCGGTGCCTCAAGCCTGTAATCTCAACACATTGGAAGGCCAAGGAGGGTGGATTGTCTGAGCCCAGAAGTTCAAGACCAGCCTGGGCAACATGGCAAAATCCTGTCTCTACAAAAAATACAAAAAAAAATTAGCTGGGCATGGTGGCATGAGCCTGTAGTCCTAGGTACCCCAGTGTTTGAGGTGGGAAGATTGTTCGAGCCTGGAAGGTTGAGGCTGAAGTGAGCTGTGATCATGCCACTGCCCTCCAGACCGGGCTACAGAGTGAGAATTTGTCTCCAAAAATAAATAAATTCATAGACTACTCAAGTGATAAATATTAAACCAGAGACTGCTTTAAACATTTTAAAGCCTTATTATACTGTCATACTGTGATTGTACTGACATATTTATTCATTTAACAAATACTTACTGAGAGCTATTTACTGATTATGATGGTGAGAAACAATGGTAAGGAAACAGACCAGATCCCTTTATCAAAGAACATACATTTCAGTGATACTGACTGTAATGGTTAATTTTAGGTGTCATATTGACTGGGTTAAGGGATGCCTAGATAGCTGGTATAACATTATTTCTGGGTGTGCCTGCGAGGGTGTTTCTGGAAGGGATTGGCATGTGAGTGACTGAGCGGGGAAAATCCTCTCTCGCTGTGGGCAGCCACAATCCAATCACCTAGGGGCCCAGATAGAACAAAAAAGCAGAAAGGAGTCAAATTTTCTCTCTCTCTCTCTCTCAATCTGGGACACTTTTCCTGCCCTTGGACATCAGAACTCCAGGTTGTATGGTCTTTGGACTCTTGAGTGTTGCACCAGTCAACCCTTTATCCTCCCACCTCCTCCTCTGGCCCCTCAGGCCTTTGGCCTTGGACTGAGCCAGGCTACTGTCTTCCTTGGTTCTCCAGCTTGCAGGTGGCCTCTCATGGATCTTATCAGCCTCCATAACTATGTGAGCCATTTCCACTAATAAATCCCCTCTTGTCTATCTATCTATCTATCTATCTATCTATCTATCTATCTATCTATCTATGTATCCATCTACTCTATTGGGTCTTTCTGTCTTGGTAACCCTGATACACCAACAGACAATAAACAAAT
The DNA here is from genome assembly GCF_000001405.40 of Homo sapiens. Classification (NCBI taxonomy): domain Eukaryota; kingdom Metazoa; phylum Chordata; class Mammalia; order Primates; family Hominidae; genus Homo; species Homo sapiens. The sequence continues at coordinate 29,731,164 of NC_000006.12, read as the reverse complement.
AGAATCTGTCACAGTATCAGTGATAATTGCCACTGATAAAAAATACACCTAGGCTAGAAGATTGGTGGGAGTGGCGGGAATGGCAGGGAATAGATTTCAGAAAAGGTAACTGGGCATGACATTTCTGAGAACTTGACCATGGGACATTTGAACAGAGACTTGAATGGTGTGAGGAGTGAGCCATGTGGACCCCCGGGGAGCAGGTGCATGTGGGAGTCACAGCAGGGGCAGGTAGCAGAGACAGGATGGAGCAGTGACAAAAGGCTGGTGTGAGTGGAGACGAGTGAGCTGGGCTGAGAATGGCGGGATGAGGCCACAGGGGTCCTATGATGAGGGGCTTGTAGGAAACGGTGAGAGACTGAGGTTTCATTGTGCCTAGGAAAGAAAAGGGCTGAGGTGTTCATAGGATATGTCCTAATTTTCGTTTGAGAGGCTCACTCTGCCTTTGTGTGAGTAATGGACAGTGGGCATGAGAGGCAGCAGGCAGCCCAGCTGGAAAGCCCTTCTGGTTTACAGTTCTTGAGAGGGTGGCTCTCGGGTGGTGGCAGGAGAGGAGTGAAAAGTGATTGGATTTAGTGTTGATATACTTGTTAATATTGTGGTAAAACATACATACCATGTAATTTACCTTCTAACCACTTTTTCAGTGTACAATTCGGTGGCCTAAAGCACATTTACAATGTTGTGTAACCACCACCAATATGCATTTCCAGAACATTTTCATCATCCCAACAGAAACTGGACCCATTAAACCAAAGCTGCCCATTCTCCCTACCCTCAATTTCTGGTAAATTCTATTTTACTCTCTGTTTCTATGAATTTGCCTATTTTAGCTGCATCACATAAGTGAAATATTATATTTGTCTTTTTGTTTCTGGCTCATTTCACTTATAGTGTTCTCAAGGTTCATCCAACCTGAATTTCATTCACTTTTAAGGCTGAATAATATTCCATGCTATGTGCACCATGGGTCGTTTATCTAATCATCCTCCGATGGACACTCGGTTGCTTCCACCTTTTGGCCATTGGGAATAGTGCTGCTACGAGCATGAGTGTACAATTATCTGTGTGAGTTCCTGCTTTCAATTCTTTTGGGTATATGCCCAAAAGTGGAATTGTTGGCTCCTATGGAAATTGTGTTTTTACTTTCTTGAGGAAGCATCATACTGTTTTTCATGGTCGCTGTACCACTGTACACTCTCACCAGCAGTGTACAAGTGTTGTGACTTCTCCACATCTTCGCCAACACTTGGACTAGTGAAGTTCAGCATATTTTCATGTGCCTATTGCCCATTTGTATATCTTCTTTGGAGAATTGTCTATTCATGTTGTTCACTCATTTTTGAATGAGATTGTTTGTTTTTCTGTTGTTAAGTCATAGTTCTTTATGTATTCTGGATATTAATTCTTTATCAGGTATATAATTGGCAAATATTTCCTCCCATTCTGTGCATTTTCTTTTAACTCTCTTAATAGTGTCCCTTGATATATAAAAAAGGTTTTTAAATTTTGATAGTCTAATTTATTGTTTTTCTTTTATTGGTTGTGCTTTTGCTCACCAGCCAAGAAGCCATTGCCACATCCAATGTTCCTAAGATTTTCTTCAATGTTTTCTTCTAAAAGATTTATAGGTTGAACTCCTAAGTTGAGTTCCTTGAACCATTCTGAGTTAATTGAGTTAATTTTTGAATATGGTGTAAGGTGATGCTATGAATTTTGTCCAACATCATTATTTTGTATGTGGGTATTAAGGTTTCCTGGTACTATCAGCTGAAGTGGGGCTGATACACTTGTAAGATGCAGTGAGCACTGATAAATGGGAACACCATGCATTTATTTACTTGTCTTTACTCCACAGGTGATTGGAGGAGGCTTTTGGTGACAAACCCAAAAGAAATGAATACATATGAATTCTTATTAAATCAAAATCAAATAAAATTATAAATTTTAAAATGTTAAGAGTGAGGCAAGACTAGAACATCACTAGACAGGCTGAAACATGCTGAAATGGAGGGTTTACTGCTTTCCTTGCTTTAAATTTTGCTGGCTCACAATGGCTTATGTTTATTGCATAAGGGGGCCACAGGGAGGGTTGCTTGCTCACATAAGGAGCCCCTGGTTTTCTTCAGAAACAAGTTCAAATTCTCCACTTAGAGCCAAAAAAAATTAATTGCAAGATGTTCAAACTGAAGTTGGCTTCTATAAAGTCAAAGAATAAGCAGTAAGTGTAAAATAAACCTCAGGAATCCAAGGAAATTCTACCTTTTTACCTAGAAATGGCCTCACAATGCGTCGCTGAAGGGAGAGGGTCCCTTCCAGGAACCCCATGATGTAGGGGTTTCTGCTGCAGTCCCAAATTGAGTTGTCCCTTCTCTCTAACTGCAGGTCCCACAAGACCTTACTGCAGCTTCAATAATTTCACCTGGTCTAAGATTTGAGGGGTTTAATGCTTTTTATTTTGAGCTGCTGTCTGGGACTTAGAAAGGTGACTTGCATTTTTTGTCAAAATATTATTTCTTTGATGGAATTTGACATTGGTGGACACTCTGCCTTCCTGTGTGGTTCCTACAAGGGCAGATGACCTTGCACTTCTTTTTGGCACTTCACTAGCAGTGATAGAAGGTTTGAAGTTAGGGCCTCCCTCAATCTTTACCCTCTCTCTAATGCAGAGGATTGCGGCCTGTTGGCAGAAGAGTAGTGTCTTGGGCCCCAGCTGACCTGATGAATATCAACATCCAATGCCCTGTAATGAAGTCATGTGTGCACATATCATCACTTCTGCATGCAGTCTCATGGGAAGGTGGGTTCCTGGACCCCAGGTTACAGGCCTAAGCACTACAGGCATACAGATGGAGCTCCAGGGAAGGGAGAGATGACTGGGGTGGGACCACACTTTTCCTTCAGGGTGTCCCTCAGTTCAAGGAAGCTTGTACTCAAGGGAGAGAAAGTCCTGGCAGGCCTCCTTACCCTTGGCAATCTTGGTATTGGGGCTGGATAATTATCTGTTATGTGGGTGATTGGGCTGACTTGTGCACTGCAGGATGTTCAGCATCCCTGGTCATTCCCCACAAGATGCTGGTAGCACCTCCTCCTCACTCCAGTCATGGCAACAAAACATTTTTCCAGACATAGCTAATGTCCTCTGGTGGGAAAATTGCTCCTGGATGAGAATACTTGTTTGAGAGGTAGAGACACTCAGGAGCTGGGCCTGTAGAGGGAAAGTGATCCGGAAGTAGATACAAAGCAGAGTGGGGCTGGAGAAGACAGGAAGGGAGTCTAGGTCTGGAGGGGCCTGGCCTGATGGTTGAAGGTCTGGAGCTCAGAACCTCAGGGTATGGGGAACTAAAGCTCGTGAGGAATGGGGAGAGTGGCAGAACCTCCTATTGCCAGAATATCACACTCATACCCACTAAACACCCAGCCCATGGTTCTGCATCTCTGGGAAGTCAGGATAAATTTGGCTGTATGGGGTCAGAAAGAGTCCTGGTAACCCTAGGCTTTGTGTGCCTCCTGATGTGATGAATGTGCGGTCACAGCTCCTCCTGTAAACATTGCTGCCAAATGTTTAACCCAGAGCTACATAGGTCCTTAGGAGGCATAGCAGTTAGAGGAAAAAAGTTAAAGGCATCAGGGGAAATAATATGATAAATTCAGTGTGGAGAAGATTCCACAGGTATTTGGCCTCATCTCTGAAACAGGTAATGCCATTCTAAAAGAAAAAAGATGGGTTGATTGTTATAGATTGTAGGTAATTAAAGAAACATAACCAAAGGCAACGAGTGGACATTTTAAGAAAACAAGCTATAAAAAATAGGTACAAAAATGTACTGAAAGAAGTGGAGATATTTGAACATAAAAGGACTTTAAATAATATTATGGAATTATTTATTTTCTTTGGTGTGATAATGTTGGTTCTTATTCTTAGGAGGTGTGTGATGAAGTATTTAGTGGTCTAGTATCATGGGTCTTGCAACTTACTTTAGAATGACTCAGTCAAAAATCTTAATCTGGACCCTTTTCATAAGATGGTGCCAAGAACGAAGAAGGAAGCTCCTGCCCCTCCTAAAGCCGAAGCCAAAGCGAAGGCTTTGCAAGGCCAAGAAGGCAGTGTTGAAAGATGTCCACAGCCACAAAAAAAACAAGATCCACATGTCACCCACCTTCCGGCGGCCCAAGACACTGTGACTCCGGAGGCAGCCCAAATATCCTTGGAAGAGCACCCCCAGGAGAAATAAGCTTGACCACCATGTTATCATCAAGTTTCCGCTGACCACTGAGTAGGCTGTGAAGAAGATAGAAAACAACAGCCTACTTGTGTTCACTGTGGATGTTAAAGCCAACAAGCACCAGATCAAACAGGCTGTGAAGAAGTTTGTGACATTGATGTGGCCAAAGTCAACACTCTGATTCAGTCTGATGGAGAGAGGAAGGCATATGTTCGACTGGCTCCTGACTACGATGCTTTGGTTGTTGCCACCAAAATTGGGATCACCTAAACTGAGTCAAGCTGGCTAGTTCCAAATATATGTATATCTTTTCACCATTAAAAGAATCTTAATCTCTCTATTCACTCTTTCTCTTCACACACACACACACACACACACATTTACGTGCATGCTATAAAAACATATCTACCTGTATCTATAAAAAGATATATTTTTATTCTTTATTTTTAAAATTTATGTATGTTCGTGAGGCACAAGTGCAATTCTGCTACATTGATATCTTGCTTCTCAGTCCCACACAAGGAAGCTGTCTCACACTATAGAGAAAATATTCATGAACAAATTCGTATCAGTCACAGTGAGAGGTAACACTCTAAATAGCCCATTTCATGCTCAAGACATCCAAGTCAAAGAAACCCAATAGCACAGCTGAGTCCCCTCTGTTCCCCCCCAACACCCCACTCACATCAGGGCCCCTGCCCTGGAGTGTCACCTTTATTAGCTGTGAGAGACACCCCAGAGCCCTGGGCACTGTCAGTGATTGGGGTAGAACAAAAACAGGACCTGGTCAGAGCCCACAGATGTGGCTAGAGGAACTGTGGGGTGGGTGAGCTCCCTCATAGGCTCCTGACCACAATATCCCAACAATCTCAGGGATCAGCCTCCTTCATCTTACCTGCAGCCTGAGAGTAGCTCCCTCTGTTTCTATCTATGGGAAGAAAATGTCCTGTGAGAGGCCAGAAAGGAGGCAGGGCCATAAGGTCCTAGAGCAAACCCCTAGTCTTTGATCCCAGAGAAGTTTCCAGAAAAGTGTAACTGTAGATCCAGGGCAGGATCAAGAAATATGAAGAAAGCAGATGTGGGTCCTGGACCAACTGCCCTCCTGAGGTCTGTCATCAGCAGGGACCTTCCCCTGTGATTTGTGACTGCTGGGATCAGGTCCCATCACCACCATAATCATCGAAGTGAAGAATCTGTCCTTCATTTTCACAGGAGCTTTACAAATGAGTAGGTGCTGGCACACAGGGCCCAGGCTGGGTAGACCCATGAGTGTGGATGGTGCTTCCCAGTAATGAGGCAGGGCACACTTCTACTTGGGGCTTGCAACCCCCAGTGGGACAAGAAAACTCAGACTCCACTCCTCACCCCTTCCTACCTGAGCTCTTCTTCCTCCACATCACAGCAGCGACCACAGCTCCAGTGACCACAGCTCCAAGGACAACAAGGCCAGCAACGATGCCCACGATGGGGATGGTGGGCTGGGGAGACTGCTCTGGGAAAGGAAGGGAAGGTGAGGGGCCCTGATCTCCAGGCCTCAGCCCTGACCCTGCTGAAGAGCTCCAGAAGGGCTCCTGCTTTCCCTGAGAAAAGACATGACCCCTCGTTCCCCTCTTTACCCATCTCCCTCCTTACCCCATCTCAGGATGAGGGGCTGGGGCAGCCCCTCGTGCTGCACATGGCATGTGTATCTCTGTTCCTCTCCAGGAGGCACCACCACAGCGGCCCACTTCTGGAAGGTTCCATCCCCTGCAGGCCTGGTCTCCACAAGCTCTGTGTCCTGGGTCTGTTCCTCCCCATCCCGCTGCCAGGTCAGCGTGATCTCCGCAGGGTAGAAGCCCAGGGCCCAGCACCTCAGGGTGGCCTCATGGTCAGAGATGGGGTGGTGGGCAACGTGTGCCTTTGGAGGATCTGAGAAGAGTCAGAAAATTCAGGCACTTTGCACTCCTCATGGGAAACCCCAGCAGCACCCATGTGACCAACCTGAGAATGGACAGGACACCTGGGGTGGGGAAGGGAGCACAGAACCCAGACACCAGCCTGGACACAGACACCTGGGAAAATCTCCTATTCCTTGGAAAGTTAGAGTCTCTGAGGGGGGAGCAGGGACTTCTGGCCCTGACCTAAGTGGAGGCCGAGGGACTGGAATCAGAGCCTCAAACACATTGAGTGTGAGGCAGAGAACAAAACTTGAGAGAAAAGTCACGGGGCCCAAGGCTGTTGGAGGGCTCAAAGGGGACCGCGGATCGGTATTCCAGGGACTGTCTTCCCTCCATTCCCTCAGAAATTTCATCCCTTAATTGTCCCAGAGAGCAGGGCGGACTCTCACAGTCACTCTCTGGTACCGGATCTCGAAAGCCAGGAAGATTCTTCCTACTCAGGACTAGAGGGAGGGCGATATCCTAGCATTGGGTCCACTTTCCTCCCAACCTTGTGCGAGGCCATCCCAAGAGATCTACAGGAGATAGGGAAGGCGCCCATGGCCCCTGGTACCTGCGCGCTGTAGCGTCTCCTTCCCATTCTCCAAGTATCTGCGGAGCAACTCCAGGCACTCGCCCTCCAGGTAGGTCCTGAACTCCTCTGCATATTCCTCTGCCTCATAGAAGCGCTGGGTGATCTGAGCCACGGTGTCCGCCGCGGTCCAGGAGCGCAGGTCCTCGTTCAGGGAGATGTAATCCTTGCCGTCGTACGCGTGCTGGTGATACCCGCGGAGGAGGCGTCCGTCGGGCCCCATGTCGCAGCCATTCATTCCCTGGAGGGTGTGAGACCCTAGCCGGTCCCCGCAGTCAGCCCCGCCCAGCTAGCCCCGCCCCCTCCCCGCCCAACCCGCGGGGATTTTGGCCTAAACTGAAAATGAACCTGGGTAAAGGCGCCTGGGACTCTCCCGGGTGGAGGGTCTGGGCGGGTCCCGCTGCCTCGGGGTAGATTTCGGATCCGGAGACTCTGAGGGACCCGGGCGGTCCGTGGCGGATGGGGGGTGGTCGTGACCTGCGCCCCCGGCCGGGTTCACTCACCAGCCTCGCTCTGGTTGTAGCGGCGGAGCAGGTTCCTCAGGGCCACTCGGTCAGTCTGTGCGTTGGCCTTGGCGTACCCTGTGGTCCACTCCCAATACTGCGGCCCCTCTTGCTCCACCCACGGCTCCCGCGGCTCCATCCTCGGAATCGCGGCGTCGCTGTCGAACCGCAGGAATTGCGTGTCGTCTACGTACTCCACGGCGATGTAGCGGGGCTCCCCGCGGCCGGGCCGCGACACAGCGGTGCTGAAATACCTCAAGGAGTGGGAGCCTGGGGGCGAGGAGGGGCTGAGACCCGCCAGACCCTCCTCCGGAGGCGGCTCCCTGAGTCCTGCGCCCCCACCGGGCGGGCCCCTCACTCCTCCCCACAGAGGCCGTTTCTCTCTGGACCCCGCACTCACCCGCCCAAGTATCGGTCAGGGCCAGGGCCCCTGAGAGCAGCAGGAGGAGGCTTCGGGGCGCCATGACCCCAACCTCCGCGTCTGGGAAAAATATGAGTCCCGCGGGGTGCGTGGGACTTTAGAACCTGGGAACTGCGGCGACACTGATTGGCTTCTCTAGAAACGCGACGCCCAATGGGAGTGAGAAATGGGGCCGCGTTATGAGTATCCAGGAAGAAGGACCTGACACGGGTTGGGAGAGAAAGAGAAACTCTGGGGAGATGGGGAATTCTCAATACTGAGCCTCCCAACCCCAGACACCGCCTCGGGGCCTGAGCCCTTGAGAGCCACTCCTGGGGCCCTGGGACTTTGCCCTCCCCCTCCCCCTCCCCCTCCTGTGCAGGGTGTGTCTCAATGTCTCCCTGAGTCTTCGCCCGGGGGCTGAGAAACCAGGGAGAAACCTTCGGCATGGACCCAGTCCATCTCCCTTCATTATTCATTCCGAAATCCCAGTCCCTTGATTGAACTTTCTGCCTCCCATTCCATACCTGGACTCCCCGGACTCTTTTGGAAGAAAATTCACCCCAAGGAGCTTGGTGCCAGACAATGAACTTGTCCTGAGAATGAAGGTGTAGAGACAGTTTCTTCTTCTTCCTTTTCTTCTTCTTCTTCTTCTTCTTCTTCTTCTTCTTCTTCTTCTTCTTCTTCTTCTTCTTCTTCTTCTTCTTCTTCTTCTTCTTCTTCTTCTTCTTCTTCTTCTTCCTCTTCCTCTTCCTCTTCCTCTTCCTCTCCTTCTCCTTCTCCTTCTCCTTCTCCTCCTTCTTTCCTCCTCCTCCTGCTCCTCCCCGCCCCCCTCCTCTTCTTCTCTGGAAAAGTTGTACCTGAGCATATGAAATAGGACAGAGACCAGTTTCTTTCTTTCTTTTTTTTTTTTATTAGCTGCAGTGAGTAGTAGAATCTTGGTAACCCCTGAATTATCAGGAACCTTTTTTTTTTTTTTTTTTTTTTTTTTTTTTTTTTTTTTTTTGAGACGGAGTCTCTCTCTGCCGCCCAGGCTGGAGTGCAGTGGCGCGATCTCGGCTCACTGCAAGCTCTGCGTCCCGGGTTCACGCCATTCTTCTGCTTCAGCCTCCCGAGTAGCTGAGACTACAGATGCCCGCCACCACGCCCGGCTAATTTTTTTGTAGAGACGGGTTTCACCGTGTTAGCCAGGATGGTCTCGATCTCCTGACCTCGTGATCCTCCCGCCTCGGCCTCCCAAAGTGCTGCGATTACAGGCATGAGCCACCGCGCCCGACCAATCAGGAATCTTATGTGTAAAAACTGTTACTTTGGCCCCTTGATATATAAATGTGTCTAAATGCATTACAGTTGTACAACTCTCAGAGCTCCTAAGTTTTGCTTTCCCAGACTATGTATCTGTGACTCTTGTTGTATTCTAAAATTACCTTCATTCCATAGCCCTGAGTTTCTGTGGGAGTCCAGGACATCTCCTGACAATACAAAGTAGCACAACGTGTGATTGTATATTGCAACCAGGAGCCAATACATTCATTCACCTCAAAGTTGCAAGTGTTCAACGCAGTCACAATGCCCCTCACCAGTGCTCATGCACTTCCTGTTTTTAGGAAGTATCCGCATCTAAGTGGTGTGCATGTTTTATTGGAACACTTAGTATTTTTTTAAACCTGAAAAAAAGCAGAAAAAGCAATTAATTTTTAGGCAGTCCCACATAAGGTGTTAAAGGCCAAATGCAAGGAACACCCTGCTAGGCTCTGTAGATGGATGTATTAAAAATTTATAAAACAATGTGTTTAAAGCTAAGAATTCTGCTGCTTTCAAATTCTGTCCCTCTGCTCCTTCTCCTCACCTCCTGCTTCTCCAGCCCTTCCCTCCGTCCCTCTCATCCCTCAGGCCCTCCTCTTCCCTTAGTCCCCACCACTCTGTCACTCCTGAATAGTGGCTCTAGCACTGTTCCATTACCTGCCACCTGAGTGTTCTCTCCACAGTGGTCCTGCTACTGTGAGTCAAAGTGTGTCGTTTCTTCACCTAAAACACTCCAGTGGCTCCACTTCGGTCTTGTGAAGCTTCTAGAATGTCAGGCACTTGAGCATATGAGGGCATACCTGGTTCAGCATAGGCACTAAATTAATTTTTGTTGTCTAGTTGAATGAAATATGATTGTATAAAAATTTAATCGCATCATGGAATATTATAAAATGAAAAATACTGGAAAAAGGAAATATTTTATTTTACTCATGTAGTGTGCTTATCAATTTATAAATTCATTCCATGTGTCTGTTGAGTCTGTGTATGACTTTTGTATGACTGCATAACAAATTACCACAAACACTGGCTTTAAACAACACCCATTTATTGTATTTATTTATTTATTTTTAGAGACATGGTCTCCCTCTGTTATCCACGGTGAAGTGCAGTGGCATGATCATGGTTCCCTGCAACCTCAAACTCCTGGCCTCTAGAGGTCCCCCTGCCTCAGTGTCTGGAGTACCTGGGACTACAGGCAAGTACCACCGTGCTCAGGTAAATTAAAAAAAAAAAAAATTCCTTTTTGTAGAGAGGAAGGTCTCCTCAAATTGCCCAGGCTAGTCTCACTCCTGGCTGCAAGTAATCCTCCTGTGTCATTCCCACAAACCTTAGGATTACAGGCATGAGCTACCATGGTTGACCAAACAACACTTATTTATTTATTTACAGTTCCTTAGTCAGAAATCTGAGCATGATTGGAGGGTTCTCTGTTTAGGGTTTCCCAAAACTGTGTTTTCATTTTGAGGGCCTCCTTCAGGCTTATACAGAGGCGACATAATTCAGTTTCTGCCAGTTGTAGGACTAAGGTTCCTGTTCCTTGCCTACTGTCAAGGTAGAGAGAGGCTGCTCTCAATTCCTGGTGCCCACCAGCATTCTTTGCCACACAGCCCCTTCATTTTTAGAATCCACATTGGAGGAACCCCCTCACACTGAATCCCTCTCACACTGTGAATCTCTCTGATCAGGAAGAACCCAGTCCTTTCAGGGGCTCGCCAGATGAGGACAGCCCGACCAGGGATAATCCCTGTCTTAAAGTCAATTGATTTAGGACCTTAATTATATATGCAAAAATCCCTTCAAGGCAGGACTTACATTATTGTTGGTTGAATAACTGGGGTCAGGTGAATGACCAAGGTTACACGTCTATCATGGGGGGGATGATAGAATCAGCCTAGCAAGGCTTGGGTCTTTCTTTTTTTTTTTTTTTTTTTTTTTTTTTTTTTTATTTTATTTTTTATTTTTATTGATCATTCTTGGGTGTTTCTCGCAGAGGGGGATTTGGCAGGGTCATAGGACAATAGTGGAGGGAAGGTCAGCAGATAAACAAGTGAACAAAGGTCTCTGGTTTTCCTAGGCAGAGGACCCTGCGGCCTTCCGCAGTGTTTGTGTCCCTGGGTACTTAAGATTAGGGAGTGGTGATGACTCTTAACGAGCATGCTGCCTTCAAGCATCTGTTTAACAAAGCACATCTTGCACCGCCCTCAATCCATCTAACCCTGAGTGGACACAGCACATGTTTCAGAGAGCACAGGGTTGGGGATAAGGTCACAGATCAACAGGATCCCAAGGCAGAAGAATTTTTCTTAGTACAGAACAAAATGAAAAGTCTCCCATGTCTACTTCTATCCACACAGACCCCGCAACCATCCGATTTCTCAATTTTTTCCCCACCCTTCCCGCCCTTCTATTCCACAAAACCGCCATTGTCATCATGGCCCATCCCCAATGAGCCGCTGGGCACACCTCCCAGACGGGGTCGTGGCCGGGCAGAGGGGCTCCTCACTTCCCAGTAGGGGCGGCCCGGCAGAAGTGCCCCTCACCTCCCAGATGGGGCGGCTGGCCGGGAGGGGGGCTGACCCCCCCACCGCCCTCCCGGACGGGGCGGCTGGCCAGGCAGAGGGGCTCCTCACTTCCCAGTAGGGGCGGCCGGGCAGAGGCGCCCCTCACCTCCTGGATAGGGCGGCTGGCCGGGCGGGGGACTGTTCCCCCCACCTCCCTCCCGGACGGGGCGGCTGGCCGGGCAGAGGGGTCCTCACTTCCCAGTAGGGGCGGCCGGGCAGAGGCGCCCCTCACCTCCCGGACGGGGCGGCTGGCCAGGCAGGGGGCTGATCCCCCCACCTCCCTCCCGGACGGGGCGGCTGGCCGGGCGGGGGGCTGACCCCCCCACCTCCCTCCCGGACGGGGCGGCTGGCCGGGCAGAGGGGTCCTCACTTCCCAGTAGGGGCGGCCGGGCAGAGGCGCCCCTCACCTCCCGGACGGGGCGGCTGGCCAGGCAGGGGGCTGATCCCCCCACCTCCCTCCCGGACGGGGCGGCTGGCCGGGCGGGGGGCTGACCCCCCCCACCTCCCTCCCGGACGGGGCGGCTGGCCGGGCAGGGGGCTGACCCCCCCTCCCCCCTCCCGGACGGGGCGGCTGGCCGGGCGGGGGGCTGACCCCCCACCTCCCTCCCGGACTGGGCGGCTGGCCGGGCGGGGGGTTGACCCCCCCACCTCCCTCCTGGACGGGGCGACTGGCCGGGCAGAGGGGCTCCTCACTTCCCAGTAGGGGCGGCCGGGCAGAGGAGCCCCTCACCTCCCGGCCGGGGCGGCTGGCCGACCCCCCCCCCCCCGCCTCCCTCCCGGACGGGGCGGCTGGCCGGGCAGAGGGGCTCCTCACTTCCCAGTAGGGGCGGCCGGGCAGAGGAGCCCCTCACCTCCCGGACGGGGCGGCTGGCCGGGCGGGGGGCTGACCCCCCCCACCTCCCTCCCGGACGGGGTGGCTGCCGGGCGGAGACGCTCCTCACTTCCCAGACGGGGTGGTTGCCAGACGGAGGGGCTCCTCACTTCTCAGACGGGGCGGTTGCCAGGCAGAGGGTTTCCTCACTTCTCAGACGGAGCGGCCGGGCAGAGACACTCCTCACCTCCCAGACAGGGCCGCGGCCCAGCAGAGGCGCTCCTCACATCCCAGACAGGGCGGTGGGGCAGAGGTGCTCCCCACATCTCAGACGATGGGCGGCCGGGCAGAGACGCTCCTCACTTCCTAGATGGGATGGCGGCGGGGAAGAGGCGCTTCTCGCTTCCTAGATGGGATGGCGGCCGGGCAGAGACGCTCCCCACTTTCCACACTGGGCAGCCAGGCAGAGGGGCTCCTCATATCCCAGACGATGGGTGGCCAAGCAGAGACGCTCCTCACTTCCCAGACGGGGTGGCGGCCGGGCAGAGGCTGCAATCTCGGCTCCTTGGGAGGCCAAGGCAGGCGGCTGGGAGGTGGTTGTAGCGAGCCGAGATCACGCCACTGCACTCCAGCCTGGGCACCATTGAGCACTGAGTGAACGAGACTCCATCTGCAATCCCGGCACCTCGGGAGGCCGAGGCTGGCGGATCACTCGCGGTTAGGAGCTGGAGACCAGCCCGGCCAACACAGCGAAACCCCATCTCCACCAAAAAAAAACGAAAACCAGTCAGGCGTGGCGGCGCGCGCCTGCAATCGCAGGCACTCGGCAGGCTGAGGCAGGAGAATCAGGCAGGGAGGTTGCAGTGAGCCGAGATGGCAGCAGTACCGTCCAGCTTTGGCTCGGCATGAGAGGGAGAGGGAGACGGGAGAGGGAGAGGGAGACGGGAGAGGGAGAGGGAGACGGGAGAGGGAGAGGGAGACGGGAGAGGGAGAGGGGAGAGGGAGAGGGAGACGGGAGAGGGAGAGGGAGACGGGAGAGGGAGAGGGAGACGGGAGAGGGAGAGGGAGACGGGAGAGGGAGAGGGAGACGGGAGAGGGAGAGGGAGACGGGAGAGGGAGAGGGAGACGGGAGAGGGAGGCTTGGGTCTTTCTTTTGAGTTTAATTGGGACACAGGTGGAAATTGAAGTTCAAATAAAGCAATAATTGTGAATGATAATAAAATACATCCTATTTAGCCATGGAAATTCCTCTTACCTCTTAAAACCAAATGACATGTTTAATATTTTATAATTAATTTAGGTTGGGTGTGGTGGTGGCTCATGCCTGTAATCCCAGCACTTTTGGAGATGGAGTCAGGCAGAGAGCTTGATTTCATGAGTTCGAGATCAGCCTAGGCAGCATGGCAAAACCCTTGTCTCTACCAAAAATACAAAAATTTTAGCCAGGCATGGTGGTGCATGTCTGTACTCCCAGCTACTCAGACAGCTGAGGTGGGAAGATCACATGAGCCTAGGAGGTCGAGGCTGCAGTGAGCTGTCCTCCTGCCACAGCACTGCAGCCTGAGTGACAGAGCAAGACCCTGTCTCAATAATAATGATGATAACAATAACACTAATAAATTTAGAGCAAATGAAAATTAAAGTGCAACTATTCATCCTCTCTTGTGAAGCTGTATTTTTTTTTACTGTTACATTACAAATTACTGAAAATGTAACAGCTCAAAGCAACAAATATTTATCATCTCCCACAGTTTCCAATGCTCAGGAATCCAGGAGAGGTTTCCCTGAGTGTTTCTGGCTCAGGGCCTCTCACAAGGTTGCAGTCCAGTTGTCAGCCAGGGCTGCATCATCTGAGGGCTCAACTGGGCTGGGGATTTGCATGAAAAATGGCTCACTCACATGGCTATTGGAAAAGGCCTCAGTTCCTTGTTGTCTGGTCCCGGGAGGCCTCGGTCCTAGCCACATGGACCTTTCCACAGGTCTGCTTATGACACAGCAGCTGGCTTCCCCCAGAGTTCATGATCCCAGAGACAGAGAGAGCAAAGGTAGAAGCTACGGTAAGTTTTTTGTTCTACACCAACAGTCACTCCATCAGATAGAAGTGAATCATTAAGTCCAGGCCACACTCACAGGGAGGGAATGAACCTGCACCTCTGCAAAGTGGAGAGTATCAAAGAATTTGCATATATGTTAAAAGCAAAATTAAGCAAAATTAAAATTATTGTTTCAGAATTTTATAAATCCAAAGCTGCTTTCATCTGATTATAATTCTTTAATGCTTTAAACTTCTCTTTTTAAAGTAATGATTAAAATTTGAGACATCACAGAGCCTTGGGTATTGAGGGGAAAAAAGTTTGAGACAGAGAAAGGAGATACTATAGTATCTCTAAGTTTTTCTTGCAAATACCTTTAATAACAATGTTCTCTTTAATGAGTTGCAACACAGCTGAGAACTTACAGTAACTAGATCAAATAGTTCCAAGACTTCAGTGCCATAACAATAGTGCCTTAAAAATAAGTATTTGTTTTGCCTAAGATGTCTCAAATTTAGTTTAAGAATGTCCCAAATGCCAATTTTCTCATTCAAATATCATCTTTAAAAATATTTGCCAAATCAGATTGCTTTTAAGGTAGAAAAAATGTGAATCTCATACCTCAGCCAACACATCTAGCTTAGCATGATGTCAGTAACTTTGGTTGGATACAGTAGCCCAAAATGCTTAGCTCCAACTTAGGAACAAGATTTTCCAAAAACTGGCTACTGGGTGGGCATTCCATAATAAACTTGACATCTTTCGCTCTGGTTTTTAATGAGACGTGGTAGACATGATTTGGACATCACTATGATTCTAAATAGCACTGCTATTCTGTACTTCTACAGTATTTTTTAAGCAATCCTATTGTGTTTTCCATTCCTATTTGCTATTCTATCACTGGTTATTCCTATATAATTTTTTCCTGTTTAATTTATTTTGATCAGTAATGTGCATTTCCAATTCTGTAAAAGTTTAATTCAGGTGTGTGTGTGGTAGAATGTAACATCGAATCCTTTGCAAGATGGAATTACCTTGCACATCAGACCGAACATTGTACACCGAAAATCTATGGAGATGTCAATGAGCCAAGGATCAAATGACCTATTTCTGGTCAAGGCCACTTTCATAGCATTCTGGCTCTCTCCATCACATGGATCATTACAATTGGCTTTGGTCCAATGTGAATAGTTCTTGGTAAGAATTATTGTAATGGCAAAAACTGCAATTATTTTTGCATCAGCCTGTAAGAGTTCAAAGTCACTGTCTTGGCCGCAGAATTACACCAGGCACTTTTTACTCAGACTCTGTTAATAACTTCCTGTTCTTTACTTGTATCCCATACACTGTGGCATTAAACTTTTAACATACAGATTCAGAAAATGCTTCCTTATATCATAACCACATAGGGTTATTTTATATGTTAGGAATATTTCATGAGAAGTAGGAAAAAATGGTGGGAAGGAAAAGAAAAATCAAGAAGAGAATAGGTGGAGAGAAACGGGAAACATTATGTATGGATAATATTATAAAAATAGAAGGAAATAAATCAGATGTAGATAACCACTATGGAATAATCGAAACATAAGAGAGGTTTATTAGCTATCTGTTGCTGTGTAACAAACTACCCCAAGACTTAGTGACTTAAAACAGTGAACATCAATTTACTCAAAGAAAACAACACAAATACCAGCAAAACTGGAGCAGGTGGAAGAAGTTGGATAATAAAAAGGATTTTACAAACTGGAAAAGTAAGAGGTCACTGGTGTGTAAATGGAAATGATTTTGTTGGTCCATGTTCTCCAAGAAGCAGATGACATGAGATTAAAGTTGCAGTATTTTATTAGAGGACTCACCTGCCAGAAAATATGGGAAAAGATCCAGGAAACCCTGGGAGAGACAGCAGACTGAGATGCAAGCGTGACCCCCAAGTGAGGGACAGGAGAGGAGGTTTGTTGGACACATCCTAGACCACAGGCAATCTAAGGAGAGTTGAGCAAGGCCATAGAGGAGTCCTCTAGCCACAGTTGGCCCTTGTCTTCCAGACATAGGCCTCCCTTAGTGTCCCTCTTGTCACCCATCACTGGTTGGGAACAGCCCATGGGAAGCAGGGTGTCTGCACCAATGCTGCTGAGGATGTCAGAGCACAGGAGCAGGGCCTTGGGAGATTATCTGGGAGCATGGTTCAAATCTTCCTTCCTGAGGTTTCTGGGCCCTTGGAAATCAAATTCCCTCAGGATTGGTTGCTGGACAATTCCACTAACACTTACAATGGGACAAGGGGAACCAGGAGACCCCTCAAGTGGATCACTGGGTTCCACACACATTCCTCCTGCCCTCATTGTGACAGCAGCCCAACCTCCTCCTGGAGATTAGGATCTATTACCTGTGCCTGGAGAGGAGGGGACTCCTCACTTGCTGGTCTCTGGGCACATACTGTCCAAATCTCTCTGGGGGCAATAGTAATGTGTTCTTCAGTAGGCTCTCATTTGTCCTGATTTAAGAGTACCTTCCTTTAGAATCCAGGACCTTCTACCCTGCAGAGCACAGGTTTGGGAGATGAGAAGTGCAAAATCCCACAGCAGGTGAATCTAAGGAATGAGACATGGAGCCATACCCACTTTCACTCCTTAGTTTCTGGACCCACATGTTCTTCCTACTGAGAACACGGCACTGTAGAGATGTCTCTGATTTAATAAATGCACCATGTCCCGAAAGACAGCACCCACCCCTCAGAGTGCTTCCTCCAGGCTGGCACTGAGTTGTGCCTGTAGAAGACCTGTCCAGCATTCTTAGTGGCTGGCAGACCCTGGGTGGTGCAGATGGTGATAGAACCAGTGGATCCCATGGCCATGAAAATGCTGCACCTGCTTCCCTGTCAAGTGGGTTCCACCAGGAAGACAGTGTGCTAAGAGCAATGCCATGCCTGTGAATCAGGAATGTCAACAGTCCCTGGAGAGTGGTGCTGACTGAGGGTCTGAGAGCAGGACAGGAAAACCCACTCATGGAATGGTGCCTAACCCTGTAAAGATGAACCTCTGGCCCTTCCAGAATGGAAGTGGCTCAACTAATCACTTAGCAGCGAGTGTTGCTTTAGTCACCTAAAGAAATATAGCCCCACTGAGGCACATCATTGGCCTCAAATGCTAATGAGTTGGACATTCAGAGGTGGCAGCAGCTGGATCTGTCTTGGTAGGTGGTAGTCAGTGCTTCTGGACCCATATTTAGCCTCATTCCTGCCACTGTGCTTGCTCCATTCATGAACTCATCCTGCCAGGCCTGGGCTGCCCGATGGTGAGGGCTGGCTAACTTCAATTTGTCTGCTTGGTTGTTTAGTGCCACTTCAGGTTTGGATGTTTTCTGGAGGTGTCAACATAGGATTCATGCTCAATCCAGATGGACCATTTCTATCTCATGATGGATGCTTTGGGGTCTGTCCGATCTATGACTTTCTGAGTTACAGAAGCCAATTCATATGGGCATTTGAAATCACATGGTTGTTTGATGTCCCATGGCAAGGATTCTATCTTATCAAGGCCAGTAACATACCAAAAGTTGCTTCTAACAGGGGCATATGTCTCTGCTGTGGATGACATGGCCTTACTCCAGAATCCCAGGCCCTCCGTGTGACTCCCCCACTGGTGCTTGTTTCAGCTCCATCCTGCATCTTTCCCCACGACTGACACCTCTAGGTGGGTCTGAGGGATGGCGCTGCCTCATGGCCTGAATCTGCCAGTGTCCTTTCCTCAGCAGGCCTAATTGAAGCAAGTCCCCTCCTATTTCTCCTAGAGTGTAGGTCAAAGCAATAGATGTGGGATGTGGTGTTGTCAGAATTCAAAGAGGCTCACCAGGCAGTGTGCTTCCTTCCTTGTAGTGAGGATGCAAGATGCAACACTTTGTCTTTTACTGTGGAGGAGAAACTCCTGGATGTCCTCAACCACTGGATGAATAAAACTTCACCACAGTGGCCACTCCTGAATCTCTGTGTGGTTTATCTTCCATCTGCTGGAGAGCACGTGTTTTGCCAAGGCCTTCAGCATACTTCCCATCTCCTACTCATCCATCCTAGTCAACATGATGTTGTTGATGAAATAAGCTGATTTACCATTCTATAGGATGCCAGGTTCTTCAGATCTCTTAAGACTATACTATAGAGGGCAGGTCAGTTACAATAACCCTGAGGCCAATTATCAATAAATGTGTTGTGGATCCCACATGAATCACTTCATGTATAGTTTTTCTCATTGGAATGGAAAGGAATGCACTCACCAAATCCACAGCTGCACACTTTGTGCCTGAGGCCTTATCAATCTGCTCTACCAGTGATATCCAGCCAGCATGGCAGCTGCAATTATGACTCCTACTTTTTCAAGTCTGAAGTAATCTCATTCATTCTTTAGGCCCCATCAGGCTTCCTTGGGGACAGATTGCTGGATTACGTGAAGATAACAGGCAACTCCAACAGCACCCCTCATCCTTCAGCTCTCTAATGGTGGTGCTACACCTAAAATACCTACAGTACCTTTCATAAGACTCACCCTGGGACTCAATATCATTTTTTATTTGGCCAGGATGAAGTCAGTTGCAGAGGTTTCCCTTTGGCTTTCAGACAATGACAGCCCTTATTCCAGAGACTTGGGACCCAATGTGGGGGTTACTCCAGCTGCCAGGGCATCAATGCCAATTACACACTTGGAGAATGGGGAGATAAACAGGGCTGGGTCTGTGGACCCAGTAGTCCCTTTGTGATGTGTCCAGATTTATTCCCAGCTTCTGTAAGCCCCACTGTGGTAGGGACATAATGGTGCTGTAGGCCTGTAGGCATCAATATCAGCTCACACCCAATGTCAACACTCCCCCAAATTCTGCCTGTTTCCCTTTCCTAGTGTACAGTCCCCTGAGTAAATGACTGTAGGCTCCTTTGCAGAAAGACAGAGGGAATTGTTCCAGCATATACTTGCCATGAGGTTTCAGGGTCCTTCCTCCTGGAATAGGGACTCCTTCTCTGTAACTGGGATCTGAATCTGAAACTTGGTTGACGTTTAGGAATTGAGAATGGGATCATGACTTTGTATTGAGTTAAACACCCTCAGCCCCCTGCTCATCAATTCTTGCTTTCTCATCACAGATGTCAAGCAGTGCCCTTGTTGGCTGCTGCCTGTTCTGACACCACCGTCTATTAACCTTCCCCACAACTCCCTGCAGATCAAGCTGCCTCAGCTGCTCCTCTGAGATTGTCAAGTTAACCGTGCCCTCTGGCTTTTGCAGGCCACTGTCACCATTTAGTTCTCTGCCTTTTCAAGGCCACACTTTCCTCAGGAATATCAATGAGCCCAACTATAGGACCTCCTTCCTGCCATCACACCCAGCCTGCAGAGGACACCACCCCGACGCTTCTTAGCCATGCAAGTCCCTCTCACCGGCACATTCCTGAGGCTCTGGTGGAAGTTGTGCCCTATGGGTCCTCTGTGGAGCATGGCCCTAGTGGGCATTCTGGTTCACATGATGTCTCCATCCCACACACCCACTTCCCTCAGCCTCATTGTCCATCCTCTACATGTTCCAGGACAACTAAGTCATGTCTAACTTACTGAGAGTTGGACATCATTTTTTCCAGTCTACATGGGTCCACCCCAGCAGTGGGTTTGCCCCATGCCCTGAGGTCCTTGATAAACCCATACCCTGAGAAAGTGCTCCCAAGCCAAAGGTGTTTTTTTTTAATTTATCCAGCTTGATTCTGGCCCTTTGATCAAACACCCTTAAATTCCAATCCCAGAACTGCTCCTCAGGCTCCTACGGGGACATAACGGCTGTTACTGCAAAGCTCCTGAGTGGAATTCCCACTGCATCATAGGGGTGAGGTTTCTGCAGCATCTTCCAGTGTAGGAAGTGGGAACCATTACTAGAGAAGGGCGAGCCTCCTCTGCATGCCCAGAGAGTTCTAAAGGGCACCCATAGGATAACCCTGTTCCAGTTTGCAGAATCTTAGGTTTCCGCACCAAGGCCTTGACTTTCCCACAGCAGGTCTGCCTCTGATGAGTGTCCAAACATCTCTGTAGTACTGTGACTTTTAAAATGATGTCATCAGCTATCATTCCACTCTGCAAGGGGAGAGGGGCAGATGCCCCTCCTCGGTCTGTCTCCACCAGGCCCTGTGAGGGTGGGTGGAGGCTCTCTCCAAGCCCTCGTTTGGCCCCACCCCAGCATGTCTCCAGGTTCCTCTCAGCCCTGGTTCCTTTTGGCCCTGCAGTCACAATGGGCAACACTGTGACGCACCCTGTCCTGTGTCACAGTGTCATACACTCAGGCTCACATTGCCCCTAGGCCACTTGCCAGCCAAGGGACATGGCCACATTTTGTGTCTTCTGCACCTCAGCCTTGCTTTCAAGTGCAGGTGATGATGGCACCCACGCAGAACAAATGTTATTTGCTATCTTCGTCGAGTTTAGTCATCCAATTTTCCAACCCTCACTGGGCAAGGAAGAGTGTGGTTTCCACCAGAAGGCAGGATGTCAGCAGTCACAGGGGCAACCAACAGGGAAAGCCACTGGAAAATAGACCCCACAGGAAGCACAGGTGTCCAGTGGAGATGGGAACCCTGCAGATTTGACCGTCTTTAAGCAGATTAGAGAGATTACCATTACTAACAACTTAGCCATAAAAGTTTATTAGCTATTTTCAAAAAGCATAAAATTATGTAATATAATTTTTTTTTAATTTCCATCAATACAAAACTAATCTGGGCACTGCAACTTCTGGTGGGCAACTGGGATAGGCGGCATCATCAGGAAGGCGAGCCCTGCCGTGCCCCATGTGCCAGTGCCCCAGATGGCGGCAGCCTCCCCAGAAGCACCTTGTATCTCCCCTGCACAGGGCCAGGGTCCCAGCTTCCCATACACCTTCTCCTGCTTTTTCTTTTCTGTCCTTTCCTTTTTCAATAAACCACCTGCAAAAAGGAAAAACCATTCTGAGGACAAGAAACATGTCAATGGGAAATACACAGTTGCCAGAGGGTAAAAGGCCCTGTTCATTCTCATTGAAAAGCTCAGGTATTTCTGTTAAAGTCTCTCCTTTTACTTTAGGATGCTGACTCCTGCGTCCATCTCAACCTGGGCATCGTGCCACCACCTTCAAGAAGAGAAAAACTAAGTAGTGCTTTGCAAAGGGGCAGCAGCATTTCTCATTTCTGACCATGTCAGGCACACGGCCATGCAGATGAGCAGGTGGGGGACACAGGTGAGTCTCCAGACCTGCTCTCCTCCCACAGTACATTCTTGAGTCTTTTTAAACAGTTGTGAAAATGCCACAGATGCAAGCACCTGTGGGCCACTCCCATGGGGACCGTTGCACAAGGCAGTGCCACTCATTCTCAGAACCTCCTACCATGGGCTATGCTTAGTGACCCGAGGCCAAGCCAAGGAAGACGCCAGCCACAGGGTGCCATCCTCAGGGGCATGCTGCCAGCAGGGGCAAAGTTATCCCTAGCAACAAGATACAGAAAGAAAGAAAAAAGGAAGGAAATGTAGCCAATGGGCCGGTTCAGGTTCTTGACTTTGCCACACAAAAGAATTTGAGAGCAAGTCCAAAGTAAAAGTCAGCAAGAGAATTTATTGCAAAGTGAAAGTACACTCTGACAGCTGATCAGAGCAGCTGCTCAAAAGAGAGACAGTACCCTCCCCTCACGGGAGTCTTACATGATTATTCATGAATAGGTGGGAAGGGGTATTGTTTTAAGCATGTTCTGTGGTCTCTTGAACGTGCATGCACTGTGGTTGTACATATCAGCACACACATCTTACGTCTCATTAGCATCTTAACTTCCCTCTCAGAGTTGTGTTTGCTACTATTGTAATGAGCATAGGTCAGCCCAAGGACGCTATTCATGGGTTTCTGGGCTTCCTCAGATGTGGGGATGCCTCCCTTGGCTCTTCTACCTCTTTGCTGCAGGATGTTCTAACCACAAGCCCAGGATATGGTTTGCGCACTGTCGAACAGCTTGTTCTCTCCATCAACCTGACAAGTCTCTTGTTTCCTTTCAAGTGAGGCTGTGAACACCCTATCTCACTGACCTCAGAAGGACAGTACAGCAGTAGCCACCATGACCAAAAAGATGATTCCAGAAGTGCAGGACAACTCCCTACCCAGAGGCTGTGGCTGTGCAGTAACACACCAAGAGGGGAGTCCAGCTGGCTCTCAGGGTGCTCACTACCCTCATCTGGGGGCCTGGAGGACGTCAATTCCTGAGAACGCCACGTTCTAGTGAGTAGAATGAACTAAGAGATACACAGCAAAGCTCCACATACTTTTCCTTTTCTTTGTGCCCGCAGTGTTCTTCATCAGTGTGCTCTCGCTTTTCAGCTACTACTGTTGGCTGGCTGGAAAAAATAGAACAATAGTAAAAATTAGAGACCAGTCTTTGGTGATGAAGAGAAATATTGGCTACTTCCAGTATTTTCTAGCTTTGGTTATGGTTGCAGTTTTCCAGCTCACCTTGTGGGGATGAATTCAGAAAAAAGTTACAAATTGAAATGAACATGCCAGAAGTATTGGCTCAAATCAACGTTGTCCTATTAAGCCACTTAGTGAATCAAAAGACCGCTTGTTGGACTGTTAATCTCGGTGGCCAGAGAAAGGAGCTGAAGAAGGTGTTGCCAGATCAGGAACAAATAATTACAGCGGCAATAGAAAATGGAAGACCACTTGTTCATAACCATTTGAATAAGGGCAAGGTGTATGGAAACACATTATGAACTGATATTTTCAGTTTTGTTTGCAAGAAAATGATTAATAAGGTGAAATAATTGAAGTATCACGGAAGATACATTAAAAAAAAAAAAAAGCCTTTGTACAGTTTGCTGGAGCCACAGATGTCCTACTCCAGAGCAGAACAATGCCTGAATCTTCAGGGTCCATTTGTGCCGCATTCACTAGCAACCACAAATGTGACTTAATTTTACTTTGGAAATAATGCTTACCTATTGTGAGATGCTGTAATATGAACCATCATTACATGTTAACATGGCACATGGAATTTTGAGTGTCTAAGTTACATTTTTAGAGTTGTTTCTTAGTAGCCATGTGAGTTTCCACTCCAAAAACACAAGCTAAAAACTTGTTTTGAGTGAAGGACATCTAGGGCAAATGGTGGCTGAAAGTGAATGAGATCCCAATTACTCTTTCTTGTACTGTATAAGGAAAAGAAAATAAGTGCTTTTCTTGTTGGGTGTTTGCTAATTTATAATTACCGTTTTATGCTTTTCAACATTTTTAATAAAGTTTTTTATTGTTGGCTATAAACGTTTTAAAAGGATTCTCTTCCTCTAGAATCACTCTAAGTACCAAAATCTGTATTATTCTGGATTCAACAGAGAAACAGAACCAATAAGGGGTGTGTGTGTGTGTGTGTGTGTGTGTGTGTGTGTGTATGTGTGTGTTTTATTCGTGTTATGAAACTGACTCATGCAATTATTACGGTGGCAAGTGTGAAATCTGTAGGATACGCCAGCAGGCTGAAAATGCAGACAGAAGTTGATATGGTAGTCTTAAGACAGAATTTCTTCTTTTCTGGGAAACTGTAGTTTCTGCTCTTAAAGCCTTCTACTGATTGGATGAGGTCCATCTACATTATTGAGGGTAATTTCCTTTTCATAAAGTCAACTGATTGTAAATGTTAACCACATGTACTAAATATCTTCACAGCAACATCTAGATTAGGTTTTGATTAAATGACTGGGTACTATGTCCTAGCCAAGTTTATTGGCATTGACTCTGGGTCAAGGCACCGTGTCTCCCTCCCATCGAGTTTTCCATCATCTACACGAGACCTAGATGACTACTTTGATATCTACTGCAGGCCACAGCCTTGTCAAAGCCAGCCCCAGCTGAAATGCACTCACCTGCATTCCCACACAATTTTACATACAATTCGGGGGAGGTTATGGGATCTATGAAGACCAAGGGTCTGTGGTCCTGTGACACTTTCTCTCAGAGGGTGAAGAAGGAGTTCCTTGGGGCAGCAACTCCCCAGGGGTCTCCTGCCTGCCTCTCCTCCCCTCTCAGCCCCAATCCTCTTTCCTGCTGTTGATCATCATGCAGTTTTTAAATCCCTACTCCCTGCCCCACCAAGGTTGGGCTCTAGGACCTGCCTATTGGGAACCTGCGGTTGGGAGAAAGTATGAAGTGACCCACCTGAATTTAGAGGAGGGAAGTGAGGAATTTGGAGACATCTAAAAACATTTTGTCCCTGTGGTTTGACTTCAAATTATTATCTATTTTTATTGGAGATTTGTTTGAAATTATAACCGGTATCTCATGATTATTCAGCATATGCCATGCCCCCTGGTAACCCTGGTTCTTATTTTTTTAAACTTGTACAAATATTTTAAGCAAACACAGAAGTAGACAGAAGAGTAAAGTGACCTTCACTGTACCCTTCACTCAGTAACACCCACTCTTGATTTATCTACATCCTCAACCATAGCCCAACACCAGGTTATTTTCAACTAAATCCTAGACAATATATTATTTCACATGTTAGCAATTTTCTTTTGAAGGTGCCAATGTTCAGCTTCTTTAAAAAGAGAAACAGAGACGGGCAGGAGAAGGATTGAACTGACAAAATATATTTTCAAATGCAATTAAGGCAGAGGACAATGCAGGAACCCTTGAGTCCCGTTTTAACTGAATGCTCAGCACCTCTTAGATTCTCAATAAAAGAAAGCAGCAGCCCAGAGCCAAGGAGCCCAGGGAGGCACATCATGGTTTGATTTTGTGACTGTTTTCAGGGCAGTATCTGTCATCTCTGAATGGTTACACTGGACATTTCTATTCCCACCCTTGCAATGGGACTCCCCAGCTCAGAGAAAGGGAAATTATCACCCATTCTCATTTATACCTTTAATGCCTTCATCCATTCCCTTGGTCCTGACTTTCCGGTTGGAGGAGGGGGAGGAAAAGCAGAGGCACGAAATTGAAATGTC
Source organism: Homo sapiens (assembly GCF_000001405.40). Classification (NCBI taxonomy): domain Eukaryota; kingdom Metazoa; phylum Chordata; class Mammalia; order Primates; family Hominidae; genus Homo; species Homo sapiens. Next base: position 29,705,835 of record NC_000006.12, on the reverse strand, counting down.
TTCTCTGCCATCTGCTGGGGATATGCTTGAATAACAGGAAAGGCCTACATAAAAGATATGCAGCGAGGAATAGAGGTTCCTTTTCCTGTTTCCTTCAGGAAATTTCCCCTAGGGCAGACAGAGCAAGAGCGATGGACAGAGGAATGGGAGCAGGACCCAGGGGGAGGTCTGGTCATATGTGTGCCTTTCTGCCTCCCCGTCTGTCATTGTCCTTCCTCACCAGGCCTGCAGACCACCTGCGATGACCTGGCCTCTTGCCATCCCTAGCTGGGCCAAAATTCCATCACAGGGACACACAGGATGGCAGAAGCGCAAGGCCTCATACCCGCTGGGGCAGCCTCCTGGAGATGGCCTCAGAAGGGCTTCTGGGAGCTTCTTTAAAACCTGCACTACAGGCACCAATTTCCCCAGTTATCCCATCCTTAAGTGAAAAATCAACCACAGAGATGATTTATTGTAATAGCCTTATTTCAGTACAAGCAGACGAAAAGTGTTTCTCTTCACTGGCCCGTTAGTTACAATGGGGAGGGGTCACTGAGTGAGCAGCGGGTGGTGGCAGTGACGACCACACCCTCTCACTGCGGCCCAACACTTTTGAGACAAGTTCCCACCTCTCCATTAGACGTGTCTTCTCCACATGCAGAAAATGTGGTCTCGTAGCTTCCCTTCTCAGTGCTGGATTGCTGGCATTTCTTTTCTTTATCAGAGACATGAATATCTTTTTTCTTTATGGATTTCTAAGACTTCAGGGTTTTTCAGGGAGAAGTTGCTTAAGGAGGCTCCTGCGTGGACCGAGTCCTTCCTGAGGGTTTGCTGGATGCCCCCGGACACTGTGCAGCTGTGTCCTCCGGGGTCCCTAAAGCTGGCACGTTCTGCTGTGTACCCAGAGGTGGGGACAGATGCTGCCAGCTCCACCTTACAGCTGCTACATGAAATTTGAGGTCAGAGAATTCTCTTGTCTTTAAGGGCACCCACATTTGCCTTCTTCGATGTTTCAGGAAATCATAACTGAATTTAGAAAGGTTCCCTTTTCAGTTTACTCTCTGGAAGGAAATATACTGAAAATTCAGTTTATTTTCAGGTATTGAATAGAATTGAAAAGTCAAACTGTCAGTTTGCTTGCAGTGCACACAGAGAAATTGAGTGTTCCAAGCCATTGGGACATTTCTAGAAATCCATCCTTTTCCAGTAGGACATGAGTAAAGTCAGTGAGGAGCGAACCTGCAGTCCACGGGCACCTCCAGGATTGTGGGAGGAGACGCACATGTCTTTCTGATGTGTGGAGTCCTGAGGACAGAGGCTGAGACCCTGCATTTCCCAAAGTACTTGTTTTCTAAGCAAGTGTTTCTGCTACTTGAAATAAACTTGGGGGTGTGGAAGCCACCTTGCAACCAACCAAACACAGGTGAGAAAATGAATATGAAGTGTTCTGGGAGAAAGCAGAAAACCCCATTGCCATCATGTTTCCTTATTTTTACAATTCTCTTAAACAACGTGCCTAAGGTTATAACCCCTCCCGTTTGTAACAACTTCTAAATTGAAAGGGCATTAGTAAGTGTGGATACAGAATAAATGCTGAAAATCAGTGCTTTATTCAAAGTAGCGATAGAGTCTCCCAGGTGTCAATAGAGAGGTGGGCCAGGGACTTTTCCCAGTGACCAGAAACAAGAGCCTCAGGGAGATGAGGATGTCTCACAGCCAGGGACGGGACAGTGAAGGGCATCCCAGGACGGGAGTGCATCCCAGGGGTCTGTTCCTGTTTAGACTCCAATGCTCAGCACCCAGTGCGGCACGTGGCAAGACCTCAGCAAATATGTCAGTTGGCTGGATGAAGGAGGGCAGGTGTGAGCCAAAAAAAGATTTTTGCTGGGGCATAAATGTAAAAGTGTTGATGAACCTACCTTGCAAGGAGATAGAAAGGTGGATGGGTGGATGGGTGGATGGGTAGATGGATGGATGGATGGATGGATAGATGGATGGATGGATGGATGGATATTCATTTTCTCTATGTGTGTGTGTACGTGTGTATCTATCTCTGTCTGTCTCTCTGCTCTTTCTCTCCATTTGCCATTGTTCCTTCACAATCATGATTTCACTAACTTTTTTTTTTTTTCTTTGAGACAGAGTCTCACTCTGTCGCCCAGGCTGGAGTGCAATGTCACAATCTCTGCTCACTGTAGCCTCCACCTCCCGGGTTCAAGCGATTATCCTGCCTCAGCCTCCTGAGTAGCTGGGATTATAGGCACATGCCACCACGCCCGGCTAAATTTTGTATTTTTATTTTGATTTTTTTTGTAGAGATGGGGTTTCACCATGTTGGCCAGGCTGGTCTCAAACTCCTGACCTTGTGATTCGCCCACCTCAGCCTTCCAAAGTGCATCAGTAACATCTTTTACCTGGTCTTACAGGACCTTGCCTGTCTATTCTATTCGTGGTCACAAGACAGAAAAAGAAAAGGAGTGTGTGGAAAACAAGATAAGGAAACATGCTTCTGATCTGGGGCAGTGGGGAGACAGGGGCTGCGCCTCACTGCAGAGTCCATCCTGCTGAACACAGAGGGGCAAAAGCGCCCAGACAGCCATACCTGTGCTGATCAGAAGGGAGGGCTGCGCCTCGCGATCCTTCTACCTGTGTCTTTCAGGCTTTGCTGTCTAGGTCCAAGTTACTGCTATGAAAAGAGATTTGAGAATTCCCAGAGGGGCCTTTCAGCCTCTTTCCATGGCTCTTCCTGCCCTTTCGAAAGCACAGCCAGAGACATCAGAAATGAAATTGTACATAATTCTTTTGGACTTTGATGCAATCTTTGGAAAGAATTTTTGTAAATGCCAAGCTACATTTTGGCAACCCCATCAAGAGTCAGGTGTGCCCAGGGCAGTCAACCCAGGCCCTGGACTCTCATTCTAGTTGGATTCTATGACAGCTATTTTGCCATAAGAATTCTAGAGCCAGATCTTGCTACACCACAATTGCCTCACGTTGCAAGACAAACAAATCTAACCTGAGTCCTGTGGATTCCAGAGGTGCTCAGGAGGAACCTCCGTCTCAGCGTGGTTGACCTCAGGTTCAGCCCCGTCTGCCCATTCAGCCCGCAGCCCCGTCCCGGAGAGCACTCAGAATCCGAGAGCAGCGCAGCGGCGCCCCCGTGTGGCCACAGGGCCGAGGACAGAGACCCCGCTCCCCTTTCTCCCTAGCCAGGACCTCCCAGGCTCTCCTGTTCCCAGCACCTGGACAGGGCTCTGCATACAAGGGGGTTCCCGATCTCAAGTCAGGCTCTGAGTCCATCCAGCTTCCCAAAATCCATGTTGACACTGACGTTTCCTCCCACCACTGAGTGACTCTGGATTTTGGCTTTAGGGAAGAGATACCTCCAGGCCAAAACAGTGGGATCATATCTGGGGCTCATCCACCCCCAAACCATTGCTACCACATGACCTAGTCCCTCAGCCTCCAAAATGGGGCCTTGCCCTCCTGTCCCCTCCCTTGTTCCTGCTGCTGCTCCTGCAGGTGGAGGCTGCTCATCCCAGGAATCAGCCTGTGAGCTCCAAGCCTGGAGTCCGGGCCTGGGGCCTTGGTCCAGAGAGCAGAAGGGAGATGAAATGGATCATAAGAGAAGGGGGAGAGTGGAAGGAACCAGGGGGGAGAGAAAAACGAGAAGGGCCCTGTTAGAAGTTGTGTGTGCATGTGTGTGTGTGTGTGTAGATCAGGAGGGGGTTTCTAGGGACCTGGGGAAAGGAGAGCTAAGGGCAGGTGCTAAGGGGCCCAGCCCTGTTAATTCCAAGGTCCGGAATTAATTCCAGGATACTGCACTTCCTACAGTACCACTTTATGGCCATATCCAAGTCCAGCCCTGAGCAGCCTATGGTCACAGAAAATCGTGAGAATAATCAGAGAAAAATGACACGTTACATACATGAGAACAATTATGAGAATGACCAGTCCATGTGTTCATAATTTGTCATCAGAAACTATGGTGGTCAGAAGACAATGAAATGGCATTTTTTTGAGTGCTGTAAGAAAACAACCTAACTCAGAATTGCACATCCAGTAAAAATATTTTCAGGGAAGAAAAATGAAAAGGTGTCTCCAGATAAAATAAAACTAGGATAATTTGTTGCAAACATAACTCTACTGCAAGAAAAATACTGAAGGAGTTTCCCAGGTTGAAAGAAGTCATACCAGATGGTAACTTGAGTCTTCAGATAGGAGTGACCAACACTGGAAATGCCAAATATATGGTGGGAAGTTAAAGATGCTCTATTTTTTCTTAGTTTTTTTTTTATTAATTTTTTTTTGAGATGGAGTTTCGTTCTTGTTGCCCAGGCTGGAGTGCAATGGCACAATCTCCGCTCACTGCAACCTCTGCCTCCTGGGTTCAAGCGATTATCCTGCCTCAGCCTCCCGAGTAGCTGGGATTACAGGCATGCACCACCACGCCCAGCTAATTTTGTATTTTTAGTAGAGACGTGGTTTCTCCACGTTGGTTAGGCTGGTCTCGAACTCCCGACCTGAGGTGATCCACACGTCTTGGCCTCCCAAAGTGCTGGGATTACAGGCGTGAGCCACCGCGCCCAGCTTTTTCTTAGTTTTTTAAAAATACAAATGAACAACACTATCAACCGTCTTGATCTGACATTTACAGTCACTGTGTTCAACAGCTCCAGAATATATATTTTGTAAAGTGAATATGGTACATTCACTAACACAGGTCATATGTTGAGACATAAAACAAGTAACAACATATTTCAAAGGACTGAAATCATACAGAATATGTACTCTGACCAAAATAGATTTTATTGGAAATCAATAATAAGTTGTCTAGGGGCAAAAAAGTATTGAAAATTTTAAATCTTCCTTCTAAATAACCTACGGATCAAAGAAGAAAACATAAGGGAAGTTAGATAATATTTTCAACTGAATGATGATGAAAACATACCTTTCAAAATTATTAGATACTATTTCCAGTCTTTCTGCAAAGGACAGTGATCAAGAGAGTGTGGTATTGGCAAAAGGACAGACACATAGATCAACAGAACAGAATGGAGAGGCCAGAAATGGAAGGACAAAAATAGAGTCACTTGATTTTGAATACAAGTACAAAGGTCATCCAATGAAGAAGGGAATCTCCTTTCAATAATGATGCTGAAACAATTGGCATCCATCTACTTTGGGAGGCTGGGGCAGGTGGATCACTTGAGGTCAGGAGTTTGAGACTGGCTTGGCCAACATGGTGAAACCCTGCCTCTACTAAAGTTACAAAAATTAGCTGGTGTGGTGGCTCATGCCTGTAATCCCAGCTACTCGGGAGGCTGAGGTAGAAGAATCACTTGAACCTGGGAGGCAGAGGTTGCAGTGAGCAGAGATCACGCCATTGCACTCCAGCCTGGGCCACAGGGTAAGACTCAATCACAAAAAAAAAAAAAAAAAAAAAAAAAAAAAACTTGACAATACTTCACACCTATAAAAAAGTAACTCAAAATGTATCATAGACTTAAAAATAATATGCACAGCCATAAAACTTCTGGAAGAATATAAAGGAGAAAATCTTAACCTTGAGTTTGAGTTTTTAGATAAAACACCAAAAATACAATCCATGAAAGAGAAAACAAATCAATTAGACTTTATCATAATTAATAGTTTTTGCTTTACAAAAACACTGGTAAGTGAATGAAAAGAAGACAAGGCACAGACTGGAAGAAAATACTTGTCAAAAAACTGGAAGTTATAGATGTGACAAAGGACTTGTAAAGATAATATGTGAACAAAATTAAAACACAATAATTGGGGAAAAAAATCTTGATTTTAGAAGTGGGTGAAAGATCTCAACAGACACCACCAAAGAAGATATATGGGTGGTAAATAATACTTGAAAATATGCTTAAGATCATCTGTCATTAGGGAAATGCCAACAGGGTGCAGTGGCTCATGCCTTCAATGCCAACACTTTGGTAGGCTAAGGCAGAAGGATCACTTGAGCCCAGGAGCTCAAGACCAGCCTGGGTAACATGGCGAGACAATGTCTCAACAAACAAACAAACAAACAAACAAACATTAACCAGGTGTGGTGGCATGCGCCAGTGATTCCAGCCACTTGGGAGAGTGAGACGGGAGGATTGCTTGAACCTGGGAGGTGGAGGCTGAAGTGAGCTGTGATCGCACCACTTTACTCCAGCCTGGGCAACAGAGTGAGACTCTGTCTCAAAAAACAAAACAAAACAGAACACCAAAACAAAGTACTGCTACACTATTAGAGTAGCTAAAATTTTTTAAACTTACAATAAAAAATGCTGAAAATATACAGAGCAACAAGAATTCCCACTCACTGCTAATGGGAATGGAAAACGGTAAAGCCACTTTGAAAGACAGTTTAGAAGTTTCTTATAAAGTTAAGGAGAGACTTACCATCAATCATGCTCTTAGGTATTTACCCAAGTTAATTCAAGGTTGATATCCACACAAAAACCTGTACATGAATATTTATAGCAGCTTTACATATGTTCACTAAAAACTGTAAACAACCAAGATATCTTTCAGCCATGCAAGACTAAGCAAACTGTGGTATAACCATATGGATCATAAGAAATGAGCTATTGTCAGGCCAGATGAGGTGGCTTACACCTGTAATCCCAGCACTTTGGGAGGCTGAGGCAGGTGGATCACCTGAGGTCAGGAGTTTGAGACCAGCCTGGGCAACATGGCAAAACTCCGTCTCTAGTAAAAATACAAAAAGAAAAAATTAGCTAGGCGTGGTGGCGAGCAACTGTAGTCCCAGCTCCTCGGGAGGCTGAGGCAGGAGAATCACTTGAACCTGGGAGGCAGAGGTTGGAGTGAGCCAAGACTGCATCATTGCACTCTAGTCTGGGCAACAGAGCAAGGATCTGTCTAAAAAAAAAAAAAAAGCTGTTGCCCTGGTGCAGTGGCTCATTTTGGGAGGCCAAGGTGGAAGGATCGATTGTGGCCAGGGTTCAAGACCAGTCTGGGCAACATACCGAGATGCTGTCTATGTTTATTTAAAAAAAAAAACAAATTGGCCAGGCGCAGTGGCTCACACCTGTAATCCCAGCACTCTGGGAGGCCGAGGCATGTGGATCACCTGAGGTCAGGAGTTCGAGACAAGCCTGGCCAACATGAAGAAACCCCGTCTCTACTAAAAATACAAAATTAGCCGGGAGTGGTGGCGCATGCCTGTAATCCCAGCTACTCAGGAAGCTGAAGCAGAAGAATCATTTGAACCTGGGAGGCAGAGGTTGCAGCGAGCTAATATCGCGCCATTGCACTCCAGCCTGGGCAACAAGGGCAAAACTCTGTCTCAAAAAAAAAAAAAAAAAATATATATATATATATATGTAAATAAGCTATTAATCCATACATCAATTAATCTTAAATGCGTTTTACCAGGTGAAAAAAATGTCAGACACAAAAGGCTTCATTTTATCTGACTCAATTCATATACCATTCTGGAAAAAGCAGATCTATGGGGACAGAAAACAGGTTAATGGTTATCAAAGGTTGGAGGGAGAAGGGATAAAGAACATTCAAAGGGAAATTTTTAGGATGAAGGAACTGTTGTAGATGGTACTAGGGTAGTGGATATATGATTCTATACATTTTTCAAAATCCAGGCTGGGTGTGGTTGCTCATGCCTGTAATCCCAGCACTTTGGGAGGCCGAGGCGGGTGGATCACCTGAGGTCAGGGGTTCAAGACCAGCCTGGCCAACATGGTGAAACCCCGCCTCTACCAAAAATACAAAAATTAGCCGGGACTGTTGATGGACGCCTGTAATCCCAGCTACTCGGGAGGTTGAGGCAGGAGATGGAGGTTGCAGTGAGCCCAGATAGCACCATTGCACTCCAGCCTGGGCCACAAGAGTGAGACTTCATCTCAAAAAAAAAAAAAAAAAAAAGTCATTGTTGTAAAAAGGGCACAGGCTTTGCTACAGATTTTTCTACCAGTGAAAAGATGTATACACTTGCCTGGCCTCATCATTCAGACCAATTCATAAAATAACAAATGCATGGAAAAAAAAACTTAAAAACACAATCATCATGTGACTGACTTCCAAATTAGATTCTCCTTCAAATCAGAGAGTATTGCTTGTTAATAGTGTTTATAAATTTTAATTCCTGATTGCTGAGACAATATGTACATAAAATATTTAGCCAAAGAGTTCAAAATGAAATTACCCAAATTACCTATTTGTTATTTTATACATAGTAATTATTTTTTAAAAATCATTTGGCTGGGTGCGGTGGTTCATGCCTGTAATCCCAGCATTTTGGGAGGCCAAGGCGGGCGGATCATGAGGTCGGGAGTTCGAGACCAGCCTGACCAACATGGTGAAACACTGTTTCTACTAAAACAACAAAAATTAGCCGAGCATGGTGTTGCGCGCCTGTAATCCCACCTACTTGGGAGGCTGAGGCAGGAGAATCGCTTGAACCCAGGAGGCAGAGGTTGCGGTGAGCCGAGATCACACCATTGCACTCCAGCCTGGGCAACAAGAGCAAAACTCCATCTCAAAAAAATTTTTTTAAAAAGCATAAATTAAAAAATAAAATAAAACTTTTAAGATGTTAAGCCCCTGAAGCTCCAACTACAAAGTAGGGTAAAAGGCTGCCTAAAGCAGTGAAGATCAAGGAGTGACCTTGGAGGCAGCAGAGGGAGACTGTATTAGTCCATTTGCGTTGTTGTAAAGGAATACCTGGGTTTAAGTAATTTATAAAGAAAAGAGATTTATTTGGCTCACAGTTCTGCAGGCTGTACAATCATGGGGCCAGCTCCACTAGGATTCTGGTGAAGTCTCAGGAAGCTTTTACTTGTGGCAGAAGGCAAAGGAAGAGCAGGTGTGTCACATGGAGAGAGAAAGAGCAAGAGAGCTGCTAGGCTCTTTTAAATAATCAGCTCTCGTGTGAACGAATAGAGTGAAAGCTCACTCATTACCATGGGCAGGGTACTAAGCCACTCAAGAGAGAACCGGTCCCATGACCCAAACGCCTCCCACTAGGCCCCAGCTCCAACACTGGGGATCTTTCAACATGAGATTTGGAGGGGACAAACACCCAAACCTTATCAGAGATGATCCCAGCCACAGGTCTCAGAGAACCAGCAGAGGGCACTCCTCCAGGGCCCAGCCTGAGTGTGGAAATAGCTGTCAGAATCACATCAGAATGTTTCAGAACTCATGGGGAAAAGCTGAGACAGAAAAAAAGAAGAAAGTAAGAAGCTGGCAGAAATCAGCTAGGAACCTTGAGAGACTTGGTATTTCATTGAAAGGTAAGATAGGAGTGTTTTGACTCCCGTCGTCCCTAAGGAAGACCACCAGTATCTGAACTGTCGGAGAGCTCCTCTGCCCTCACAAAGCCAAACACTGATGTGCATGGCGATTTGGGAACTTCTGGAGGGCATCACACCAGACAACCAACTTGCGCTGGGTCACTTGTCCCTCCTCCAGACTCGGGCAGTGTTGGCAGGGTGCCATATTAGGAGTGTAGCCATCAGGGGACTGTGTCCTTCCCAGGGAACCCCAACCTTTGTATATTCACATCACAGAAGCTCCTGCAGCCATGCCCCCAGTGCCCACTTGGATTGTGGCAGCCACACAGGGCTGGCTGGACCCAGTGGAGCTGCAGGGTTCCCAGTGGTCTAGCCATCAGGGATTGCTGCTCCTAAGGAAAGGGAGACTGCAGTACACAAAAAAAGTACCAGTTGGGACAAAGGAGGCCAGACCATGTACTCATCTGTGTCCAAGAGCTCCTTGTTTGTGGGCTGAGTGACTGCACCACTTCCAGCAGAGTCGTGGACACTGTGTTCAGCTCTGCGCTGAAGGAGTGTAGTTCCATCCCAGCAGCCAAGCAGCCCCAGTGCTTAGAATCAGGCATGGAAAGGGGAAATTCTCCTGCCCTTCCCCCATCCACCACTGCTTCAAACACAGCATGGCCACTCCCATGGGAAATTGGCACGTGTGCCAGAGAAGAGCCTTTCTAGGGCTATCAGGGGTGACTGTGTTTCCACTGGCAGTGTGGCCATTTGGGCCAGGCTTGTGTGAAAGACAGGGCCCTTTCCCCTCTCTACAGGGAGTGCTAGCATTCCTGCAGTGGAGAGCAGGAAAGCTGAAAAGCTATGTGCAGGCCAGGCGCGGTGGCTCACGCCTGTAATCCCAGCACTTTGGGAGGCCGAGGTGGGCGGATCATCTGAGGTCAGGAGTTCGAGACCAGCCTGACCAACATGGAGAAACCCTGTCTCTACTAAAACTACAAAAACAATTAGCCAGGCGTGGTGGCGCATGCCTGTAATCCCAGGTACTCGAGAGGCTGAGGCAGGAGAATTGCTTGAACCTGGGAGGTGGAGGTTGCGGTGAGCTGAGATCACGCCATTGCACTCCAGCCTGGGCAACAAGAGCAAAACTCCATCTCAAAAAAAAAAAGAAAAAGAAAAGCTATGTGTTTGGGGTTGAGGGAGGATGCTCTGCACCAAAGACATTTAAATGGTGAGCTGAGGAGAAGACATCTTTAATGAGTCTCAACTACATTGCAGTTGGAGATAGAGAGTAGTGTCTGGTCAATTTGAGTTTCCCCGATGCCAGGACTAGGGAATGACAGGGAAATGGATGGCATTCCTGCCTGGCCAGGTCATGAAGCTGGGGCAGCCCTCTCCTCATCTGTGGAGACCTAGGCACGTTTCACCAGAAGTTTCCCATGCCATCACTCCTGCCTGAAAGCTGCTGCCTGTGCTCACCATTGTGGGGCAGGCTTGGGGATCCAGCTCTACTCAGCTATGTCCCCCTCTCTGGTGCTGAGCAGGGAGCCCAGGCTGCTGTACATTCCACTTACCAGCACATTTCCTGAGGCAACAGAGAACTTTTCTAGGTATACAATGATGAAGCATATACTCACGTGCTTCTGCCACATAGGCTTTTAGGCATAAGCCCACCTACTGTTCTGGAGGCTGAACCACGCACCTCAATACAAATCAGTTGACAAAAGGGCACATGAGTGGAAATAAACTTCTCATCTCTTCCAAAAGAGGAAATGAGATAAACTTCTTAAACCTCTGCCATCCTGGCCCTGCAGGAGGCTGTGAGCCTGTTCACACTCCCAGTACATCACCACCACAACTGGCATTTGAGAAAGCCACCATACAAAGGCTATCTATAACCAGGGGACAACTACAGCGTCTTTGCCACTGAAAGCATTCACAACCAAATGCAAAGGACCTTAAACAACATACATTATAGTCACATAGTAAAGGGAAAAAAAAATCCTGCCCAAATGAAATAAATTCAAAAATAAGAAGAGAAAGTTTCTACAGATGAGAAGGAACCAAAGAAATGATTCTGGAACTCTCTATGTTTTCTATTTTTTAAGTAAGTCCTTTGTTTCTCTGTTGAAAACAGTAGAATGTTTTGAAAACATACTCTGAAAAAAGAGTGTTATGACATCCCCAAAACATTACACTAACTTTCTAGCAATAGATCCTAACAAAAATAAAATCTTTGAAATACCAAATAAATAATTCAAAATAATGATTATAAAGAAGCTCAATGAAATCCAAGAGAAAGTTGAAAACAACACAAAGAAATGTAAAAAATCAATTCAGCATATGAATAAAAAATTTACCAAGAGATAAATATTTTTAAAAAAGTAAACCACCTGGGCTGGGCGCGGTGGCTCATGCCTGTAATCCCAGCATTTTGGGAGGCTGAGGCGGGCAGATCACGAGGTCAGGAGATCTAGACCATCCTGGCTAACACAGTGAAACCTCGTCTCTACTCAAAATACAAAAAATTAGCCGGGCCTGGTTGCAGGCGCCTGTAGTCCCAGCTACTCAGGAGGCTGAGGCAGGAGAATGGTCTGAACCCGGGAGGCAGAGCTTGCAGTGAGCCGAGATTGCGCCACTGCACTCCAGCCTGGGCGACAGAGCGAGACTCCTTCTCAAAAGAAAAAAAAAAAAAAAATTAAACCACCTGGAAATAAAAAATTCATCAAAGTAGTTCCAAATGCAGCTGAAAGCTTTAACAATAGACTAGACCAAGCAGAAGAAAGAATTTCAGAGCTTGAAGACAGGTCTTTCAAATTAACCCAGTCAGACAAAAAGAAAGAAAAGAGAATTAAAATATGAACAAAGCCTTCAGGAAGTATGGGGTTATGTAAAACATCTGTACCCATGAATCATAGGTATTCCTAAGGGAGAATGAAGGGTAAAAAGTGTGGAAAATCTACTTGAGGAAATAATTGAGGAAAACTTCCCTAACCCTGGCTACAGATTTAAAATCCAGATAGAAGATACTTAGAGAACTCCTGGAAAATACATTGCAAGATGGACTTCACCAAGACAAATAGTCATCAGACAATCTAAACTCAATGTAAAGGAAAAAAAATCTTAAAATGAGCAAGAGAAGAGAAAAAGTGTCCTAAAAACCTATATAGGAAATTCCATCAGTCTAACAGTGGATTTTTCAGGCCGGGCACGGTGGGTCACGCCTGTAATCCCAGTACTTTGGGAGGCTAAGGTGGGTGGATCACGAGGTCAGGAGATCGATACTGTCCTGGGTAACACAGTGAAACCCCGTCTCTACTAAAAATACAAAAAATTAGCCGGGCGTGGTTGCAGGCGCCTGTAGTCCCAGCTACTCCCGAAGCTGAGGCAGGAAGGAGAATGGCGAGAACCCGGGAGGTGGAGCTTGCAGTGAGCCGAGATCGCGCCACTGCACGCCAGCCTGGACAACGGAGCGAGACTCCGTCTCAAAAAAAAAAAAAAAAAAAAAAAAGCACTGTGAAAATCCCTATCCTGTTTGTTCCGATCTAATTACTGGGACATGCAGCCCCTAGTCACATAACCCCTGCTTGCTCAATCGATCACGGCCCTCTCAAGCGCACCCCCTTAGAGTTGTGATCCCTTAAAAGGGACAGAAATTGCTCACTGGGGGAGCTCGGCTCCTGACACAGGAGTCTTGCCGATGCCCCCGGCCGAATAAACCCATTCCTTCTTTAACTCGGTGTCTGAGGAGTTTTGTCTGCGGCTCGTCCTGCTACAATATGGCGCCATTGCACTCTAGCCTGGGCAACAAGAGCCAGACTCCTTCTCAAAAAAAAAAAAAAAAAAAAAAAAAAAAAAAAAAAAAAAAAAAATTGCGGCCGGGCGCGGTGACTCACACCTGTAATCCTAGCTCTTTGGGAGGCTGAGGTGGGCGGATCACGAGATCAGGAGTTAGAGACCAGCCTGGCCAGTATGGAGAAACTCCACCTCTATTAAAAATACAAAAATTAGCTGGGCATGGTGGCACGCACCTGTAGTCCCAGCTGCTCAGGAGGCTGAGGCAGGAGAATCGCTTCAACCTGGGAGGCGGAGCTTGCAGTGAGCCGAGATCGTGCCACTGCACTCCAGCCTGGCTGACAGAGCGAGATTCTGTCTCAAAAAAAAAAAAAGAAAAGAAAAGAAAAAAAGAAAAACAAGCAAAGAGTGGTGATGAAATTTGAAAGAAGGGACTAGGCCGGGCGAGGTGGCTCACGACTAATCCCAGCGCTTTGGGAGGCTGAGACAGGCAGATCACCTGAGATCAGGAATTCAAGACCAGCCTGGCCAACGTGGTGAAAACCTGCCTCTATTAAAAATACAAAATTAGCCGGGTATGGTGGTGCGTGCCTATAAATCCCAGCTACTTGGGAGGCTGAGGCAGGAGAATCGCTTGAACCCAGGAGGCAGAGGTTGCAGTGAGCCCAGATCGCGCCATTGCACTCCAGCCTGGGCGACAAGAGTGAAATTCCCTCTCAAAAAAAACAAAAAAGTAAAGGAAAAGAAAAGAAAAGAAATAGCATATAGTAGCATATAAATTCCCAAACATTAAACAATTGCCTTTGTTCATATAAACAATAAAAAGTTAAAATTTTTGTGAGGCGATAACCTCATATATAATAGAAACAAAAAGGTTTTTAATGAAAAAATTACTAAGAAGTGTGCAAACTTTAAATGAAAACATTAAAACACATCTGAAATTTAAAAATTAGATATGAACAAATCGGGCCGGGTGCGGTGTCTCACGCCTGTAATCTCAGCACTTTGGCAGGCTGAGGTTGGAGGATCACCTGAGATCAGGAGTTTGAGACCAGCCTGGCCAAGTGGTGAAACCCTGCTTCTACTAAAAATACAAAAATTAGCCGGGTGTGGTGGTGTGAGCCTATAATCCCAACTACCTGGGAGGCTGAGGCAGGAGAATGGCTTGAACCTGGGAAGTGGAGGTTGTGGTGAGCCGAGGTCACACCACTGCACTCCAGCCTGGGTGACAGAATGAGAGTCCATTTCAAAAAAAAAAAAAAAAAAAAAATGAAGAACTTTTTTTTTTCTTTTCCGTAAGTTCTTGGGGTACAGGTGGTATTCGGTTACACGAGTAAGTTCTTTAGTGGTGATTTGTGAGATTTCGATGCACTTATCACCCGAGCAGTATACACTGCACCTTGTAGTCTTCTGTCCCTTGCCCCCTCCTATTCTTCCTCTCAAGTCCCCAAAGTCCATTGCATCATTCATATGCCTTTGTGTCTTCATAACTCAGCTTCTACATATCAGTGAGAACATACAATGTTTGGTTTCCCATTCCTGAGTTATTTCACTTAGAATAACAGTCTCCAATCTCATCCAGGTCACTGAAAATGCTGTTAATTCATTCCTTTTTATGGCTGTGTAGTACAGAAGAACATTCTCAAATAGGAAGACTATACAGCACATTTGCAGAGTAAATTTTCAAATGTAATACCTCCTAATCAAAATGCCAACAACTACTTTTTTTCTCAAGCTAGACAAGTAGATTATAAAGTTCACATGAGAAAATAAATAAGAATAATTAGAAAATCCCTTGGGGGAAAAAAACAAATTGAGAATTGGGTGTCTAGTTATGCCTAATAGTTAAATATTTTACAAATTCCCTGTCACTAGAACAGTGTGGCACTGGTGAATGAATAGACCAACCAATGGAACAGCACAGGAAGTCCAGAAACAGCCAAGTGCATAGCAACCTAGTCCTCATTTAATGACTTTAATTCATTCCTGGGCATTGTGCCACTAAATAAAAAGTATTAAACCAGGCTGGGTGCGGTGGCTCACGCCTGTAATCCCAGGAAATTGGGAGGCCAAGGCCGGCGGATCACCTGAGGTTGGGAGTTTGAGACCAGCCTGACCAACATGGAGAAACCCCCTCTCTACTGAAAATACAAATTAGGCAGGCGTGGTGGTGCATGCCTGTAATCCCAGCTACTCGGAAGGCTGAGGCAGGAGAATCGCTTGACTTGAACCCAGGAGGCAGAGGTTGTGGTGGGCCAAGATCGGGCCATTGCACTCCAGCCTGGGCAACAAGAGCGAAACTCTGTCTTAAAAAGGCCGGGCGCGGTGGCTCACGCCTATCATCCCAGCACTTTGGGAGGCCGAGGTGGGCGGATCACTAGGTCAGGAGATCGAGACCATCCTGGCTAACGAGGTGAAACCTCGTCTCTACTAAAAATACAAAAAAATTAGCCGGGCGTGGTGGCGGGCACCTGTAGTCCCAGCTACTCTGGAGGCTGAGGCAGACGAATGGCGTGAACCCGGGAGGTGGAGCTTGCAGTGAGCCGAGATCCCGCCACTGCACTCCAGCCTGGGCGACAGAGAGAGACTCTGCCTCAAAGTGGAGAAAATGGTACAGAGGCCGGGCGCGGTGGCTCACGCCTGTAATCCTAGCACTTTGGGAAGCCGAGGAGGGCGGATCACGAGGTCAGGAGATCGAGACCATCCTGGCTAACAGGTGAAACTCAGTCTCTACTAAAAATACAAAGAATTAGCCCGGCACGGTGGCGGGCGCCTGTAGTCCCAGCTACTCGGGAGGCTGAGGCAGGAGAATGGCGTGAACCCGGGAGGCGGAGCTTGCAGTGAGCAGAGACAGCGCAACTGCACTTAAAGGGCGAGACTCCGTCTCAAAAAAGAAAGAAAGAAAGAAAGAAAGAAAGTGATACAGAAGTGAAAGAGATGTTTACCTATTGAGCAAAAGGTGTGAGGGTGTGTGTGTGTGATAAATGATACTAGAAAAAAAGAGAGCAAATGAATGATATTGTATTCTCTTCATAGTTAAGGTGTTCTGCTGTTTATTTTTTGTGGGGGGAGGGGGGCGCGGGGCGGACAGAGTCTCACTCTGTCGCCCAGGCTGGAGTGTAATGGCGCGATCTCGGCTCACTGCAAACTTCTGCCTCCCTGGTTCACGGGATTCTCCTGCCTCAGCCTCCTGAGTAGCTGGGATTACAGGCACGTGCCACCACGCCCGGCCAATTTTTGTATTTTTAGTAGAGATGGGGTTTCACCATTTTTGTCAGGCTGGTGTTTATATGATATTAATAAACAATGAAAGATAAAGAAAAGATCTGAATCATTTGCATTTTCAGGAAAATTGTTACACATCAGAAAATCTGTCAGGAAATATTTGAGACTCCATCACAATCATTGCCCCTTAAACACACCCATCAAGACGACTGTTCTTCCTCCTTTAGAGAGTAAAATGAACCTTCAGTACATTGAGTTTTGTGGAATTCTTACCTATTTACTCTGAAGTTTCTATTTACTACTTACATACCTTTGTTTTCATTGCTCTATTGATATATCTACCTGCAAAGTTTTCTGTGAGTCCTCTATTGTTATAGAATGCACCATAATTTTTTCCATTAGGAAAATTAAATTTTGTTTACTCTTTTTTTTTTTTCTTTGAGACAGAGTTTCACTCTTGTTGCCCAGGCTGGAGTGCAATGGCATGATCTTGGCTCACTGCAACTTCCACCTCCCGGGTTCAAGCAATTCTCCTGCCTCAGCCTCCTGAATAACTGGGATTACAGGCATGTGCCATCACACCTGGCTAATTTTCTATTTTTAGTAGAGACAGGGTTTATCCATGTTGGTGAGGCTGGTCTCAAACTCCCAACCTCAGGCAAAAAAAAAAAAGTTCTCAATGTGGTGGTGGTGTTGGAGGTGGGGCTTAGTGGGAGGCGTTTGGGTCATCAGGAGCAGATCCTTCATGAATAGATTAATGTCCTCCCACATGAGCGAGTAATTTATTACTCTGTTGGGGCTAGGTTAGTTACCAAAAAGCAGGTTGTTATAAAAGCAAGTTTGGTTTCCTAGACTCTCTCTTGCTTCCCTGTCTCCCCATGTGATGTTTTTGCACATGCCACTCACTTTTCCCCTTCTCCAAAATGTTTTGACCTAACATTTGGCCTTCACCAGAAGTTTGCCAGATCCAGCACTATCCTGTTGAACTTCCCAGCCTGCAAAATCATGAGCTAAATAAACATCTTCTCTTTATAAACTACCCAGTTTCAAGTTATTCTGTTATAGTAATACTCAACATACTAAGACAGTCATTGAAAACAAAGTCAACCTGGAGGAGCCTTAAGGAGACATGATTAGGACTAAATACAATGTGATATCCTCGATGAAATCCTGTGACAGAAAAAGGAAGTTAAAAGAACTAATGAAACCTGGCTGGGCATGGTGGCTCACACCTGTAATCCTAGCACTTTGGGAGGCCAAGGCGGGTGGATCACTTTAGGTCAGGAGTAAGAGACCAGCCTGACCAACATGGTGAAATCCTGTCTCTACTAAAAATACAGAAATCAGCCAGGCACGGTGGCATGTGTCTGTAGTCACAGCTATTCAGGAGGCTGAGGCATGAAAATCATTTGAACTCGGGAGGTGGAGGTTGCAGTGAGTGGACATCATGCCATTGCACTCCGGCCTGGGTGACAGAGCAAGACTTTGTTTCAAAACAGAAAGAGCTAATGAAATCGAAATAAAGTTTAGTGATACTATATTAATATTGTCTCACTGGTTGTGAAAAATGTATAATAGTGATATAAGATGTTAACAATGGGGCTGGGGGCAGTGGCACACACCTGTAATGCCAGCACTTTGGGAAGCTGAGCGGGTAGATCACCTGAGGTCAGGAGTTCGAGACCAGCCTGGCCAATGTGGTGGAACCCTGTCTTTACTAAAACTACAAAAACTAGCTGGGCATGGTGGCGCGCACCTGTAATCCTAGCTACTCAGGAGGCTGAGGCAGGAGAATGGCTTGAAACCCGGAGGCAGAGGTTGCAGTGAGCCGAAATCGTGCCACTGCACTTCAGCCTGGGCGACAGAGTGAGACTCCCTCAAAAAAAAAAAAAATATGTTAACAATGGGGAGCTGAGTGTGACATATGTGAGAACTATGTATTATCTTTTCAACTTTTGTGTAATCTAAAAGTATTCTAAAATTAATAAGTTTATTAAAAAAAAACAACAACAACAACCCTCAGAAGAGGAAAGGAATAGGGAGTTAAAGAAAAAACAGTATACTTTTTAGTTTTCCCAGGGTTTCCTATCAAGGGGCTGGGAAGAGGGAGAAAAGATTGGAACCTCAGAGACAGTGCGGGGCTCCAGAGTTCTCTTGTCCTCTGACTACTGGGGCTGCTCAGAAATTGTCTTCATCCCCCTATTGATGTCAGGTTCCAGGGTCAGCCACCTCTGCCCAACTCAGACCACAGACATCCCAGCCTTTTCTGATTGCTCAATTTGTGTCTGAGACACCAGAGAGGTGCCACCCCCAAGTGGCCATAGACCTGAGGACAGACGACCTGAGCCCCCTTTTCTTCTCGCTGTGGACCTCCCCTGCGTCTCCTTGGGCTCCCAGAAGTCAGACAGGGTTCTTCATGCAAGGGCAAGTGTTTTAGTCTTTTTGGGATGCTATTAAAAATTATATATTATAGACTGGGAAACACTGCCCTAGCCAAGTGATGGAGGTTAACATAATCATTTGATACATCAACTGGGTAATATACACTCTTGGTATGTTGTATTGAGAGTATTGCATTTCATCTCTGTGCTCTTCTTCCCCCAAACCTATAGCCCTGTCAACCACACTCAAATTAAGGGACATTTTACAATATGCCTCACTAGTACTCCTCAAGAAATACCAAATTATCAAAAACGAGGTCTGAGAAATTGTCACAGACCAGAGGAGGCTAAGGAGATATAAAGGGGACTAAATGTAATGTATCCTGGATGGGATCCTGGAACATAAAAGTGATGTTAGGGAAAAGAATAAAATCCAAATAAAATAGGAGTTAGTAACAATGTATCAATATTGTTTCATAACCTGTCACAAATGTATAATAAAATAAGACATTAATAATAGAGGAAACTGAATGTGGAACATAGGAGAACTATGTACTATCTTTGCAACTTTTCTGTAAATCCAAAAATATTGTAGATTTGATTTGATTTGATTTGATTTGATTTTTGAGACGGAGTTTTGCTCTTGTTGCCCAGGCTGGAGTGCAATGGCGCGATCTTGGCTCACCGCAACCTCCACCTCCCAGGCTCAAGAGATTCTCCTGCCTCAGCCTCCTGAGTAGCTGGGATTACAGGAATGCACCACCATGCCCGGCTAATTTTGTATTTTTAGTAGAGAGAGGATTTCTCCATATTGGTCAGGCTGGTCTCAAACCCCCCACCTCAGGTAATCCATCTGCCTCGGCCTCCCAAAGTGCTGGGATTACAAGTGTGAGCCACCGTGCCTGGCCAATATTTTAGATTTTAAAAGGATATTTTTATAACTAGTGCTCAGGAAAGAAAAAGAAAGTGGAAGTAAAAATTATCTACTTTTCGGGCGGCTTACCTTCACTCCCTCATTGACAGCCAGCCTCCACACCAGCCATATCTGTCCAGTTTAGACTGCAGCCCAGTCCTCTCCCAGGCTGCTCAATCAGAATCCAAGAGAGCAGAACATCGGCACTTGTGTGTGGTCAGCGGGCTGAGAACAGAAGACCGGACTCTTTTGGCCTCCTCCTCAGGTTGAGACCTCCCCATTGTCACCTTTGGCTTTCAGCAACTGGACAGGACAACGTACCCAAGGGGGCGCCCCAGTCCCGTGTTAGGCTCGGAATCTGAAGTGTTTCCCAAATCCACGCTGACATAGATGTTTCCTCTCCACCTAGTGACCGTGGATTCTGACCTCGGGACAGAGCGAGGTTTCCAGGCCAAAACAAGTGGTTCCCAGGTTACAAGTGGACCCCACAAACATACTGTCACTTCTGCTGCTGCTTCCAGGGATAAATGTGGCTTATCCTGGGGACCAACCCCTACTCTCCATCCCTAGGATGGGGGAGAGGAAGGGAAATTCTCAGGGCATTGGCCTAGGGAGTTGGAGAAGCTGCTGGTGAAGTGAAAACAGGAGCAGAATAGGGACATTAGAGATAAAGGGGCATAGAAAGGAATCAGCTCTGATGACACCTGTGTAGGATAAATGGGTTCTGCTTGGGGAGAGGCTCACAGGTTTCTAACTGGGATGGTGTTTTTAACATGGATGATAATTATAGCTGTGTCAGTTTTACAAGCGATCAGAAAACTACACTTAAATTTTAGGCAATTTTTGTGCTTACAGAGATAGTATAATGCGCTTACACACGAAGAAAGGGAAGAAGACAAGGGGAGAAGAAGTGATTATAGGAATTAGGTTCCTGTTTCCTTGCTAGCTGTCAACCAAGGGTTGCTCTCAGCTTCTGGAAGTTACCTGCATTCTTTTGCTCATGGCCACCTCCATCTTGAAACACAGCCATGGTACACTGAATACTTCTTTTGCTTTGAATCTTCCCAACTTCTCTTTGATCTTTGTTTTTTCTGCCCCTTAAGGAGTTCATGTGGTTAGATCAGGCCCAACCAGATAACCTGTTTTATGGTCAATTGTCTTGGGACTTCAATTACAACAGCATAATCCCTACATAGTGGTGCAGATGGTCCCTGATTTACGATGGCTCAACTTACAGTTTTTCAACTTTATGATGATGTGAAAGCAACACACATTCAGTATAAACTGTACTTTGAATTTTGATATTTTCCTGGGTTAGAGAGTATGATACTCTGTGACGGTGCTGGACAGCAGTAGTGAGCTGCAGCTCCCATCAGCCACACAATTATGATGGTAACAACTGATACTGTACTCTATACTGTACTGTATGCAACCAGTTACATGAGATAGTCAACACTTTATCATACAAGGGGATTTGTGTTAAGTGATTTTGCCCAACTGTAGGCAAATGTGTTCTGAGCACATTTAAGGTAGGCTAGGCTGAGCTAATATATTCAGTAGGTTAGGTGCATTAAATACATTTTCCACTTGAAAATATTTTTCAGTTACAATGGTTTTATTGAAACATAACCCCATTTTAAATTGAAGAGCATCTGTACTTTGATTAGTATTTGACTGAATAACCAGGGGAAGCAATCTTGAGGGGGAAAGCATCTTTAGAATTCTGCCTATCACAGTACCTTGGGGGACTACTGCAAATGAATGTATCCCATTAGAACTTCTCTACACCTCTAATCACCTTTTGTCTTAAAGTGGCTGAGGTGAGATAAAGGGATCTAAAGGGATTGGGAGCATGGAGGGAGAAACAAGTTCTGTTCCATTAAAGTCACGCATTTACTTTCAGTTTCTTTCTGCATGGCAAGCTTTCAGTGTTCTCAGCCCACCCAATACTTTATATTGGGCAGAAACATCCTGATGGCTGATGCCATCAGTTTTGGCCTTGGATCTAGCACCCACAGCCATAGGCTCTGGCTGAGTCCATGGGGTTTGCACCTTCAGGCTGACTTGAGCTTGACTTGCACAGGGGTAACCTTGAATGAGGAGGATTCCATCCATTACCAAGTTAACATTTTTAAAGTTCTCATCAGGTTTCAACATAAGGGCTAGGGGAATTTTTCAGAGGAACAGGGCTGACTGCAAGCATTTATTTACATTTCTTTAGGTCAGTTTGTTTTTCATCAATGGATCGCCTTCGTCAGTACGGTAACACCAACCCAGAGTACTAAGAGGCTGAATATGCACTTGATTTCCCATAGTACTTTGTCTCAGGGAAATCTTACCTAGAGGACCAAATCTTCCTGATGGCAGTCAGGGCTCACTGCGATGAAAATATGAGACCTTTTACTGTTGCCTACAAATGGATCTAAGGTTGGGCTCGCAGACTGCAGAAGGTGCTGATCTGTAAGGCAGCACAGTTGTTGCCATTCTTTCTTAACAAGCATTGACATGCTACCTCCTTATACCCTCAAGGTCTCAACTCCCAGATGATCCAGCTAAAGTGTAATGATTTGTTTGGCTCTGCCAATAGCTATTGTTAATTTCCCTCCTTTCACATTCACTGTGCGTCTCTGTAATTTTCTGCGGAAAAATTGCAGATACTAGGATGAAATAACTTTTGTCAGACCCAGATAAAATAGGGCCAGGCCAGGCACGGTGGCTTACGCTTGTAATCCCAGCACTTTGGGAGGCCGAGGCGAGCGGATCACCTGAGGTCAGGAGTTCGAGACCAGCCTGGCCTACATAGTGAAACCCCCATCTCTACTAAAAGTACAAAAATTAGTCGGACGTGCTGGCATGTGGTTGTAATCCCAGCTACTGGGGAGGCTGAGGCACGAGAATTGCTTGAACCTGGGAGGTGGAGGTTGCAGTGAGCCAAGATCACACCATTGCACGCTAGCCTAGGTGAAGAAGCGAGACTCTGTCTCAAAAAAAAAAAAAAAAAAAAAAAAGGCCAGGAAGGCATGAAGGAGAGGAACGTCATGCTTACATGTTTGAAGTAAGAATTGTTAAGTTGGGCGTGGTAGCTCATGCCTGTAATCCCAGCACTTTGGGAGGCCGAGGTGGGTGGATCACCTGAGGTTGGGAGTTCGAGAACAGCCTGACCAACATGGAGAAACCCCATCTCTACTAAAAATACAAAATTAGCCAAGCATGGTGGTGCATGCCTGTAATCCCAGCTACTAGGGAGGCTGAGGCAGGAGAATCGCTTGAACCCGGGAGGCGGAGGTTGCGGTGAGCCGAGATCATGCCATTGCACTCTAGCCTGGGCAACAAGAGCAAAACTCTGTATCGAAAAAAAAAAAAAAGGAAAAGAAAAGAATTGTTTCAAAGGACTTTTTAAAAACTCCACAAGAAATCTTTTCTAGGGAGTGGGGAGGGATAGCATTAGGAGATATATCTAATGTTAAATGATGAGTTATGGGTGCAGCACACCAACATGGCACATGTATACATATGTAACTAACCGGCATGTTGTGCATATGTACCCTAAAACTTACAGTATAATTAAAAAAAAAAAAGAAAAAAGAAAGAAATCTTTTCTAGCCGGGCGCGGTGGCTCACGCCTGTAATCCCAGCACTTTGGGAGGCTGAGGCAGGCAGATCATGAGGTCAGGAGTTTGAGACCAGCCTGACCAACATGGTGAAACCCTGTGTGTACTAAAAAAAAAAAAAAAAAAAAAAAAATTAACCGGGTATGGTGGCACGCACCTGTAATCCCAGCTACTCAGGAGTTGGAGGTTGCAGTGAGCTGAGATGGCGCCACTGCACTCCAGCCGGGGCAACAGAGCGAGACTCTGTCTCAAAAAAATAAAAATAAAAAAATAAAAGAAATCTTTTCTTCATCCTTCATGAATGTCCTGTCACAAGGTTTATCAGCAGGCATTCTTTTTT
Organism: Homo sapiens; assembly: GCF_000001405.40. NCBI lineage: Eukaryota > Metazoa > Chordata > Mammalia > Primates > Hominidae > Homo > Homo sapiens. Next base: position 29,682,316 of record NC_000006.12, on the reverse strand, counting down.
TTTGTTCTGTTTAGAAATAGGGCCTCACTCCATTGCCAAGGCTGGAATGCAGTGGTGCAATCATAGCTCACTGTAACCTCAAACTCCTGAGCTCAAGCAATCCTCCCACCTCAACCTCCTAAGCACCTAGGACTAAAGGCATGTACCACAACACCTGGCCAAGTTGTTTTCATTTTTTCTAGAGAAAGGGTCTTGCTATGTTGCCCAGGTTGGTCTTGAACTCCTGGCCTCCAGCAATCCTCCCTCCTCAGCTTCCCAAAGTGTTAGCATTCCAGGAGTGAGCCACGGGGGCCCAGCCTAGACATTCTTTAGTACTATAGTAATTCAGATAAGATGCTCTTGAAAGAACACTTGCCCAGTAACGGCAATGTCTCCCAAGTAGCTGGGATTACAGGTGTGCGTCACCACCACCGGCTAACTTTTGTATTTTTAATAGGGACAAGGTTTCGCCATATTGGCCACGCTGAGGTCGAACTTCTGACCTCAGGTGATCCGCCCCCTCAGCCTCCCAAAGTGCTGGGATTACAGGTGTGAGCCACCGCTCTCAGCCGCGTGTTTTAATCATAATACTTTGGTCTTTTTTTTTTTTTTTCGTAAATACTTTCCTCTTTTTTTTTTTTTTTTTTTTTTTTGAGATGGAGTTTCACTCTTTTTGCCCAGGCTGGAGTGCAGTGGCGTGATCTGGGCTCACTGCAACCTCCACCTCCCGGATTCAAGCGATTCTCCTGCCTCAGCCTCCTGAGTAGCTGGGGTTACAGGCGCCCGCCACCACGCCTGGCTAATTTTTGTACTTTTAGTAGAGACGAGGTTTCGCCATGTTGGCCAGGGTGGTCTTGAACTCCTGACTTCAGGTAATTCACCAGCCTCGACCTCCCAAAGTGCCGGAATTACAGGTGTGAGCAATCGCGCCCAGGCTTTTTTTTCTTCTTCTTTTAGAGTCAATTAAGACTGGGAAAGCGAAAATCCTAGCGCTACTTGGGACCAGCAGCTATCAGTTGGTCGGAGGCTCGAAGTGGTGGTGCATGGCCGGGCTGTCTGTGATTCTTAGGATGGGAAGCTTGACCTTGGCGGGCTCACCCTCTCATCTGGGTCAAGGGGCACATTCTCGGTGGCCTGATGACTGGGAGGGAGCGGAAGAGGGCGGGGCCGGGGTGGGGCCGCGGCGCCGGGACTGCGGGTGCTCGGCCGGAGCGCTCCAGCCGCTGGTCCCCGGGAGACCCTGTGCCCCTAAATCGCGGTCCACTGCGCGCGTCAGGTGAGTAGAGCGGCGGCGGGGAGTCGCGCTAGCGGTAGTAGAGGCTGATGTTGGATGTTGTCCCCACTCCTCTGACTCTTCCGCAGGCCAGGGGAGCACTGCGCCCCTAATCTTGGAGGGGCTTCCAACCTCTGGGGTCCTCCGGGGAAACGTGGGTTAGTCTGGGGTGTATCCAGGTGCCCTGTCCACTGTGGGCACTCTGGGGATTCCGGGCCGAGGAAGGGCTCCTGGCACGTGTTGAAAAAGTCGGCATCCCAGAAGGAAGATTCTGGGCGGATGGGCATCGGGGAAGGTAGTCCCAACCAATGGGACCGTTTCTGAGCACATAAGCGCATTCAGTGGGTGCTAACAAGCGCCTGCTTTGCCAGGCGACAGTGAGCAAAACCGGCTTTGTTCCCGGCCACCGGAAGCTTCGAGGCTGGGGTTCCGGATCTGGGCGCCCAATGACAAACTAAGCGCGGAGGACAGGGCCAGGAGCGCCCACCAGGGCGGCGATCTGGTGGGTAGGTGCAGGGCAATGGCTGGAAAGGGTCCCCGAAGCCCTGAGCAGAGACCAAAGGGCCGTGCGACTGCAGGAAGGCCATTTTGCTTGGCTGACAGGCGGAAAACTCACGTGGCTGGAGTAGCAGGGTTGGTGACGACAAGGGTGAATCCCACTAAGCATTGCAACTGTTTGCGGTGTGAGGGGTGAGGGGGATTCTCATCATTCTCAGAATTGCTGTGGATAAAGGGTTTTGGGTTGGAGAGAGACTGGGTGCACTCAAAGGACTGAAAGATGGCGACGACACATTCCCTCAGAGGATTTACATTCTGGAAGGGTGGGGACAGGCCCGGGTACAGATAAGCCCGCAGGCGGCCTCCAGCTCTTACAGTCGAAAGTCTGATGAGTTATGCCCAGTCTCCTTCCTCCTCCCGCCGGCATGAGGTTTGGGGCCCTGTGGATGAAGGAAGTTCATGGGAGGCAAACGTGCCTGGGCAAGCAACAGCCGCAGAGATTCAGTCCCCACGGGGGTTAGAATCCACACTTAGGGCCTCTGCCTACCGCCTCCAGCAAATGCCATCTTGAGGACTAGCGGCAGCAGTAGGTCTTCTCTGCCAGAGAACTGGAAGGCCAGGTTCTTGAGGGCACTGTTACTAAGGCGTTTTTTTTTGTTTGTTTGTTTGTTTGTTTGTTTTTGAGACGGAGTTTCACTCTCATTTCCCTGGCTGGAGTGCAATGGCGCGATCTCCGCTCACCGCAACCTCTGCCTCCCGGGTTCAAGCGATTCTCCTGCCTCAGCCTCCCTAGTAGCTACGATTACAGGCATGCGCCACCACGCCGGGATAATTTTGTATTTTTAGTAGAGACGAGGTCCATGTTGGTCAGGCTGGTCTCAAACTCCTGACCTCAGGTGATCCGCCCGCCTCGGCCTCCCCAAGTGTTGGGATTACAGGCTGAGCCACCGTGCCCAGCCTTATTAAGGCTGTTTTGAAGTGCAGTTGGCTGGAAAGTGGAAGAATAATCCAAGATCTGCATGCCTCATAAAAGGAGTGCGAATGGTTTTGAAAGACAGGAAAGGAAAGGGAGAGAGAGGAAAGAAAGAGAGAGGAAGAAAGGAAGGAAATCAAATTCATATCCCAGGAATGCACCTTTCATGACAACATTTTGGAGATCCAATTAACTCTATTCCTCGAGGGCGTTTTTCCTTGCTGGTATTTTCAGTTCTATTAACACTTCTCAAAAAGTGAAAGGAAAAAATAGTCAACAGGGTTTTTTGGTCTTTATTCTTTTCTTTCTATCTCTAGTAAGGGAGATGTGGGTGAGTGGCTGTCAGCAGGAAAAGGTGAGAGTTCAGCTATGTTTGCATCTGAGCAGGAAATTTCCAAGGATGAGCAGGGAACTCCAGTGCTGGGCTCATTGTGAGCCCTGAATAAGTGATTGCTCTTGGGTTGTTAGCAGTATTCTTCACAAAGATCTGTATATACAGTGGTTCCCCTTATCCACAGGTGATATGTTCCAAGAGCTCTAGTGGATACTTTGTTTTTGTTGTTGTTTGAGGCAGAATCTCGCTCTGTCACCCAGGCTGGAGTACAGTGGCACAGTCTTGGCTCACTGCAACCTTCACCTCACGGGTTCAAGTAATTCTGCCTCAGCATCCTGAGCAGCTGGGACTACAGCGTGCCACCACGCCCAGCTAATTTTTGTATTTTCAGTAGAGACGGGGTTTCACCATGTTGGCCAGGCTGGTCTCAAATTCCTGCCCTGAAGTGATCCACCGCGCCCCACCCCAGTGGATACTTTGAAACCATGAATAGTACCAAACCCTGTATACACTATGGTTTTCTTTTTCTATACATACATAATAATGATAAAGTTTAATTTACAAATTAGGCATGGTAAGAGATTGACAACAATAACTAGTAATAAGATAGAACAATTACAGCAATATATTGTAATAAAAGTTGTATGAATGTGGTATCTCTCTCAAAATAATTTATATTGTAAATCTTAGCAACCTCAGCATATGATTATTTTTTCTTTCCTTAAGACAAGAATTTTTACCTTTTTATTTTATGGCTTCTCTTTGCATATCTGAATTTCCAGCGTCTCTACTCTTGTGCTTTTGGGTCATTATTAAGTAAAATAAGGCATTCTTGAGCACAGGCAACTGCTATACTACAGTAGTCAACCTGGTAACTGAGATGGCTAGCTACTAAGGAACTAATGGGCAGGTATTGTCTGCAGTGTGGATATGCTAGTCAAAGGGATGATTCACATCCTGGGCAGGCCAGAGAGAAAAGGTACAAGATTTCATCACACTACTCAGAATGTCAAGCAATTTAAAACTTAGGAATTGTTTATCTCTGGATTTTTTTTTGAGACGGAGTCTCGCTCTATGTCCCAGGCTGGAGTGCAGTGGCGCAGTCTTGGCTCATGGCAACGTCCACCTCCAGGGTTCAAGTGATTCTCCTGCCTCAGCCTCCTGAGTTGCTGGGATTACAGATGTGTGCCACTATGCCCAGCTATTTTCTTTTTGTATTTTTAGTAGAGACAGGGTTTCACCATGTTGACCAGGCTGATCTCGAACTCCTGACCTCAGATGATCTGCCTACCTCAGCCTCCCAAAATGCTGGGATTACAGGTGTGAGCCACTGTGCCTGTCCTCCGGAATTTTTCATTTAATATTTTTGAACCATGGTTGACCATGGGTAACTGAAGCATTGGAAAGCAAAACCATGATAAAGGGGAACTACTACATGTATTGAAAATCCAGATCACAGAATTGTGTGTGTGTGTGTGTGTGTGTGTGTGTATAATTTTGGTCATGGAAGAGATCTTAGAGAGTGTCTCCTTTATTCTCACATTTCTGATGAAACCAAGTCAGAAAGAATAAAGAGACTCACTCGAGGTGATCTGTGACAGATCCTAGCCTGGTTACCCCAGCTACATGATTTCCAATGGTACTGAGTCTAACATTAACATTAGGTTTAAACATTAACTTTTGTAGATCAAGAATGTCCACTTGTCCTTGGAAAATTATTTAGCATCTCTGCATTAGGTCCTTAAGACAGGGCCAGTAATTGTTACCTCATTGCTGAGAGCATCCAGTGGCACACTGTAGGGGTTTAGTAACTGCTGGCATTCCCTGACCAAATAAGGAAGCTGTTTCTTACCCTCCCTCTTGCTGATATGTTTTGTTTTTCTCTGACCTCAGGTTTCTAGAAGCAGGGTAGAACAGACGGCAGACACCTAGCCCAGGCTGGTGTTGTTACTAAACAATGGCAGCTGGTGAGCCAAGGGTGACCAGGGCCCTGAACTCGGTGGCCCAGCTTTGAGGGAAGCAAAATTGTTCTCAATTGTGGAAGAGGAGAATTTGGACAGCAGAACAAAAAAGGAAGACAGCCTCTTGGAGCAGATACATTTGTCACAGGAAGCCACATCAAACCCTGGGGCCTTTGCTGGGCCTCTCCATCTGCCCAGTTACTGGGAGGTAGATAGCCCCAGGAAGGAATCCAGTCAGGCCTGGGCACCAGGCCAGGAGTGGATAAAGCTAGAAAGAGACACCACAGAAGAGAAGATGTTTGAACAGCTGAAGCCAATCGAACCTGTACAGAAGACGCTCCCATGGGTGGGCGAGGTAGCTGCCACCCTGCAGGAAGCCATGAAGAGAGATTGCTGGAGGGAGGCACGGGTGAAGAAGGTGAGGAGACTAAGCTAGAGAGAGGTGGGGTCCAGGTCCTGGACTCCAGGAGCTCTTTCATACATACTCCTGCCTGCAGGTCAAATGAAATCTCAGATTGTTCCAGACTGAACGACATCCAGAAAAAGGAGCTGCAAGACCTTTCTCCATCTCCCGCACCATCCTGGCATCCTTCATGGAGTACTTCCTGAAATTTGTTAGAGTGGCAGCATTTTTTCCTTCGCTTTGCTTTCCTGTTTATATTCTGCATATCTGCATATCCTCTTTCCTCTCCCCCACATCTTATCTTTCTCCCTTTCTCTTCATCTTTCCTTTCCTTTTTTTTTTTTTCTTTTTTTTTTTTTTGAGACGGAGTCTCGCTCTGTCACCCAGGCTGGAGTGCGGTGGCGCGATCTTGGCTCACTGCTACCTCTGCCTCCCGGGCTCAAGCAATTCTCCTGCCTCAGCCTCCTGAGTAGCTGGGATTACAGGCATGCGCCACCATGCCCAGCTAATTTTTGTGTTTTTAGCAGAGACCAGGTTTCACCATATTGGTCAGGCTGGTCTCGAACTCCCGACCTCGTGATCTGCCTGCCTCAGCCTCCCAAAGTGCTGGGATTACAGGCGTGAGCCACCGCGTCCGGCCTCCTTTCCTTTCTATACTTCACAGTTGCTGGCCTTGTGTCTGTCTTTTAATATTTCTCTCTTCCTTCCATGGTTTTATCTTTCTCTTAGGTTTTAATTCTCTGAATCTTGAGACTGGATGTTAATCTTGTACACACACACACACACACACACATATATATTTATATAAACTTCTTGAGTCTCTCCTGTTCTTCCAGAAGCCAGTCACCTTTGAGGATGTGGCAGTGAATTTCACCCAGGAAGAGTGGGACTGTCTAGATGCCAGCCAGAGGGTCCTTTACCAGGATGTTATGTCGGAAACCTTTAAGAATCTAACATCTGTGGGTAAGAGGCTGGGCTTCCCTCAGCAAGCCCCCTGTCCTAAGGGCCCTGGAACATCTGGTTTCCCTGGACAGGTAGATCAGCTTACAATTAGTTTCACTGACCCCTGGTTCTATGCTTTCCAGGTGTGAAAGATCTGAGTCACTAAGCTCAGTGGTAAAGAGAAGAAATGATAGCCTGCATGAAGGCAAAGATAACACTTGTAACATGATGACAGTGTTCTCAAAATATGCAAATTTTTCCATTCATCAAACAAATATTTACTAAGTCACTCCTGAGAACCAGGTACTTTGCTAGCAGCTGGCCTTTTAATGTCTCCTTTCCGCATCTACATGTCCCAGGTTATGGTTCTTAAACAAAGGCTACAGGAGGTAGCCTGTTGTCCCCATCAGATGTGAAGGGGCCATACCTGGGACCAACTCAACTCTTTCTCATTCCCACACATCAGCCAGAATCTTTCTGCATAAGCCAGAGCTAATCACCAAGCTTGAGCAAGAAGAGGAACAGTGGAGAGAGTTTGTCCATCTCCCAAACACAGAAGGCCTTTCAGGTAAGAATTGCCAAGCAGGGAGGAAGGGGAAAAGGGCCCAGGATAACCCCTGAAAGGATGGAGAGCTGATGAAGAGGATGAATGCTCTATAGATGCTCTCCTAGTGTACCTCTGTCCAGCCTGGTCAGACTTGGAGTTGAAAGAGAGCTTAATATCATAGGCTCAAGTCCCTTGACTTCAAGTTGAAGATCCAAGTCTCTCTCTCTCTCTCTTTTTTTTTTTTTTTTTTTTTTTGAGACACAGTCTCGCTCTGTTGCCAGGCTGGAGTGCAGTGGCACAATCTTGGCTTACTGCAACCTCCACTTCCCGGGTTCAAGCGATTCTCCTGCCTCAGCCTCTCGAGTAGCTGGGACTACAGGCATGTGCCACCGTGTCCAGATAATTTTTGTATTTTTAGTAGAGACAGGGTTTCACCATGTTGGCCAGGATGGTCTTGATGTCTTGACCTCAGGTTATCCATCCACCTCGGCCTCCCAAAGTGCTGGGATTACAGGCATGAGCCACCGTGCCTGGCTGGCTGAAGATCTAAGTCTTTCAGGAGAAGTAGATGTCTTCAGTTTCTAGAGATTGAGAGATGACATGAAAGTTGCTTATGTCCATGATAGTGCTCTGATTAAAATGTTCTTTCCAAGAGAAAAGAGAAGCAAAGGAGATAGGTTTCATGCTGGGTTGGAGTAAGGGAGGCTTGTCCCTGGTAGTAAATAGTTGAGAGAGATATCAAGCCAGGCTGATACACTTTTTGGTTTTCCAGGACAGTCCTGGTTTATACTTCTCATCCCAGCTTGATTATTAATAACACCTCTTTTCACCCTCAAGTGGCCCAGTGTTCATGATGCATTATTATGTGGGTGTCTGTGGATTGTCTATGGGAGTTTGAGCAATATTGAGAATGAGATAAGATAGATTTCAAGAAGTGTTGTTGTAAGTTAAAATTTACATTTCTGACAGTGTTGAAAGATTCCAGTTAACTTTTTATTTGCTTCTAATTTGAAAAGCCAATTTTTTCTTTTTTTCTTCTTATTTCTAGCCTATGAGGCCCAAGGGTAAGGATGAATGTGTTGGGTGGGAGAGCAAGGGCAGAGACAAGAAGTGTGTTAGGCTGAATGGAGTGCTGTGTTGGAGTTCTTCTTCTTCCTCTTCTTCTTCTTCTTCGTCTTCGTCTTCTTCTTCTTCTTCTTTTCTTTTCTTCTTCTTCTTCTTCCTTCTTCTTCTTCTTCTCCTTCTCTTCTCCTTCTCCTTCTTCTCCTTCTCCTTCTTCTTCTTCTTTTTCTTTCTTTCTTTTTTTTTTTTTGAGACAGAGTTTCACTCTAGTTGCCCAGGCAGGAGTGCAGTGGCACCATCTTGGCTCACTGCAACCTCCGCCTCCCGGGTTCGAGTGATTGTCCTGCCTCAGTCTCCCTAGTAGCTGAGATTACAGGCAGATGCCATGACGCCCAGCTAATTTTTGTATTTGTAGTAGAGACAGGGTTTCACCATGTTGGTCAGGCTGGTTTCGAACTCCTAACCTCAGGTGATCCGCTGGCCTCGGCCTCCCAAAGTGCTGGGATTACAGGTGTGAGCCACCATGCCAAGCCTCTGTTGGAGTTCTTACAGTGAATTTTGTGTTATTCTTCCTCATTCACTGTAGAAGGCAAGAAGAAAGAGCTTCGAGAACAACATCCCAGTCTGAGAGATGAGGGGACTAGTGATGACAAGGTCTTCCTTGCATGCAGAGGGGCCGGCCAGTGCCCCCTATCTGCCCCAGCTGGGACTATGGACAGGACCCGGGTGCTTCAAGCATCCCAGGCTGGGCCACCCTTTTTTTGCTACACCTGTGGCAAATGTTTCAGCAGGCGCTCCTACCTCTATAGCCACCAGTTTGTTCACAATCCCAAGCTGACTAACAGCTGCAGTCAGTGTGGGAAGTTGTTTCGGAGCCCCAAGTCCCTCAGCTATCACAGACGCATGCATCTTGGGGAGAGGCCCTTCTGTTGCACGCTCTGTGACAAGACCTACTGTGATGCTTCTGGACTAAGTCGTCACCGCCGCGTCCATCTGGGTTACCGGCCCCATTCATGCTCTGTGTGTGGGAAGAGCTTCCGGGACCAGTCTGAGCTCAAACGCCACCAGAAGATACACCAAAACCAGGAGCCAGTGGATGGAAACCAGGAGTGTACTTTGAGGATTCCAGGCACCCAGGCTGAATTCCAGACACCCATCGCCAGAAGCCAGAGGTCCATCCAGGGGCTTTTGGATGTGAACCATGCACCAGTGGCCAGGTCCCAGGAACCCATATTTAGAACTGAGGGTCCTATGGCCCAGAACCAGGCATCTGTACTTAAGAACCAAGCACCTGTGACCAGGACCCAGGCACCCATCACTGGAACCCTCTGTCAGGATGCCAGATCCAACTCTCATCCAGTGAAGCCCTCAAGACTCAATGTCTTCTGTTGCCCCCATTGTTCTTTGACTTTTAGCAAGAAATCCTATCTCTCCAGACACCAGAAGGCCCACCTCACAGAGCCGCCCAACTACTGCTTCCATTGCAGCAAGTCTTTCAGCTCATTTTCCAGGCTGGTCAGACACCAGCAGACCCACTGGAAGCAGAAGAGCTACCTTTGCCCTATCTGTGACCTCTCCTTTGGGGAGAAAGAGGGCCTTATGGATCACTGGAGGGGCTATAAAGGCAAGGACCTGTGCCAGAGCAGCCACCATAAATGCCGGGTGATCCTGGGCCAGTGGCTTGGCTTCTCTCATGATGTCCCCACTATGGCTGGGGAGGAATGGAAGCATGGAGGTGATCAATCTCCCCCCAGGATCCATACCCCCAGGAGAAGAGGCCTAAGAGAGAAGGCCTGCAAAGGAGACAAAACAAAGGAGGCAGTGAGCATCTTGAAACATAAATAAATGGCCTTTCTGACTGAGCTCTTTCTTTGTGTTTAGTTTTCCTGAGGACTGACCTCTGGGGTAATGAGGCTGGAGTAGAGGGAGACAGGTGCGTGGATAAGGAAGGAAATACATAAAAGACAAGGGGTTAGAAGTGTGCTTATGAAAACTTGTATTATTATTTTTTATTTATTTATTTATTTATTTATTTATTTATTTATTTATTTATTTTTGAGACAGAGTCTTACTCTGTCACTCCGGCTAGAGTGCAGTGGCACGATCTCAGCTCACTGCAACCTCTGCCTCCTGGGTTCAAGCGATTCTCCTGCCTCAGCCTCCGGAGTAGCTGGTATTATAGGTGCCCACCACTATGCTCAGTTAATTGTTTGTATTTTTAGTAGAGATGGGGTTTCACCATGTTGGCCAGGCTGGTCTTGAACTCCTGACCTCGTGATTCGCCCGCCTCGGCCTCCCAAAGTGCTGGGATTACAGGCGTGAGCCACCGCACCCGGCCAAAACTCGTATCTTTATTAATTAGCACCTAGCTTGTTTGTTTGTGTCTGACCATCAAGTAGTAGTTGTTGAATAAACAGTGGATACTCTGATAGATATGAAGATAGGAGAAAAGGATGAGAGGAAGGAAAGATTCTGAGACCTGTGGAAGATGTGTAAGTAGAAGGAAAACATTCTAAAGCAGGCATGTTGCCCAGCTTTCGTTTTTGCTTCCCCAGGTCCCTAGTAGGCTGCCAAGACAAGGAGGAGCTCTGGCTAGTATTCTGTAGGTTTCTCCCCATCTCCAGGTTTGGGTTGGGGCTACTCATATCCTCACTCTTCAGCTCACTCAGCTCTCTCTTCAATGTTTTGCACTCTTCCTCTTCCTTCCCTTCACATGCCTTTCAGTTTTGCGCAATCAGGGCTGGAGTCTTGGAAGAAACAACCACCATTTGCAAAGTTACCATACTGTAATTTTCAGTGAGGAGATTCCTGGCCTCCAGTTCATGGCAGAGACCATCCTGTGTTGCTCTCCAGTACAGGTGTCCTCTGATGGAGAGAGGGGCACCTGCCTGTCCTTAGCCAGAGAGGGCTTCCAGGTGGAAGACTGGAGAGAGAAATGGAAAGAAGGGTAATAAAAATGGGAAAATGAAGAGAAAAGGTAGATGACAGAAGAAGGGAAATCAATTCTACTTGGAATTCAGAGTGTTCCTGAAAGTGCAAATTGGAATGTCCCCATAGCAAAGATGCCAGTGAGTGTGCAACTTGATGGATGAGATGTCCCCAAGGACAAATCCCTGGGCAACCAGGCTCTCCTCCACCCCTGCCAAGATGTGACATCACTCAGAAGGGATTTCCTAGAAGAAGGAGAAAATAACTTGAAAAACGTATGTCAGTAGTTTGTATCATAAAACCATTGAACTAGGGAGAAGAAAAGCCCTTGGGGTCATCTTGTCTCCATTCCTGCCTCAATGGTTGATCTGAGAGGTGAGGCACTGGGCAGTTGCTGTGGAATGGGCAATGAGACCAGCTAGGGTTGGATTCCTGCTTAGGGGCAGTGAAGGAGGAATGGATCAGGTGGCAGATAGGAGTGCCTCCAGCTTCTCTGCCACCTGTAAATGTGTCTCTAACAGCTGGCTTCTTTGCCCTCTACCTCCCAGGAGGAGTCTTCCCTCCACCCAGGCTCTCCAGCTCCTCCTTTCCTCTGGGAATGTGATCCCTCAATAGCCCGCCTCTTCCTCTTGTTGCTTCTGTCTCCCTTTCCTGGCTTTTTATTCTCTGCTTATAACAGAGAGAAGAGAACTTACGTAGCTCTTCAAGGAATTGCCCTGAAAACAAAAAGAAACAAATATGTGATTAGTGGAAGATGAATAGCACCTTCCCCACATCCTCCCTATGGACATTTGGAGTGACCCACACTGCCCTTTCCACTGGGGGATCCCACAGATCCAGTAAGTGGTTCTCTTCACAGTTTCTCAGAAGAGCCTGGGGTTGGGCATGGGGACAGAGGAATAAGGAAATCCCAGCTCCCCTAATCTTGAGTCCTGGTTCTATTCTCTTTTGGCTTCCCATTCAGAGCTGACTTGGTCCCCCACTATTTGGTGGTCTTGCCTGCTGCCCAGCCACTGCACCTGCTAGTCTTCGATGTAGCCAGTTGTAGCAGATGATCAAGGCAACCAAGGGTCCAAGAACCGGCACAATTACAAACAGGGTTATCTTCCAGCAGGGCACCCTCAGAAAGTGGGGATCTGAATTGTTCACCAGAACAAACAGGGTTAACATGTGTTCCCCCTCATGCCCCACCCACCTGTCTTTTTTGGTTCCTTAACCTGGGGTCCTAGAACACCAAAGGACTCTGGGGACAAAATTCAGAAAGTCCATGAACTTGGATGAGAAAAGTACTGCCTCCTTATTTTCAATAACTGGATTTAACATTTTCTTTCATTAAAAATGTAACAACTGCCAGGTGTGGTGGCTCATGCCTGTAATCCCAACACTCTGGGAGTCCGAGACGGGTGGATCATGAGGCCAAGAGTTCAAGACCAGCCAGGCCAACATGGTGAAACCCCATCTCTACTAAAAATGTAAAAATTAGGTGGGCGTGGTGGCACATGCCTGTAATGCCAGCTACTCAGGAGGCTGAGGCAGGAGAATCGCTTGAACCTGGGAGGCGGAGGTTGCAGTGAGCCAAGATCCTGCCCCTGCACTCCAGCCTGGGCCACAGAGCAAGACTCTTGTTGATCCCACCAACACCCATTCCCCCAAGTCTTGGAAAAAACAAAACAAACCAAAACATTTTACAACTAACCACAATATGAGCAGTACCTGTGACTTAATTACCAATGGAAGCCACAGATGTTTTCATTCCCATTAGAGTTATTGCAGAAATCTTGAAATACTGTTTATGTTTATTAGTATGTTGAAATTAAAGGTTATTGGGCTGGGCCTGGTGGCTCATGCCTGTAATCCCAGCACTTTGGAAGGCCAAGGCAGGCAGATCACCTGAGGTCAGGGGTTCAAGACCAGCCTGGCCAACATGGTGAAACCCCGTCTCTACTAAAAATACAAAAATTAGCTGGGCATGGTGGCATGCGCCTGTAGTTCCAGCAACTTGGGAGGCTGAGGCAGGAGAATCGCTTGAACCCAGGAGGTGGAGGTTGCAGTGAGCCGAGATTGTGCCATTGCACTCCATCTCAAAAAAACTTCATCTCAAAAAAAAAGAAAGAAAGAAAGAAAGAAAGAAATTACAGGTTATTAGACTTGCTGCTACATTACTTAATGTATTACTTTGGCTAAAGAAATATTTATGGCCGGGCACGGTGGCTCATGCCCGTAATCCCAGCACTTTGGGAGGCCAAGGCAGGTGGATCACCTGAGGTCAGGAGTTCGAGGCCAGCCTGGCCAACCTGGTGAAACCTAGTCTCTACTAAAAATACAAAAATTAGCTGGGTGTGGTGGCGGGCACCTGTAATCCCAGCTACTCAGGAGGCTGAGAATCGCTTGAACCCGGGAGGCAGAGGTTTCAGTGAGCCTAGATCGCGCCATTGCACTCCAGCCTGGGTGACAAGAGCAAAACTCTGCCTCAAAAAAAAAAAAAAAGAAACATTTATGTTACTATATCACAAATGTGATTATCGGTTGATAACTGTATTTTAGTACAATGATTGTTTTTGCAATCCTATGTGTTCTATTTTATGTGTATATTTAAAAACATTCTGCAAAGGGGTCCTTTAGACTTCACTGGAGTGCCAGAGAGATTCATGGTACAAAAAGGAGTTAAGACCTTTCATAGTCAAGTCCTCCAAAACAAAGATACTATTCCTCCTCTTTGGGTGTGTAAAGATGTGTGTGTGTGTGGTCCACACACTGGTCTAATTTCCTAAATCGTACGATAGAACTCTGTGTGCCAGGTGACAAGAGTAGAGTCACCTACAGCCTCGGGAGGAGGAGCTGTGAAGGAAGTTTGCTCAGAGAAGGTACCATCTGTGCCCTAATGACACCTTCTAGTGTCTGCAACATTTATCTAACAAATATTTGGGTGCTCTTCTGTTGCCATTATCTTTAGGCATTGGGCAATCTGCAGTGAACAAAAAGGCTAGAAACCATGTCCTTGAGGGGTCAATTCCTAGTGGGGCTTGGTGGCTTTTCTATTCCTCTATGAGGTCTTCTCTGATTAGTCATGTTCTGTACTCATGGAAACATCCTGAGTTTGTAAAGCAGAAATATAAGTACAGGTGATACAGTTGTGTCTTGTTTCTGTTTGTTTCACCTCCCCAACCAGACATCAGGTTTACGTGTAAACGATCTATTTACCTCTGTTTTGCCATTCCTGAAAAGAGAGATCATGTGCATAAGGAGTTAAACAGAATAAGATAACATTTTTGTAAAGTAGTTAGAATAGTGCCTGGCACATAAAAACAGTACATGAGTATTTTTATTATGATTTTACCAATCCTAAATGCAAATGACTTCTTATTTAAAGAAAGAAAAGAGAAGAGAGGAAGGGACTCAACCAGGAGCCAGGGGTCCTTGTTCCCCCAGGTGACTGGAACTAGAGTGAAATACCAAGTTGACCTGGGAGGGCCTAGACATGCCGGAACTTACCAAAAGTCCGGTGGAGATTCTCTGAAAGAGAAACAAATGGAAATGGATTTAGTAGGGCACTCAAAAAGGATCTTTTATCCTGAGTCTTTGTTATTTAATTACTTAAAACTTGTTCTAGGCACGACACACCCACTGTAGAGAAAGGGAAACTGAGGGGAAAACAGGGTATTGAGAGGGAGAGACGGTCCAAGAACGGGACCATTTCCGTTATGCCAAAAAACCAAAAGGCAAGAATTGGGAGAAACGATGACTGGAACTCACCTATCTCTGCTCGAAGTTTTCCTAAAATAGAAAAAGGCAACATTTTAGTTCCTGCATGTTCTGGCTCTCGGTGGGGACCCTCCCACACCCAGCGCCTGGGCCCCTTGTGCAGGCTATTTCTCTGCAGCCTGGAAACAACCTCAGGAGAGTAGGAAGAGCACTGGATTTAAAGCCAATGGTTGCGGCTCTTTCTCTAGCTATAGTCTAGATACAATAGCGAATAAAGAATGTGAGCAATGCTCCAAGCCAGCACAAGCATCCAATACATCCCAGCTGCTCTTCGCCCCTTTTCTTGGATTCTCAGTTCACAGAGCTGCTCCAGCCCACTGCGTTGCCACTTTGTTTATCTAAAGCCACTTCCCATCTGAATGAGGAGGGAGGAGCTGAACATTTAGTGAGTAGCTAGCTACTTTGTGACTGGATTTGTAGTAGGCACTTTGCATGACTTTAATCCTCCCTACAATTTAGGACGAAGGATGTTTTCTCTATTTGACAGACAAGGCAACTGAAGCTTGGAGAATCTAAGAATTTTGCTATAGAGTTCAGTACCTGAGATGGAATTCAAACCCAGGCTGCCTGACTCTAACATTCAGATTCTTTCTGCTCAGCCATGAGGGCTGAAGGCCTTTTTTTGTGTGGAAGAAGTAAACAAGCAGGCATCTGGGATGAATTCAAGGTGAGAGAAAGGACTTTGTTGTTGATCGCACCAACACCCATTCCCCCAGAACATTCCCCATACCCTCCTTGCTACTTTCTCCTCTCCTCTTAGTAACAAATGGGAGGTGGGGCATGGGGAGGAGTGAAGACTCTTCCTGCTCTGGCATTGGGGAGACACTTGGTAGGAGGAGAAGGCTCAGAATGAAAGCTCTAGGCAAAAAAGAGGAGCTTCATCAGCAGCTGAACCTGAGTCCTCAGTGTTGAATGGAGAAAGAGGAAACAATTTTCGAACGCCTACTGTGTGGTAGAGACTTTCACTTCAGTATCTTTATTCAAAACTCCTAATAGCCTAGACCTGTCTGACTTCGAAGCTCACACTCTCCCAAGTTGCATGGAGCTGCTAGGTATGATACAGAGGCCTCAGCTCTACCACTTATAAGTTATATCGGTTTGAGTAAGTCACTGAACTACTCCTGGCCTCAGTTGTATCCTCTGTAAAATGGGGTTACTATATGGCATAGTTAGCTCATAGGGAAATGCTAGGTCCGATTATTCATATGAAAGCATTCCGTAAGATGTAAAACTCTTTCATCATGGAGTTATTTTTTTTCTTTATCACTCAATAGTGAGAAGAACTTCTGAACCCAGAAGTCACTCACAAATACATGTTAAGTGGTGTAGCTCCAAGAAGCCAGCTCATTTAAAGAAAGGATCCTGATCCACCCACCCTCTGCCCTGTACCTCTCAGTCTGTACTGCAGGCAGAGGAAGATGAGGCCAACAGTGATCTGCAGGAGGAGCACAGGCAGCACCGCGAGGAGAACCAGCACTCCAGGGCTCACCCAGTAGAAAGGATCTGAAAGGCAGGACTGACATTTGACATTGTCCAGAGCTGAATCCCCAACACTCAGCATGGTGTCTGGGGCCCAATAAATCAGGTCAAATAAAGAAGTGAATATCATCAGGATTCAAAGAAGGTGACACAGAATTGGTCCCTGAGCTTAGCCCTGAAGGAAAAATGGCTTTTTTTTCCAGGAAATGCTAGTGATTTAGAATGACAAGTGGTTTAAAGTCAAGATTGTGTATTGGGTCAGGCTGGGGGAGTTTTAACGAGCAGCTAAGGGACTTACATCTGAAGTCCCTCAAGGGACTTTTTATTGACGACAAAGTCAAAGGTTCTCTTCATATTATTGTGGTGTATCGCCTACAAGCATAATTAAAATAAACACTAAATTTCAGTTTAAAGTTTACTGAAAATAAATATGTATTTCAAATATGTAGTTCAAGGCTGTGGTGGTGCACTGAAGGATTCCAAGCTGAGAAGTGACCACGTCAGATTTAGCACCTACAGGACTGGAGAACATAGGGAGAAATGTTAAGAGACTGTGATAACAATTAAAGTAAAAAACAACATGAACCTGAACTAGGACAGTGGTAATGGTATAGGAAGTCAGGGGATTCAAAGCTTAAATAGGGAATAAAAAATACATATTTATTTTCAGTAAACTTTAAACTGAAATTTAGTGTTTATTTTAATTATGCTTGTAGGCGATACACCACAATAATATGAAGAGAACCTTTGACTTTGTCGTCAATAAAAATCACAAATATTGGCCAGGTGCGGTGGCTCACACCTGTAATCCCAGCACTTTGGGAGGCCGAGGCGGGCGGATCGCCTGAGGTTGGGAGTTCAAGACCAGCCTGACCAACATGGAGAAACCCTGTTTCTACTAAAAATACAAAATTAGCTGGACGTGGTGGCACAGTCCTGTAATCCCAGCTACTCAAGAGGCTGAGGCAGGAGAATCGCTTGAACCCAGGAGGCGGAGGTTGAGGTGAGCCGAGATCTTGCCATTGCACTCCAGCCTGGGCAACAAGAGCGAAACTCCATCTCAAAAAAAAAAAAGAAAAAGAAAAATCACAAATATTTTCACGTCACATTAGAAAAGTCACAGAAATCTCAAACTATCACTTATGTTCATTACTATTTTGAAATTACACTAATTAATAGGGTCACCCTAACTCTTGTTAATTTAATATTTTGATAACTGTATTTTGGTATAAATGTTTTATTTGGTGTATTTAAAACATTCTTCTGGCTAGGTGTGGTGGCTCTCCCCTGTAATCCCACCACTTTGGGAGGCCAAGGCAGGAAGATTGCTTGAGCCCAGGAGTTCTCGAGGCCAGACTGGGCAACATAATGTGAGACCCTGCCTCTACGAAAAAAAATTAAAAATTACCTGGGCATGGTGACACAAGCCTGTGGTCTCAGCTATTCAAGAGGCTGAGTCAGGAGGATCACTTGAGCCTGGGAGGTGGAGGCTGCAATGAGCCATGATCGTGCCACTGCAACCAATCCTGGGTGACAGAGTGAGACACTGTCTCAAAAAAAAAAAAAAAATTCTGAGATGGGTCTATCAACTTCATCAGCTTGCGGAAGGTGCATGACACACAACAAAAGGTTAAGAGCCCTCTTCTAGAGCTTTTAAGAAGGTAGTTTACAGCGGGCATGGTGGCTCACACCTGTAATCCCAGCATTTTGGGAGGCCAAGGTGGGTGGATCACTTGAGGTCAGGAGTTCGAGACCGGCTTGGCCAACATGGTGAAACCCTCTCTCTACTGATAATACAAAAATTAGCCAGACATGGTGGTGCAGCCTGTAATCCCAGCTACTTGGAAGGCTGAGGGAGGAGAATTGCATGAACCTGGGAGTTGGAGGGTGCAGTGAGCCGAGATTGCACCATTGCACTCCAGCCTGGGTAACAAGAGCAAAACTCCATCTCAAAAAAAAAATAAATAAATAAATAAAAGAAAAAAGAAAAAGAAGGTAGCTTACACAGGATTCAGTAACTGAACAGATGTGCAGACCTGGAGATGTGGAGTAGGTTGAGCAATGAGGGAGGGGGACCTTCACTTCTGTGGCTCCCATCTATTTCCCATTCTAGGTCTGCTCCTCAGCATCCAAAAGCCCCACTCTAATCTCCATGTGCCATGCTGCAGCTGAAGCCCTTTTCATCTTGATCTCTGCTTTAAGGGAGCTGAGTAAGGATAATGACATCAAAGGTAGGGATACATCACAGCTAATAACATTAAACTGGTCCAGGAGGGTTGCTTAGGTATAATTACAATCCTTCAAGCTGTAGACTAAGGCTCCTGTCTATCATTGTGTTCCCTAGGGGAAAATGCAGCTACCTTTACTTTCAAGTTCTTAATGGAAGTTACCTGTAGCAATGTGATTTAGCGAGTATGTACTTAAGGGTTTTTTTCTCCCAACCCCCCACATTTTTCCTTTCACAAATAATTAGAAAAGAGAGAAAAGCAGACATTATCAGCCTCCGGATGTAAAGCAACAAGAAGTATAGAGTATCACTGATGAACTATATTTGCCAAAGTAAATCAAACACAAATGTCATTGCACCTCCACATCTATCAGTTTACAGAAAAACACAGGGCATGGAGGACCGTATTACATAGCAACATGGGAATGTCGTCAACAAAATTCAGACCCTGGGAAACCCTAAGGGCAAAGGTCAACAGGTGGGTCTCATTTGAATCTCGCTAAAAGAAACCAACTGTAAGAGTATATTTATGAAACAATCAGGAAAATTTGAACACAAACTGGGTATTTGATGATATTAAGAAATTTTTGTTGAGTTTGTAAGATGTGATAATAGTATTGTGGTTATTTATTTATTTATATTATTGTGTGTGGGGAGGGGGGGCTTTTTTTTTTTTTTTTTTGAGTCTCACTCTGTTGCCCCAGGCTGGAGTGCAGTGGCATGATCTCAGCTCACTGCAAGCTCCGCCTCCCGGGTTCACTCCATTCTCCTGCCTCAGCTCCCAAGTAGCTGGGACTACAGGCGCCTGCCACCACGCCAGGCTAATTTTGTTTTTGTATTTGTAGTAGAAATGGGGTTTCACCATGTTAGCTAGGATGGTCTCAATCTCTTGACCTCATGATTCGCCCTCCTTGGGCTCCCAAAGTACTGGGATTACAGGTGTGAGCCACCGCGCCCGGCCTATTTATTTTTTAAAAAGTGTTCTTCGCTGGGTGCAGTGGCTCGCGCCTGTAATTCTAGCACTTTGGGAGGCCGAGGTGGGAGGATTGCTTGAGCCTAGGAGTTTGAGACCAGCCTGATCAACATGGTAAAACCCAGTCTCTACAAAAAATACAAAACATTAGCAGTGTGTGGTGGTGTGTGCCTGTGGTCCCAGCTACTATGTAGGCTGAGGTGGGAGGATGGCTTCTGCCCGGGAGGCAGAGGCTGCAGTGAGCAGAGATATGCCACTACACTCCAGCCTGGGTGACAGAGACAGATCCTGTCTCAAAATAAATAAAAAGAAAAAAAAGAAATGATCATGCTGCCTAGGATTTACCTCAGTAATTGAGTAGGGGAGGGTGGTAATGAGTGGGGAGCCGGTGAGGTGGGTGGTCCCTGGATTGACAAGTGCTGCAGCAAGGTGGTAGGCACTTGGAGGCTCATTATAATATTATCTCTGGTTTGTATGTGGTTTTTTTTTTTTGAGACAGAGTTTTGCTCTTGTTGCCCAGGCTGGAGTGCAATGGCGCGATCTTGGCTCACCGCAACCTCTGCCTCCCGGTTCAAGCGATTCTCCTGCCTCAGTCTCTCAAGTAGCTGGGATTACTGGCATGTGCCACCACGCCTAGCTAATTTTGTATTTTTTAGTAGAGACGGGGTTTCTCCATGTTGATCAGGCTGGTCTCGAACTCCTGACCTCGGGTGATCTGCCCGCTTCGGCCTCCCAAAGTGCTGGGATTACAGGCGTGAGCTGCCGCGCCTGGCATTTGTTTTTATGTTTCATAATGAAGAATTTAAAGAAAGGATTAGAGACAACTAGTAATAAAATCACAAAAATGACAAGAAAAAAATAAGTAAACAAGAGAAATTAGAAACTCTTCAGAGAAAGAGCAGAGGTAGTTACACCTGAGACTTGCAATAATACCATTACTTCATCTCATTCCTAAATTTGTCTCAACTTCCTGGCTCCAAAGCCTAGACAAAGCGTCCCTTATTTACTTGTAAAACAGTTTCTTAGGCATGCAGACGAAGAGGTGGGAACAGGAGGTTGGAATGTGGATAGCAACCCAAAAGAGAACTTTCTCCCCTGAGGCAAAGTCTTTAGCTGCTTTTCTTTTTGTCTTCCTTGTTTTTTTTTTTTTTTTTTTTTTGAGATGGAGTTCCACTTTTCTTGCCCAGACTGGAGTGTAATGGCACGATCTTGGCTCACTGCAACCTCCGCCTCCGGGGTTCAAGCGATTCTCCTGCCTCAGCCTCCCAGCTGGGATTACAGGAATGCGCCACCACGCCAGGCTAATTTTGTGTTTTTAGTAGAGACAGGGTTTCTCCATGTTGGTCAGGCTAGTCTCGAACTCCCGACCTCAGGTGATCCACCCGCCTCGGCCTCCCAAAGTTTTGGGATTATAGGTGTGAGCCACCGCAACCGGCTTGTCTTCCTTTTTTGGTGTGGTGAAACTGAGGGAGTTTGTTGGGAGAGGCAGTTACTGAGCTAGGAAGTTGTTGAGCAGGAAGGAGAAAAATCTGCAAACTGGAGAGGGTCTCACTATCAAACTTTTCGGCAAGTAGAATTTCCCCAATAAAAACAGCTGTATGAAGAACATTCTGAGACACATAAAGCTATTTCCATATCCCTGCAGGCAGTCTCTAGAAATAGTGCTTTGTTGTTCCACATACAATGCCATCTTCTGGTCCCAGCACTGCAATGGTCACTCCCACCTCCAAGATACAATAGTGATCAATTGTCTGATGTTTGCACTGCAGGTGGGGAGGAGGAAAAGGCAGAGGATCTGACCCCCAGGCTCTCAAAGCAGTTTAGTTCCTCAATTAAATAGCAAGTAACTTTCAAAGCTCCCCCTCCATCGGCTTCACCTTGTCCACATCTTAATCATCCTGCGATAGAGCAAAAAATATTCTCCAAAATCACCCATCATGCAAAACATGTTGAAAATGAAATTCTGAGGCCGGGCACCATGGCTCATGCCTGTAATCCCAGCACTTTGGGAGGCTGAGGCGAGTGGATCACCTGAGGTCAGGAGTTTGAGACCAACCTTGACAACCTGGTGAAACCCTGTCTCTACTAAAAATACAAAAATTAGCTGGGTGTGGTGGTGGGCACCTGTAATCTCAGCTACTCGGGAGGCTGAGGCAGGAGAATCACTTGAACCCAGGAGGCGGAGGGCGCCATTGCACTCCAGCCTGGGTGACAGAGCGAGACTCTGTGTCAAAAAAAAAAAGAAAAGAAAGAAAGGAAAAAAAAAAAGAAATTCTGCAATTCTGCAGAATGAAATAGTGGAGGTACAGCCAAAAAGTGACATCTCCTTTCTATAATTATATTTAGACATTTGATTTACTTGCTTATTCACTAGGACCAAGCACAGGTGTGTGTGTGTGTGTGTGTGTGTGTGCGCTCACAAATACAGGGTTTTTTTTTTTTTTTTGAGACGGAGTCTCGCTGTGTCCCCCATGCTGGAGTGCAGTGGAAGGATTTTGGCTCACTGCAACCTCCGCTTCCGGGTTCACGCCATTCTCCTGCCTCAGCCTCCCGAGTAGCTGGGACTACAGGCGCCTGCTACCATGCCTGGCTAATTTTTTTTTTTTTTTTGTATTTTTAGTAGAGACGGGGTTTCACCGTTTTAGCCAGGATGGTCTCGATCTCCTGACCTTGTGATCTGCCCACCTCGGCCTCCCACAGTGCTGGGATTACAGGCGTGAGCCACGGCGCTGGGCCCAAGGGTTTTTTTGTTTTTGTTTTTGTTTTTTTTAGAGACGGGTAGGGAGTGGGGGTGAAGGTCTTTGCTCTGTCACCCGGGTTGGAGTGCAGTGGTGCAATCATAGCTCACTGTAACTGCAAACCCCTGGGCTCAAGCCAGCCTCCCGTCTCAGCCTCCTGAGTAGCTGCGAGGCAAACCACCATGCCCTAGGGTTTTGTTTTTGTTTTTGTATCCTACAGCAGCTTGCTCTTATCACTCAATAATACCTTATAGAAGGCCTCCAAACCATCTGGCCTAGTGCTAAAATAATCTTTTTAATGCCTGCATAATATTCACAGTATGGCTACCATTGTTCATTCTGTCACTTACCTACTCAAAGGCATTGATTTTGATCCCAATTTCCTTGCTACTCTGAATAATGATGCAACAGACATCCCTAAGCATGAGTTTCTGTTTATTGATGTGTACATTTTTATGGAAATCATTCCCAGGACTGAGATGTTTGGGTTGAGGGATCTCATCTCAGTTGAGAGAATAATTGTTCTTGGCCACCCAACAGTTAATACCTAATATTATATGGCACTACTCACCTTCTACTTTCAATTCCATTGCTGCCTCCTCTTGGTAAGAATGATCTCGGAAGAAGCAGGTGAAACCTCCTTCATCTGAGAACCTTACATTCCGGATCCTGAGAGTCACCTTTCCCTCACCAATAGCATCTTTCAGCAGCTCTGTCCGGCCCCGATATTCAGGTGCCTGGTCTCCATCTTGGTCCTTGCCATTTCTGTAGAGATGAACCACCCTAGAGAAGGGGGGGCGGTACCACCCCACCTCCATGCCTGTAGCGTTCTTCCCAGGAGATATGCGACATGGCAATTCCACTTCATCCCCGACCAGAGCCCGGATAGGGTGTCTTGGTCCTATCACTCTGAACTGCCCTGTCCAAGACACCAAAAGGAAGAGATTTAAGGTCAGAGGGAACCTTGGCAAGCAAGCCTGTCATGAGAAGGGCTGCTTCAAAACAGGGAAGGAAGAAGACACTCGACTTTTAAATGACATTCTAGAGCCAGGGAGGATTGCAATTGTTCTTCTTCTTCTTCTTCCTTTTTATTTATTCATTTATTTTTTGAGACAGTCTTACTCTCTGTCGCCCAGGCTGGAGTGCAGTGGTGCAATCTTGGCTCACTGCAACCTCCGCCTCCCTGCAACCTCCGCCTCCCAGGTTCAAGTGATTCTCCTGCCTCAGCCTCCCGAGTAGCTGGCATTACAGGCACCTACCGCCGCATCCAGCTAATTTTTGTATTTTTAGTAAAGATGAGGTTTCACACTGTTGGCCAGGCTGGTCTCGAACTCCTGACCTCAGGTGATCCGCCTGCCTTGGCCCCAAAGCGCTGGGATTATGGGCATAAACCACCACACCCGGCCTCAAGTTTCCTTCTTGAGAACAACAACGACAAAAAAGACTCTGGTTATAGAGATACTGTGAATGTCCTGGACAGAACATTTTAGCAATCATCTCCTCTCAGCATCTGCCCATCTTTTTGCCAGCTGTAGCCATCTCTGACTCTTCAGCCCAGCCTTTAGGTTCCCTCTTGGAATGTGGCACAGCATCTTGAGGTTGAATCCTCCTATGGGCCTCCCTGTTAGGACTTGGCCAAATTGCTGCCTATTCTACCCTTAGAGGTTTTGCTTTTGTCACTCCATCTACTTTAACTGTCTCTCCATCACTTCTCACTATTCAGTCCTTGTTCATACCTTGTTTCCCAAATTCTCTTCTGAGATCTTCCACCCTGGGGATGGCTCTATTTCCCTCTTCCTTCCCCTGTATCTTCCACCTCACTGTGGCTCCCGGACCCTGACCCGAAAAAGTTCCTTGTTTTTTTCTATGTGGATGTGTTTCTCAAGTCAGATTCTGAGCTACTAAGAAATAAGGCTGCTTTCTCCCCTAGACCTGGAGAGTGGATGCACTGTGCCTCTGTCAGTCAGGTGGCTCCCTGAGGATGGGAAACTTTCTGTTTATTTCTCCTCTGCACGTGACAGCCGGGTTCCTTTATAAAAACCTACTGGTGCCTGATTATGCAGAGCAAAGTCTCAAACATGACAAGATATTATAATTCCACAAACATTTATTGAGATTTACTATGGACAGGCACTGCTAAGCATGTTACATATCTCATTTCATGTAATCCTGATGAGAACTCCAAGAGGTTGTTATTATTTTATCTCAATTTGAGAGGTGAAAAGACAAAGCTGGAAAGACAAGTAAGAAGTAGTTCAAGGAAAGCCTTGAGTTAGTCACATTAAGGAGTCTGGGTCAGACGCAATGGCTCATGCCTGTAATCTCAGCACTTTGGGAGGCTGAGGAGGGCAGACCACTTGAGGTCAGGGGTTCCAGACCAGCCTGGCCAACATGGTGAAACCCCATCTCTACTAAAAATAAAAAAATTAGGCCTAGTGCAGTGGCTCACGCCCATAATCCCAGTACTTTGGGAAGCTGAGGCGGGCGGATCAGCAGGTCAAGAGATCGAGACCATCCTGGCCAACATGTGAAACCCCGTCTGTACTAAAATACAAAAAAAAAAAAAAAAAAAAAGAAAAGAAAAAATTTAGCTGGGTGTGGTGGCAGGCGCCTGTAGTCTCCGCTACTTGGGAGGCCAAGTCAGGAGAATCGCTTGAACCAGGGAGGCTGAGGTTGCAGTGAGCCGAGATCATGCCACTGCACTCCAGCCTGAGCAACAGAGGGAGACTCTGTCTCAAAAAAAAAAAAGAGTCTGGACTCCATCTTGAAGGCTGTAAGAACCACCCACGGAAGGTTTCTGAGGAAGGGAGGCATGTCAGTAGGTCTATGTTTTAGAAAGATAATATAGCAACTTGAGGATGTTTGAAGGAGCTAAGCCCCAGGAAACTAGCCTTTCTGTTTTCAGGGTCTCCCCAGGGCAGGAAAAAAAACATGTCTTACCTGCATAGCTGGAAGACACTTGGAGGAGGAGGAGGAGGAGGAAGGAGCAGAGGCAGCTGGGCAGAGAGGGTCTTGATAAGCTTGCCATCTCTACTGTTCCTGGGGACAGAGAGCCCCCGCAGCAAGGTCAGGCCAAGTGGAGGCCCTTGGGGTGCATGTCCCCTTACTGCTGAAAAGCCCAAGGGAAGATCTTGGAGGGCAGTGCTGCCTGGGCCCTGCCTCCACTCCGGTAATTGCTGCAGCTGTGCCCGCAGAAACAGCCCCACGTCACCCTTGCCAGGCACTCACACAAAAGGGCTACAGACTGAGGGGATGACCAGGGTTTGCCTTCCCCACCCCCCCAGAGCAATGGAGCAGAGGCTGCCTGGTACAGGGCTTTCCTCCCCCACTCCCTCCTGGAGATCCAACCTTTGAAGGGTCTTCTAGGGGCTAATCAGTGGGGCAGGATCACTTACAGGACCTTAGGAAGAGGCTTGTTCATGGAATATGTAAGCTTCCTCCAATCCACCCCAGCCCTACTGACTAGTCAAAAGAGAGAAATTATTATTGGTTCTTAAAAAAAGAAAGAAAACTTAGATTTCTTTTTCCTGTTTCTATTATCTCACAACTGTCATCACCAGACCATTCTTCTTAATGTCTAACCTCCCTTTCTTCTACCGCGAATCCAAACTCTGCCCTGTATGTTTGTATATGTGATAGGTCACTTGGGATTTGTTAGTTTCTTGTTCCCAAAGAATGTTTTTAGGGAAGTCATGAGATGAATGTCAGGTGTGCTCAGAGAGGCAAGGTTGGAGGAAGGGAGACCAGCAAGGGCAGCAACTAACTATGTCAGTCAACACAGGCAGAAGGGACAGAGCCAGCATACAGGACACGCTCTCCAGCCTTCACATCACTTGCCAGTTTCCTCAGTGTCACAGGGGAGAGTGAGATCTGGAATGGAAAATGACCTTTCTCTCACCTCTTGGCTCAGCTGAGAATTGCAAGTGTGAGACCAGCATTGGTAGCAGGTTCCAAAAATAGACTTCCCAATCTTAAGGCAAGTATGCCTCACCAAATAAGGAAAAAAGGCTCAATTTAGAGCCGTGCTGTCCAATGCAGCAGTCACTCCCTGCATGTGGCCACTTAAAATTAATTACAATTAAATAAAATTAAAAATTTGGTTCATTGATTACACTAGCCATGTTTCAAATGCTCAATAGCACTACAGTTAGTGGTTATCTCATCAGACAACACAAATACAGAACATTTCCATCGTCACAAAAAATTATATTGGGCAACACAAAAATTTATATTGGGCAGCAAGGGGTAGAAACACAACTGAGACATACATTTCTGCTTTTGTCCGAGATGGGCGTAAGGAGCTAGAAGGACATTAAGGTCAGCTGAGTTTGGGAACTGCTTATTCTTTCACCCTTCAAGGCAGCCAGCGTTTGGACACAAGCAATGTTTGGCTACTCTGGTGCTGTGTGGTTGAAAGTCAAGATTGCAGGGGTCAATCCCATGGAAAAAGTGGCCGCTGTGGATCTCTGGCTTTTTACCAAAGGGGTTTTTTTTTCTTCAAAAACCTAAAATGTCCTGGGACGCTCTTTCTCCCTGTTGCATATTCAGGTAGGAGAGTTATGCACAAGATGCTTCTGGGCAGGATTTGGGGGTGGTAAGATGTGTGCAATTGTCCAGCACCAAGCAAGCTGTCAAAAGCTGGATGGGAGATCAGGATGAGGGTGGAGGCATGTGGGAGCAGAGAGGGTCAGGAGCCTGCCGAGCCATCACAGCCACTTTGGAGAAATCACAGCATCTCTGAAAACAACAATAAAAAAAACTAACCACCTTACTGAGATATTCTATGTGCTGTGGTTCTAAGTGGTTTACTTGCATTAACACCTTTAATCCTCACAACAACAAAACAAATATTAAACTATTATCACCCATATCTTACAGGTGAGAAAAGGGAGGTACAAAAGAGGTAAAGGAACTTGCTAAAGTCACACCACTAGGGAGTGGCAGAGCTGGGATTTCAAGCCAGGCTTTCTAGTCCTAGAACTGGCTCTTTTAACCACCACAATACAAGGCCTCTGATGAGCTCAGCTTATTTACTTTCATGCCCTCAACTGCCTCAAATTTCCTGAAAGGGGAGGATTCCTGGAGCTGTGAGAGCAGTCCCTTGGCTGACATGGTCTTTGGGCAAAGGTGATATATACAAGGGAAGGCCAGAGGGGCCACCAGCAAAATGAAGCCAGTGGTGTTGCCACTTGCAGAAATCTGGGGTATAGGGGCTGGGCCCGCTCACGCCTGTAATCCCAGCACTTTGGGAGGCCGAAGCGGGCAGATTACCTGAGGTTGGGAGTTCAAGACCAGCCTGACCAACATGGAGAAACCCTGCCTCTACTAAAAATACAAAAATTAGCTGGGCATGGTGGCGTGCGCCTGTAATCCCAGCTACTCGGGAGGCTGAGGCAGGGTAATCCCTTGAACCCAGGAGGCGGAGATTGCGGTGAGCCAAGATCCCGCCATTGCACTCCAGCCTGGGCAAGAAGAGCAAAACTCCGTCTCAAAATAAAATAAAGAAATCTGGGGTATGGGAACATCAGGTATTGCCAGGAATAGAGCTCAGTGTAGATGTGTCCAAGAAGTGAAACCACCCTGTATCACCCTGGGAGCTGCTCATTTCTTTCAGCATTTAAATATTATTTTAATTGATTTTGTATAGCATATGTTATGAGATCCTGCAAGTATTCCTGAGTTCTTGAGTTGCCTCTTTTTTTCTTTCTTTCTCGTTTTTGAGACAGGGTCTCTCTCTGTCACAGGCTGGAGAGCAGTGGCGTGATCAGGGCTCACTGCAGCCTTTACCTCTCAAGTTTAAGTGAACCTTATGCCTCAACCTCCTGAGTAGCTGAAACTACAGGTATGTGCCAGCATGCCTGGCTAAATGAAAGCTTCTTTTCTTTTCTTTCCCTTGGTCTCAAACTCCTGGACTCAAGTGATCCTCCTGCCTCAGCCTTCTGAAATGTTGGAATTACAGGCTGAGCCACTACACCCAGCTCAATTTTCTTCCAGTGTTGCTGTCCTCAGTAATTTCAGCTTAATCTGCATCTCTCACCATGTCCAATGACAGACCATGTACACAGTAATATATTCAGAGTGACACATTGAATACAGTAAATGTGTGTGGTAATTTTTTAACATGCTCTATGCTGTCCATATGTGAAATAGTAAGCATTCAATAAATGGTAGCTTTCCTACATAAATACCCAGCAACAGTACTGTATAAGCTTTTACAGATAATCTGTAAAATATGTATCTTTACATTATTTATGTTATCAGAAGTGATAATAGACACCCTGTTTTGATTCTTGTTGTCTACTTAATTCATAATTCCACATTAATACATAATATGGCTTTTTTGTACTTTTGAAAATTGATTGTTAGCTGGACGTGGTGACATGCACCTGTTGAGCCCAAGAGAGAGAGGCTGCAGTGAGCACTGATCGTGCTGCTGCACTCCAACCTGTGCGACAGAGTGAGACCCTATCTCAAAAAAATTTTTTAAATAAAAATTGATTCTTATAAAGTAACATGCTTTGAAAATAAATCTCAGCCAGCTAAAGCCGATCTGTATTTTCTCTAAATCCTTCCGTTTGTATATATATACCACTAGAGGGCGCTCCACGAAAGTCACTGCCTGTGAGTACTGCAAGTAGCGCTCACACATCCCTCCCTCTCCCTTCTCCCACCTGTTTTACATAAATGGTAACAATTTATCTTGAAGCTCTTTCCTTATCAGTACCTAAAGAACATCCTTGTTATTTTTAAACAGCTTACAATATTTTATTGGATGAATATAATATAGTTATTTAAGTAGCATCCCAAGACATTTAGACTGTTTCAGTTTTTTAAATACCTATTTTTACTAGGATGAAGCAAAAATGTACTCAATTAATTTAAATCAATACATATTTAAAAGCAAGTGCTATGTGTCATACTTTATATTAGGCCCTGATTATAAAACTTTCAGCAAGGCAGACAAGATTCTTGCCTTTATGAGTTATATTCTAGTTGTATTGCAGTTATATTACAGTTATATGTTACCTAAAGGCACAAATTGATCAATGTCAGGCCATCATTTTCAACCTTTTTGCTCTTACATATAATTTGGCAATGAATATCAGTCTACTAAGGCCAGCTACATATTTTGAGGGGCAAAATGAAACTATGGAGCTCCTTGTTTAATAGCAGGAAAAGACCAGGTGCAGTGGCTCACGCCTGTAATCCCATCACTTTGGGAGGACCAGGTTGGAGGATCGCTCGGGCCCAGGGTCTCGAGTCCAGCCTTTACAACATAGTGAGACCCCATCTCTAGTTAAATAAATCTATTAAAAAATAATAAAATAGAAAATAAAAAGCAGAAAAAAAACCCAACCTTTTCCTTTTTTCTGTGGTTCCACTGTCAACCTATTATGTGGGGTTTTTTTCTTTTCTTTTTTTTTTTTTTTTTTGAGATGGAGTCTCGCTCTGTCGCCCAGGCTGGAGTGCAGTGGCGCAATCTCGGTTCACTGCAACCTCCGCCTCCCGGGTTCAAGCCATTCTCCTGTCTCAGCCTCCCAAGTAGCTGGGACTACAGGCGCTCGCCACCATGCCCAGATAATTTTTTTGTATTTTTAGTGGAGACGGGGTTTCACCGTGTTAGCCAGGATGGTCTCGATCGCCTGACCTCGTGATCCGCCTGCCTTGGCCTCCCATAATGGTGGGATTACAGGCGTGAGCCACCGCGCCCGGCCTTTTTTTTTTTAATTTAATGTCACACTCCAGGCACAGGAGTACCTAGGGGGAAGTGCAGATCTTCACAAGTGCCTAGGGCCATGCCTTCCATTTGGCAAGGGAGGTGTGTATGCCTGACCGCTCCCCTCCTTTCCACTGTTCCCAGGCCCCTGCTGGGAGCGAGCCTGCACAGAAGGTGGTGGAGCCGGCAGCTGAAAACCAGTCCTGGGGAGGCTGGGAGGCATGGGGAGCAGGACCTCGCTTGAGCCAGGCTCCAAAAGTCTCTAGCCCATGTTCTGCTTTCTCATCGGACTTCATTATAAGACACAAATTGAAAGATAAAATTATTAAGAATTTCAAGACAGGAACCACAGAGCTTTAGAACCCAAACACAGTATCCCTTCTAAGCATGGGGCCCTTGTGTGACTGCCCTGGTCACTCACCCATGAAGTTTACTCTGCTTTCTACACTGGTAGAATAGTTTGTTCAGAGAGCATGTTTTTTGGTAATTTCAATAAATATTGATAAATTGCCCTGCACAAAGTTGTATACTTCACTGTACCCTGGCTTTCTCCTTAGTGAGTGAGGGAATAATATCATCCACTTCATCAGGGTTATCATGAGAATGACATGAATGAGTCCCTGTGAACTGTGAATGGTACACAGTAACCACTCAGTAAATACAGTCATTAGCCCTTACATGCAGTGATTTTCTTCTGGAACTCCCTCTAGTGGCATAAATATAAAGAGGAATTCACGTTTTCTTTTCTACTTTTGTGGCCCTATTTCCCATAATATTTGTGTGTTTAAATTGGTCTAGATATTCCACTGAGGCTCAATGACCGATAGACTATAAAATGTCTAATTTACATCAATTTAGCCAGATGCTTCCTAGGTAGGTCGGAGAAATGAGAACACTGATCCGAATCAATGTGAGGCAGCTCCCAGCAAGTGAGCGCCTGTAGCATGTGTGAGCATGGGTGCTGTGGTGAATGCAGCCAGGGGCTGCTCTTTCATACTGCTTTATTTCTTTTTCTTTTCTTTCTTTTTTTTTTTTGAGACGGAGTTTCGCTCTTGTTGCCCAGGCTGGAGTGCAATGGCACGATCTTGGCTCACTGCAACCTCCACCTCCCGGGTTCAAGGGATTCTCCTGCCTCACCCTCCTTTGTAGCTGGGACTACAGGCACCCGCCACCACGCCCGGCTAATTTTTTGTATTTTAGTAGAGACGAGGTTTCACCATATTGGTCAGGATGGGCTCGATTTCCTGACCTCGTGATCCACCCGCCTCGTCCTCCCAAAGTGCTGGGATTGCAGGCATGAGCCACCGCGCCCGGCCATACTGGTTTATTTCTTTTTCTTTTTTTTTTTTTTTTTTGAGACAGAGTCTTGCTCTGTCGCCCAGTCTGGAGTGCAGTGACACGATCTCGGCTCACTGCAAGCTCCGCCTCCCGGGTTCACGCCATTCTCCTGCCTCAGCCTCCTGAGTAGCTGGGATTACAGGGGTGCGTCACCATGCCTGGCTAATTTTTTGTATTTTTTTAGTAGAGACGGGGTTTCACCGTATTAGCCAGGATGGTCTCGATCTCCTGACCTCGTGATCCGCCCGCCTCGGCCTCCCAAAGTGCTGGGATTACAGGCGTGAGCCACCGCGCCTGGCCTACTGGTTTATTTCTTTAAGTAACACATACAGTGTAGAAAAATTAGAAACGATATGGAAAAATGTAGAGAACAAAAAACTAATTATGTTCTACCAAAGGTTTAAATTTTATCTATCAACATTTTTTCCATTTTTGTGTATTCCCTATTGTTAGTCTGAGATTCACCAATATTTTTATCTTTCAAAAGGAAAAACATTCAGCTTCTTGTGAGTCAAGTGAGTCAGGCACTGAGGCTTGCCCCTCCCCCTCCCCCCTCACCAAATGGGAATGGGTTTGCGCTGATTTTAATCAAACTGCTATGGGTTGTCCTGCGTAAGAGGCTTTGGGCTGTTCTGTAGGTCCCCGTGGGGTAGAACAGTTGGGTGCAAGACTCTGAAGGCAGATTTCAGCTCA
Source organism: Homo sapiens (assembly GCF_000001405.40). Taxonomy (NCBI): domain Eukaryota; kingdom Metazoa; phylum Chordata; class Mammalia; order Primates; family Hominidae; genus Homo; species Homo sapiens. Next base: position 29,650,489 of record NC_000006.12, on the reverse strand, counting down.
AAAGAAAGAATTTTCCCTCCTTCAGAGCTGTCCAACCGTGGTGGGAATGAGTGGGAACTACGGGAGTGAGCTTCCCATTCCTGGATTTTCCAGCCAACATAGAACTGGAGGTTAGGCCACATTATCCTAATATTTTTGCCTAGCTGTAGGATGATACAAGAATATACATTTTCCTTCCCCATCTTCTCCCGCTTTTCCTCGCCTTCTTTCCATTTCTTTGGCCCCTTCGCTTTTCGCCACCTAGCGGCAGAATCTTGCTAGGTAAGGACCAGGAAGCTCTCCCAATCTGACCCGCAACAGCTGACGTCACGACTTCGCCACCGAGAATTGGTTGCCAGCAGCCTTTGGGGGCGGAGAATAAGGCGCAGATTATAAATAGGTCAAAGAGAGGTGCCTGCGAGCCGCGCAGTGACACCCCGTTCCTAAGGGCAGAGCTTTTCTTGCCTTTCGCTTCAGACCCACTGCACTTGGTTACGTGCTTTTCCTCCGCTGTCCGCTTCGTTTATCTGCTTTAACCCAGCCTGGGCTAGGTAGGCCTGAAGCCTATAATGTTGCTTGGCTGTTGCTCAGGAGAAGAAAGGCCCAGGTGGCCAGTTTGGCAACTGGCACAGTCCCTGTGAGCACCCACCTGCTGATGGTCCTTCTGTCACTACGTAGTCGCTCCGACGCCAGGAAAGTGCGGTGGTGGCCATTTTGGAACTGGGCAACTTTCACTTCGCCAATCATCTTGGGGTCTGGCCACCACAGTACTTTTTTTTCATTATTATTCTGGCAGAGAACACGTTATGGAGGGATAATTATGTAGCCTAGAATTTCTAGAGTTGTTTCAGGACTCATAATATCCTCATTCCAGAATATGAGAATATAGAAGCTTGGAATACTCAGATGCAAATTCCAGCACCACCCTTTCCTAATTGATTGAGGAACACATCTGACTCTAGTCTACGGTCCTGTGGAAAGACCTGTGACCCTAGGCAAAGAGCTTAAAGAAATCTCTCTTTTTTTTTTTTTTTTTTTTGAGACGGAGTTTTGCTCTTGTTGCCCAGGCTGGAGTGCAGTGGCGCGATCTCGGCTCACCGCAACCTCCACCTCCTGGATTCAAGTGATTCTCCTGCCTCAGCCTTCCGAGTAGCTGGGATTACAGGCTATGCGCCACTATGCCCGGCTAATTTTGTATTTTTAGTAGAGATGGGGTTTCTCCATGTTGGTCAGGCTGGTCTCGAACTCCGACTTCAGGTGATCCACCCGCCTCAGCCTCCCAAAGTGCTGGGATTACAGGCGTGAGCCACTGCACCTGGCCATGAAGAAATATCAATTTATTTAACTGCAAAATGATAATTCTGTCACCTCGTGGTGCTGATGTGAGGATTAAATGAGACAAGGTACATAAAGTGCTTAGGCCTGTGTCTGGCTCCCCCAAAAAACATAACACCTCTTGTGCAGCACCTGTGCTTAGAATGTTAGCCAGTGAGGGCAGGACTTCGTCTTATTTTCCCTGTGCCCTCCTGGGCATTGAATAGTGAGGGATACATATTAGAATAAGTTTGCTGAAAGAATGAATGACAAAGAATCCCTGCCTGTAGGTCTTCAGCCTTTGTATTCTATTATCTTTTAGGCTGTAGGCTCACCCTCAGGCATCTTCTTGCCACTCTAACCCCTATAGGCTGATAATTACACCTTTACTTGCTCTAGGTCACAGCAATCTGTTAACTACGAGATTAGTATTTTTATTAGTATTTTTGACTTTTTTTTTTTTTTGAGACATGGTTTCACTCTTAGAGTGCAGTGGCGTGATCTCAGCTCACTGCAACCTCCGCCTCCCAGGTTCAAGCGATTCTCCTGCCTCAGCCTCCTGAGTAGCTGGGATTTCAGGCGCCCGCCACCACCCTCGGCTAATTTTTGTATTTTTTTTTAAGTAGACGGGGTTTCGTCGTGTTAGCCAGGATGATCTCGATCTCCTGACCTCGTGATCCGCTCGCCTCGGCCTCCCAAAGTGCGGGGATTACAGGCGTGAGCCACCGCGCCCGGCCTAATTTTTGTATTTTTAGTAGAGACAGGGTTTCACTGTGTTGGCCAGGCTTGTCTCCAACTCCTGACCTCGTGATCTGCCTGCCCGCCTAGGCCTCCCAAAGTGCTGGGATCACAAGCGTGAGCCACCGCGCCCGGCAGATAATTTACTTATTATTTCATACACCACCTGATATATTTTCACAGTGAGCATATGGCCTTTAAAATAATGATTTTTTTGTTGTTTAAGTTACAAACAAACCTGAAAAAATATTTGCTTTTTAGAAATGCTCAGTTTCTGAAGGGACCTAAGTTTGCCTTGTAACTGGTACCATCTAATGGTCAAACTGAGCTATTGCGCTGAGGTTGGATACAGGAAGCTAAGGGAAGACAGGGATGTGGGAAGTTCAACAGGGGTATGCTATGGAATAGGGTGATAGAACTTTGTGGATGACATACCAACATCACTTGCTGAAGTTGTGTAGAGCTTATTCTTACTGAAACAGTAATCCAGAAATTAACTCATATCTAATGACTTGGTGGTATAGCATACCAACACTTTTATGCCAGCCACTGGAGAAAAAGTGTGTTCCTATAGCATTTTCACATTCTGAAAACATTTGTCTATGATTGTATTTATTTCTCACAATAGTATGTGAGTTAAAGATATCAAATAGTTTTATTCTTATTTTACAGTTGATGAAATTGAGGCCAGACGGGTTGTGACAGGCTCAAGGTCAGTCAGAAAACCATTGTCAGAGCAAGACCAGACTGGCATTCTTTTTCAGGTGTTTCTGCTGCAATTGGGGGCAGAGATATGCAGGCTTAACTTTTATAAATATAAAAGATGCTTTATTGGGAAACGTGAAGTAGTGGTTCTCTGAGTTTTTTGTACCATTTCTTAGCCTTTTTGTTTTATGCAATTTTTTATTTGCCCCAACCTGAACTCTATGTTTGGAGAGGTGATTTTCAGCAACAAAGCTAAATTTATGTATAATTTATTTCTTTTTCTTTTATTAATCAAACGTGTTTTAACTTGTAACTTTTCTTCTAAAGTCAGCATCATGTGTATACATATGCAAATAATTCCACTCCAAGGTAAGGAAACTTTAAGGATATTTTAATTAGTGCTCACAACAAATATGTGTATCTGTTCTGATTTTTAAATAATAAAGATGGAGCATGACTTTCTTCTTCTCTTTCTGTATTCCAGTTTTAAAATCATTGGCTGGGTGCAGTGGCTCATGCCTGTAATCCCAGCACTCTTGGAGGCCAAGGCAGGCGGATCACTTGAGGAAAGGAATTTGAGATCAGCCTGGCCAACATGGCAAAACCCTGTTTCTATCAAAAATACAAAAAAGTAGCTGGGCATGGTGGCATGCACCTGTAGTCCCAGGTACTTGGGAGGCTGAGATGGAAGGACTGTTTGAGGCTGGTTGACACAGTGAGACTCCCATCTCAAAAAGAAAAAAAAATCACCATACCACATTGTAGGAGCTATGAAGGCTGACATCATGCTTAGCTCATGTGTGTGATCCCAAACTGCCCTATTCCATAAATATTTATTGACTAAATGAGAAAAAAATCTTACAACCAGGTAAGATTTCTTTTCTTTTCTTTTCTTTTTGAGACCGAGTCTTGCTCTCTTGCCCAGGCTGGAGTGCAGTGGCGCGATCTCTGCTCACTGCAAGCTCCGCCTCCCAGGTTCACGCCATTCTCCTGCCTCAGCCTCCCGAGTAGCTGGCACCCGCCACCATGCCCGGTTAATTTTTTCTTGTATATTTTGTAGAGACAGGGTTTCACCATGTTAGCCAGGATGGTCTTGATCTCCTGACCTCATGATCAGTCTGCCTCAGCCTCCCAAAGTGCTGGGATTACAGGCGTGAGCACCGCGCCCAGCCATAGCCAGATAAGTTTCTTTTGCACACCTGTACTACTTTTAATGGTAGTTATGGCAGGTCATATTAAATAACAATAATATTTTCTGGGCCAGGCATGGTGGCTCACCCCTGTAATCCCAGTACTTTAGGCAGGAGGGTCATTTGAGGTCCAGAGTTCAAAACCAGCCTGGCCAACATGGCGAAACCCTGTCTCTACTTCAAATACAAAAATTAGCCAGGCATGGTGGTGCATGCCTGAAATCCTAGCTACTGGGGAGGCTGAGGCAAAAGAATTGCTTGAACCCTGGAGGCAGATATTGCAGTGAGCTGAGATTGCACCGCTGCACTCCAACCTGGGTGATTTTATATATATATATATATGTAAATATATATATTTAGTTTTCTTATGAGCCCCTTAAGAATAATATCAATACACAGGCAGAAAAAAAGCATTCCAAGATCTTTTTTTTCTTTTCTTTTTTATTTGAGATGGTGTCTCACTCTGTCACCCAGGCTGGAGAGCAATGGCGCAAACTCAGCTTACTGCAACCTCTGCCTCTCCGGTTCAAGTGATTCTCCTGCCTCAGCCTCCTGAGTAGCTGGGATTACAGGTGTCCACCACCACACCTGGCTAATTTTAGTATTTTTAATAGAGACAGGGTTTCACTATGTTGGTCAGGCTGTTCTCGAACTCCTGACCTCGTGATCTGCCCACCTTAGCCTCCCAAAGTGCTGGGATTACAGGTGTGAGCCACCGCGCCTAGCCTTTTTTCTTTTCTTCTTCTTCTTCTTCTTCTTTTTTTTTTTTTGATAGAGATGGGGTTTTGCCATGTTAGCTTCAAACTCCTGGGCTCAAGCAATCTGCCTGCCTCAGCCTCCCAAAGTATTGGGATTACAGGTGTCAGCCACTGAACCAGGCCTAAAACTTTATTTTCTAAAGTTGAAATAACTTCAGGATATAATTTAGAGATATCATGACTCCTTGGGGTCCAGAGAAGAAAATCACTCAGGAGTTAAAATTAAGAGAAGGGTCAGGCACAGTTGTGAGTGCTGTAGTCCCAACTACTCAGGAGGCTGAGCAGGAAGAATTGGTTGAGGCCGGGAGTTCAAGAGCAGCCTGGGCAATAGAGTGAGACCTGTCTTTTAAAAAAGTAAAAATAGGTCAGGCGCGGTGGCTCACACCTGTAATCCCAGCACTTTGGGAGGCCGAGGTGGGCGGATCATCTGAGGTCAGGAGCTCAAGACCAGCCTGGGCAACATGACAAAACCCCATCTCTATTAAAAATACAAAAAATTAGCCATGTGTGGTGGCACACGCCTGCATTCCCAGCTACTCAGAAGGCTGAGGCAGGAGAATCACTTGAACCCAGGTGGAAGTTGCAGTGAGCCGAGATCGCATCTGCATTCCCAGCTACTCAGAAGGCTGAGGCAGGAGACTCACTTGAATCCAGGAGGTGGAAGTTGCAGTGAGCCGAGATCGCACCATTGCACTCCAGCCTGGGCAACAAGAGTGAAACTCCACCAAAAAAAAAAAAAAAAAAAGTAAAAATAAAATCACAAGGAATGGTTGGAGGAGCCCAGCCCATTCTATTTGTACCTCTATTTTGAGCCATTTCATCCTCTTCCCTGACCAGTTCATCCATCATCCCTCCTCCCCATTAACCACCAGCTTACCTTGTACTCTTCAGTCTTAGAACCCACATTACCTTCAATCTTCTTTGTAAAATGTTGGTAAGAAGTTAACAAATTCAGGCCGGGGGTGGTGGCTTATGCTTGTAATCCCAGCACTTTGGGAGGCCGAGGTGGGAGGATCACTTGAGGTCAGGAGTTCAAGACCAGCCTGGCCAACATGGTGAAACCCCATCTCTACTAAAATTACAAAAATTAGCTGGGCGTGGTGGTGCATGCCTATAATCCCAACTACTCAGGTGGCAGAGGCACAAGAATTGCTTAAGCCCAGGAGGTGGAGATTGCAGTGAGCCAAGCTTGCACCACTGCACTCCAGCCTGGGTGACAGAGCAAGACTGTTAAAAAAAAAAAAAAAAGTTAACAAACTCAAATTCAAGAATGCTTTCTTAATACATTTCTCCTGTTATTTTCCATTTTTCCCATGGTGGAAAATAGAAAATAGGATGGCATCACTTGAGTTGGGCATAGGGAAAGAAATTTCAAACAGGGCATGAGTTCTAGGATTTAGAACAGCTAATGCAGGAGTAGAGTTAAAGAAGATACCCCACCTAGCCTAGCCTGCTAGCTGCTTGACAGTAACCAGGGATAACAGGGGAACAGTTAAGGTTCTTCAGATCATGGTCTCTTTCTTTTTCTTCTCCCCTCCCCCATCCTACTTATAATTATTCAGACAGAATGAAAGTTTGCTGCAGGCACAGGTGAAAATTTTCCACCCGTGTCCCTATTTCATAGCAGGATCTTAAGATAAGACCAAGGAGAATGATCTTTGGAAAAGTACTTTCTTAAGAGCAGCGAATGGCTGAACATAGTGGCTCATGCCTATAATCCCAGCACTTTGAGAGGTCAAGGCGTGTGAATCACCTGAGGTCAGGAGTTTGAGATTAGCCCGACCAACAAGGTGAATCCCCATCTCTACTAAAAACACAAAAATTAGCCAGGCGTGGTGGCAGGCATCTGTAGTCCCAGCTACTCGGGAGGCTGGGACAGGCCTGGGAGGCAGAGGTTGCAGTGAACTGAGATTGCGCCACTACACTCGCCTGGGCAATGGAGCAAGACTCCATCTAAAAAACAAAACAAAACAAACAAACAAACAAACAAACAAACAAAAAAGCAGCGAGAAGAGAGAGAAGAGAAGTAAGGCCCTCTTCCTGGTAACATCTTGCTCTACTCCTATTCCCGATGTGGGCCACCATTAGCGCTGCTATGTGGAGCAGAATTTGTGCATGCACCAGAGATTATACTTGCAATGCTATCAAAATGCTCATGGGTGGTGGGGGATGCACAGAGGTCTTGCCAGGTCTAATGCTGGTGAGGAAGCTTTAGTTTGCTAATGGTAAGGGCTACTGGGCAGTACAGTAAGGGTACTGAGCATAGTAGCATCATGGACAGCAAAATGGCAGCACCTACAAATAACGCAAGTAAGTAAAGTTATTGCTAAAAGAAAATATTCAGATAAACACTGGTAAGTCTTTTTGGAGAGTGATTCTGCCTATGGCTCAGCCAAGGCCCCCTGCTCTATGGCAGGGTGAATCTTCTGGATCTTCTACTAACAGAAATCTTACCCACATAGTGATAACCGCAGTGATTTAATCCTTAGCAGCATTGCTGATATGCACAGGACTCTCAGGGAGAGAGACCCCTGGGTGCCTTGAGGGTGCTTTCCACATCTTGTCATTGGGCTGAGCAGGGTCTTTGGAATCACTAATCTCATGTTGGCTTGTTACATGTGAGACACTGTGCAGATTATTAAACATGTTTGAGTTTCAGTTTTCCCATTTTGTAAATGGGAAGACTAATATCTATATCAGAGAATGCTATAAGGAGCAAGTGAGACAATCCAAGTAAAACACACAGCCCAAAACTGGTTATAGTAAAATAAATGCTATTATTATTATTATCCTGTAACTTATAGGGTGGAATGACTTAAATGTGTTTAGAATGTGTCACTATTATGGCCCATGGAACAAAGCAACCCATTTTACCAATACCTAGTAGGTCTTCAACAAACAACAGAGACCGCTAGATTAATAGACTTGGAAACTGGTGTGATCATTCTGTACAATGGAATGAAACTCATCTCTGAGTCAGAAAATATGTAGCTCTTTTAGTGGGATAAAATGAGCCACATAGTCAAAATCCCTGCCCTCCTGGAGTTTATGGTCTGGTCAGGAAGGCAAATGTAAATACACGATTCCACAGTTACCTTAATTACCACTGAGATAAGTTTTGTGGTTTTATTTTTATTTTGAGACAGAGTCTCTCTCTGTCACCCAGGCTGGAGTGCATTGGCATGATCGCAGCTTACTGACCTTGACTTCCTAGGCTAAATCGATCCTCCTGCCTCAGCCTCCCAAGTAGCTGGGACTACAGGCTCATGCCACCACACTCGGCTAATATTTTTAATTTTTGGTAGAGACAGGGTCTCCTCATGTTACCCAGACGGAGATAAGTTCCTTCCTTCCTTCCTCCCTCCCTTCCTTCCTCTCTCCCTTCCCCTTCCCCTTCCCTTCCCTTTAGCATGCACCACCACCCCCAGCTAATTTTTGTATTTTTAGTAGAGACGGGGTTTCACCATATTGGTCAGGCTGGTCTGGAACTCCTGACCTCAGCTATCTGCCTGCCTCGGCCTCCCAAAGTGCTGGGATTACAGGCATGAGCCACCACACCCACATGGATTTTGATTTTCTTTTCTTTTCTTTTTTTCTTTTCTTTCGTTTCTTCTTTTCTTTCTCTCTCTCTTTCTTTCTAAAAAACAAACAAACAAAACAATGACTACAGTATGCCATATATGAGAGTGGCTAGTGGGATTGGGGAAACAGTGTTCTAAGTCTGGGGAATTCAGGGGAGGCTTTACTGAGGAGGTGCCATTTAAGCTGTTAGCAACATGGGTGTGGGGTGAGGAGGCTGAACAGAGCACCACGCCCAGGCAGAGGGAGCTGGGTGTGTTTGGTTTCTGAGTTGAAAGTTAAGGAAGTTTAAAGAACAGCAGTCAGACGACCATGGCTGGAGCACTGTTAGTGAAGGGCAGAAGGACCTGAGACTTGACTTTGAGGCCAAGCTCTGGTATTTATTGGCTGTGTGATCTTATGAAGTTCATTCAAACTTTCTGAGCTTCAGTTTTCCTATCTGACAAATGGAGATATTATCATATAGAAACAACAGAAAGAATTAGAAGAGCTAATGTGAGAATTCTTTGTAAATTATGCACCAATAAGGTATTCAGTTTCTGCACAGATCTAGGTGTAACAAATACTGAAAGCATCTGAAGGTGTGTATGAGTCATGTCTGCTTTTTAGGTCTTCAGAGTGATGGCTTAGAAAGACAGGCAAGGAAGAGTAAACTCAGCAGGTGTTTGTTTACTCTCAATTGCTAAAAGCCAAGCTTGCTTCACATCTGTTCCAGGCTTTCCCTCCACTAGGACTCAGTGGTTCCCGTGGTTCTCTGGACTAGGGTAAGATTAATCTGACCTGCTGTAATAGGGTCATGGATGTGACATGGTCAGGTTTTCATACATAGCCTTTATGGAGATCCTTACTGGCATTTTAAAATTTATTTTATTTTATTTTATTTTATTTTGAGATGGAGTCTTGCTCTGTCGCCCAGGCTGGAACGCAGTGGTGTGATCTCGGCTCACTGCAACCTCTGCCTTCCAGGTTCAAGCAATTCTCCTTCCTCAGCCTCCCCCGTAGCTGGGATTACAGGCACCTGCCACCATGCCCAACTGATTTTTTGTATTTTTGGTAGAGACGGGGTTTTGTATTTTTGGTAGAGATGGGGTTTCGCCATGTTGCCCAGGCTGGTCTCGGACTCCAGTTCAAGCGACCCACCCGCCTCGGCCTCCCAAAGTGCTAGGATTATAGGTGTGAGCCACCACGCCCAGCCCTCTTACTGGCATTTTTATCATATTTCCATGAATAGAATTTCTAGTCTGTTGCTTCAGATTTGTTCATTTGACTTCTAAAACATCTATCTGTAAACATCTTCTCATGTTTATAAACAGTTTCACATATCCTTTTCTGCAATTCCAAAATTCACAATACTCTGAAAACCAAAATTTTGTAACTCATTTGGCGGCAAAGCCTGGCCTGACTTGCATTCATTCTGTGACAAAACGAGATGTGAAGCTATTTATAGTCTTTCTTTACCTCATCTAGTGTAAATAGCCATACATTTAACGTGAAAATATATTTTTGCTTATTATGGGCTTTAGACCTGCATACACATATTAAATGATAGATTTTTGAGTATTGTGTAGCTTCTAATAGAAAAATCTGGGTGATATATCCTTTTACTCTGAGTATTATTTCATTAGTGTGCTTCGAATAAGTGAGCAATCATTTTAGGTACTTGAACAGAATATGACGAGAGACAGAAATCTATTGCAGCAAAATGAACAAACAAATCCCCTAGCAACCAATTATATACACACATTATGATGCATACGTTTTTCAGATTAGTATGAATAATTATTTGTAGATATTCATACCAGTATATACTTAATTACACGTTTAATTAAATATAATACTTATTTTGAGATCTTCAAAATGCTCATTAAATTTGTGTTTATGAGAACTGAACCTTTTTTTTTTTTTTTTTGGAGACAGTTTTGCCTGTTGCCCAGGCTGGAGTGCAATGGCACAATCTCAGCTCACTGCAACCTCCAGCTCCTGGGTTCAAGCGATTCTCTTGCCTCAGCCTCCCGAGTAGGTGGGATTACAGGCATGCACCACCATGGCCGACTAATTTTGTATTTTTAGTAGATGGGTGGTTTCTCCATGTTGGTTAGGCTGGTCTCAAACTCCTGATCTCAGGTGATCCGCCCGCCTAGGCCTCCCAAAGTGCTGGGATTAAAGGCATGAGCCACGGCGCCCGGCAGGAGAACTGAACCTTTTCTAAGTCTTTTAACATGACCTCATTATCCTGTAGATGAACGGACAAAGAAGCTATTTTCCTTTTTGTTTCTTAGGTTAATCTAGCATTTAATTACATTGTGTTCATTCACTTATTATATAAAGGTGTACTTATTGAGAAATTATTTCTAGAGGCAACTTCACAATGTCAATGTTGTAATTTGGTTATTGGCTCTGTGCACTCCTGAGACAGGGGTAGGATCCCCACTGCCTCAGGGATTCTTGTGTGTGAGAGTGGTAAGTGCTAGTGCAGGTACTCATAGTGTGGCTTTTTAATTTCACTGAAGTTTTGTGACTCCCAAACTGGGCTCACCTGTACATGCCTGTAAAGACATGATAGAAATAGCTTCATGAGCTTACTTTTATTGGCACAATAAACCAAGGCCAGAACTGCCAAGAATGTACAACTGCTATGGTCTGAATGTTTGTGTTCCCCCAAAATTCATGTTCTGAAACCTAATCCCCAATGCAATGTGGTATTAAGTGGTGGGGACTTTTGCAAATGAGATTAGTGCCCTTCTAAAAGAGGCCCCAGGGAGCTTGTTTGCCCTTCCACCATGTGAAGACACAGCTAGATCGCAGATGGCAGATGGCAGTCTATGAGGAAGCCAGCCCTCACCAGACACTGAATCTGCCAGTGCCTTAATCTTGGATTTCCCGGCCTCCAGAACTGTCAGAAATACATTTCTGTTGTTCATAAGTTACCCGGTGCAAGAGATTTTGTTATGGCAGCCCAAACAGACGAAGACAGCAACCAAACTAGGATTGTGTGTGGGGAGCAATAGAGAGGGTTTATTAACGAAAGATGTTCCCTTACTCTCTCTCTTTTTTTTTTTTTTTTCCTGAGACGGAGTTTCACTTTGTCGCCCAGGCTGGAGTGCAGTGGCTCGATCTCTGATCACTGCAAGCTCCGCCTCCCAGGTCACGCCATTCTCCTGCCTCAGCCTCCCAAGTAGCTGGGATTACAGGCGCCCACCATCACGCCCAGCTAATTATTTTTTTTGTATTTTTAGTAGAGACGGTGTTTCACCGTGTTAGCCAGGATGGTCTTGATCTCATAACCTCGTGATCTGCCCGCCTTGGCTTCCCAAAGTGCTGGGATTACAGGCATGAGCCACCGTGCCCGGCCTACTCTCTTACTTCTTTCTGGCCCAGTGATTCTGAGTGCCTGTGCCTATCAAGACGGGAAGAAAGAGAACACACAAATGGAAACTGAGGGGAAGGATCAAACAGTTTCACAAAAATATCCTATTTTAGTGATATTAAATATGATGCAAAGGATTCAAAACCTCACTAAAAAGCCAGAGTGAATCCCAGAGTGTAAATAACTTCACGTTTGAATAATAAACCTTTGCCCTATACATTTTTCTAAAGAGCAAGAGCTGTTACAGGACAGAAAACTCTCCCAGAAGACAGGTCTTTCATCCTAACCCAAGAGGACATGAACATCTTCCATTCACCCAGTGATCACCACTACTTTAGATGAGAGAATAGAACTGCAGTTTGACCCTTGACAGAAAATGCCTTGGAGCCGGGTGTGGTGGCTCACACCTGTCATCCCAGCACTGTGGGAGGCCGAGGTGGGCGGATTACGAGGTCAGGAGATCGAGACCATCCTGGCTAACACAGTGAAACCCCGACTCTACTAAAAATACAAAAAAATTAGCCGGGCATGGTGGCGGGCGCCTGTAGTCCCAGCTACTCGGGAGGCTGAGGCAGGAGAATGGTGTGAACCCGGGAGGCGGAGGTTGCAGTGAGCCGAGATTGTGCCACTGCACTCCAGCCTGGGCAAAAGAACAAGACTCCGTCTCAATAAAAAAAAGAAAGAAAGAAAGAAAGAAAAAGACTTGGAGTGGGAGTTGGGTGAGAGAAGTGCCTCAAAACTAAGCCTCTCAATGCAGTAGAAAGAATTTGAAAATAGGGTAACGAACTTAAGTTCAAATGTTGGCTCTGTCAGCTTTATAGCTGTGTGACCTCTGATTTGCTTCTTACTTTCTTTAAATGGTAGTTTACTAGGCTCAGTATAGAACATGAATATCCACTCTGTGTGGTTAGGTGAGAATTTAATGAGATACTCCCAAAATGTACCTAGCATCTACCTGATCATCAATCAAGTGAACTACGTTGGTTAATATGTTTTCAGGGCTCCCAGAGTGTTAAATTCTGGGCTATATGCTCTCAGGGATGGATGGAAGATGAGGCAGAAGAGAGAAAAGGAAGTAGAAAGAAAGTATGGGAGGCCAGGCCCCGTGGCTCATGCCTGTAATCCCAGCACTTTGGGAGGCTGAGGCGGGCAGATCATGAGGTCAGGAGTTTGAGACCAGCCTGGCCAACATGGTGAAACCCCGTCTCTACTAAAAATACAAAAAATTAGCTGGGCGTGGTGGTGGGGCGCCGGTAATTCCCAGCTACTCAGGAGGCTGAGGCAAGAGAATTGCTTGAACCCAGGAGGCAGAGGTTGCAGTGAGCGAGATCGCGCCACTGCACTCCAGCCCGGGCGACAGTGTGAGACTGTCTCAAAAAATAAATAAATAAATAAAATAAAAATAAATAAATAAGAATAAAAAATAAAAATTATTAAAAAAAAAGAAAGTATGGGAACTAAAATGAATAAGATTTGTCATTTTCCAGTAATCTGAGTAGGAACTCCACTATCTCTATGAAAAACCGTCAAAAACTACAAAAGGAGATGGCATTGCCAAAGGCACAAATTGTACAGAAGTGAGAGAAGGATGGGATCAAGCCTGGGGATCCTTCCAGAGGAAAGAAGTTTTGTGCTTGATGTAAAAGGAAAAGAAGGAAGTAGATTGATTGTGGGGAGGATGAAATTAGGATACTCAAGTAGTGGTTCTGGAAGGACCTCTACAAATATCCTGAAAAATATGGCCAGGAATCCTGGCAGTGACATTGGAATATGAAAAGATGTGAAAGGGGGAAGTTGTAGCTACTGGTGGAAAAAGGTGAGTGGTTTGTATAATGAACATAATTGGAGCCCTTGTCTGTACCCTCAAATGCCTCTGCCTCCCAAACAAGTAACAGATTTTAGCTATACTGATGCAACTTGCTAGGAAGGTTTTCTTTAAACCTTTATAAATCAGTTAAAAATGATTTATAGAGGAGACACTTGTAAAACATTTGAATAAAAGTTGAACAACAAATATGACGAAAGAAAAGTGTGCAGGCCCCGCACAGTGGCTTATGCCTGTAATCCCAGCACTTTGGGAGGCTGAGGCAGGTGGATCACCTGAGGTCAGGAGTTCGAGACCAGCCTGACCAATATTGTGAAACCCTGTCTCTACTAAAAATACAAAATTTAGCCAGCCATGGTGGTGTGCACCTGTAGTCTCAGCTACTCGGGAGGCTGAGACAGGAGAATCGCTTGAATCCGGGAGGCGGAAGTCGCCGTCAGTCGAGATCACGCCATTGCACTCCAGCCTGGGTGACAAGAGTGAAACTCCGTCCCCCCACCAAAAAAAAGAAAGAAAAAAAAAGAAAAGTGAGGGTGGAGGGAGGGAGAGCACGACGTGCGCGCACCCTCTCCCCTTGTCCACTGCTGCCGCCTCCTTCTTCTGCCGCTCCTGGTGCTGCTTGTGTGCTCGTTTGGAGCGGACCTGGTACCTCTTTTGTGAAGCGGCAGCTGAGGAGACTCCGGCGCTCGCCATGGCCGAAGAAAAGCCCAAGGAAGGAGTCAAGACTGAGAACAACGATCATATTAATTTGAAGGTGGCGGGGCAGGATGGTTCTGTGGTGCAGTTTAAGATTAAGAGGCATACACCACTTAGTAAACTAATGAAAGCCTATTGTGAACGACAGGGATTGTCAATGAGGCAGATCAGATTCCGATTCGACGGGCAACCAATGAAACAGACACACCTGCACAGTTGGAAATGGAGGATGAAGATACAATTGATGTGTTCCAACAGCAGACGGGAGGTGTCTACTGAAAAGGGAACCTGCTTCTTTACTCCAGAACTCTGTTCTTTAAAGACCAAGATTACATTCTCAATTAGAAAACTGCAATTTGCTTCCACCACATCCTGACTACTACCGTATAGTTTTCTCTATTCTTTCATTTCCCCCTTCCCCATTCCTTTACTGTACATAAAGTAACTGGTATATGTGCACAAGCATATTACTTTTTTTTTTTAAAACTAAACAGCCAATGGTATGTTTTGATTGACATCAAGTGGAGACGGGGCGGAAAAATACTGATTCTGTGAAAATACCCCCTTTCTCCATTAGTGGCATGCTCATTCAGCTCTTATCTTTATATTCCAGTAAGTTATTTTGCTCTCACTGTTTTAACAACAACAACAAAAAAACAACAACATAAAAATCCTTGCATACCTTGTTCAATTGGAGAATTTTAATGTTTTTCATTTATCATTGTAAAACCAAGGACAATTTTATAACTTTTTTGTACTTAGCTGTTACATGCAGAGCAATCTGTCTTTAAGTAGGGATAAATTACTCTAAAACAAAAAAGAATCCTAGATAGTTTTCCCTTCAAGTCAAGCGTCTTGTTGTTTAAATAAACTTCTTGTTTAAAAAAAAAAAAAGTAAAAAAGAAAAGTTATGCAACAATTAATGGCCCAGAGGCAATCCTTGTTAACATTTTGATGCATCTTTTAGCTGTTTTTTTTTGTTTTTTTTTTTTGACTGAGTTTGACTCTTGTCACCCAGGCTGAAGTGCAATGGCATGGCATGATCTTGGCTCACTGCAACCTCCGCCTCCCGGGTTCAAGTGATTCTCCTGCCTCAGCCTCCTGAGTAGCTAGGATTACGGGCATGCACCACCATGCCTGGCTAATTTTGTATTTTTAGTAGAGTTGGGGCTTCTCCACGCTGGTCAGGCTGGTCTCGAACTCCCAACCTCAGGTGATAAGGGAAGGGGCACTATTGACATTTATGGTTGGGGCAGAGGTGTAAGATATTCTTCAAAGCACTACCTACATGTTGAAGAATTGTTCCTCACCCAGATTCTCAAAAGTCCCCCAGGACATTCACGTAGTGAAAACCTGTGTTTAATTATCTGAGCCTATAACTTAATACAGTTTTAAAATTTTTTTTTAAATATACAGTGAACTTTCTAGGAATGCAATTATAGTTGTGTGTAAAATTAGGGAAAATTAACTTTGCTACCAAGAGTTGTTCAACATTTTGTTAAATCACTTCATTGATGGCAACATGCTGGAGGTAGTTGAGTCACCAACTCAGCACCTGGATCAGCCTGTGTTGGTAGCAGTTTCATCCCCGTGGTTCTGTGAATAGGTGGAAGCATCTGCTTACTCCATCAGGACTTCTAGGGTAGTCGGGCCTTGGCACTCACACATTAAAATACTGTTTATGTTATTTTATTGCAAGTTACTTTTCTTTCATTTCCCCTTTACGTTACAGAAAGGGAAGCATTTTGCTTTCTGTTTAAAGTTGTGTATGTAGGTAGGTTATATCATCTATGACTTTCTCTCCCTCCTTCCCTTTCTTTTTGTTTGAGATGGAGTCTTGCTCTGTCACCCAGGCTGGAGTGCAGTGGTGCGATCTTGGCTCACTGCAACCTCTGCCTCCCGGGTTCAAGCGATTCTGGTGTCTCAGCTGGGATTACAGGCGCACACCATCACACCACGCTAATTTTTCTATTTTTAGTAGAGATGGGGTTTCGCCATGCTGGCCAGGCCAGGCTGGTCTCAAACTCCTGAGCTCAAGTGATCAGTCCGCCTCGGCCTCCCAAAGTTCTGGGATTTCAGGCGTGAGCCTCATCTATGAATCTCAATTTAGGACAGTAAAAGTGTCATTACAAAATATTTATTGTAAAAAAGGGTTGGAGGTTGAGAATCTCAATTCTAGTCAGTCTCTCAGTGTTTGGTTTCTTCCTACCATTTTTCCCCCTAGGACCAGCCAGAAAGCAGCTTTTTTTTTGTCCCCCCCAACAAGGAGCCCACTGTTTCCTCTCCCAGCCCAAACTCAGGCCTACGAACAACAACAGCACAACACACACACACACACACACACACACACACACACACACACACACACACACCCCTCCACTTCAAGGTATAGCCAAGAGCTTCTGGAGCCGTCAAAAAGGTCTGTACCTGCTGTCTTTAGAGCTTCCAGTTTGCCCTTGGTCAAGAAATACTGTTTGCTAGGCTCTGCTGGAGTACATCAGGTAATACTGGCTTCTAAACCACCCTGAGGTTCTTTTCTCTTGTCCTTTTACTCCCTTCGTACTTCAATTTCTCTCCTTGATGTCCCCCTCCCTGTTTTGTTTTTTGCCTCCAATCCGTTCTGCGCGTTCCCTGCAGAGCAGGCGAGTAGCAATGCTGCTGGACCATGGAGCTGCTCTAGTCTCCCAGAAATCTCTTCTACACCCAACCCTTCTTGCGCTTAGGTGGTCCTCAGTCCCCCTCCCCCACCTCCTTCTGACCCAGGCTTCTTTCTCGCCCTCCGGTCGCAGTTCTCCTGGGCATCTGCCTCTGCCTCTCTCCTCTCACCCGGATCTAGGGCTGCCTTCTCTTTGTGCAGCCGTCTTTCTCCACCTTCATCCCAGACTCCCTGTCTCAGCGCCAGCTCCTCTGCCTTTGGCTCGGGTTCCCTCTCCCCCACCCCAGCTTCCAGTTGTTTGGCCCGCAGGTCCCTCGGCAGTGACCGGCGCCCCCCGACGAGTGCGTGTGCACCAGGGCACCTCCCTCTCCCCCACCTCTCAGCCCCGCGCCTCTCCACCGCCCGCCCCACCGCGCTGTGGGCGGTCCAGGGCGGGGCTGGGATCCGGGGCGGCTCCCGGGGCTCGGGTTGTGGGAGGCGCCCTCTCCCCGGTCTTCCCCTCTCTTCCCCCCGCCCTGCCTTCCCTTGCACCCTCCTTCTTCCCTCCGCCCGGGAGCTCTCCCTGGTCCCCGGCGCCGCCTCCTTCCCTCCCGGCTCCCCGCTCCCCGCTCCCGTGGCTGCCGCCGCCCCGGGGAAGAAGAGACAGGGGTGGGGTTTGGGGGAAGCGAGAGAGGAGGGGAGAGACCCTGGCCAGGCTGGAGCCTGGATTCGAGGGGAGGAGGGACGGGAGGAGGAGAAAGGTGGAGGAGAAGGGAGGGGGGAGCGGGGAGGAGCGGCCGGGCCTGGGGCCTTGAGGCCCGGGGAGAGCCGGGGAGCCGGGCCCGCGCGCCGAGGTAAGAGCCAGGGCCCCGGGTTAGCAGGGCTCGGAGAGGGGGCGCGCGGCGTGGTGGGGGAGGGGGCAGTGGGCGCAGGGCCCAGCTGGGGGAAGCGGGGCTGGGGGAGAGGAGGAACCGCGGGGATGGAATCGGGGAGCGCTGAGGCGGCCGATGCCGGGAGCGTGGGTAAGCCAGGCTTCTGCGAGCCGCGGGGGCCGGGGGAGAGGAGGTGGTGAGAGGTGGAGTCCCGGGAGGGTTGGGGGCCGAGGGAGGCAGGAGGAGGGTGGGGACAGGCTTTCTCTCCTCCTCTCCCCCCACCCCGCGCGGGGCTCCGCCCCCGCCTCCTCCGCGGGGCGCTCTCTTGGTCCCCAGGCTGAGCCCGGTCGGAGCCTGCGAGGCAACCGGCAAGAGGTCGAGTAGTCTCCGGGTGCGGGCCGCGCCGGCGGGGCTCGGTCCAGTCCTCATGGCCGCCTCTCACTTAGATGTTGCTGCTGCTGCTACTGGCGCCACTCTTCCTCCGCCCCCCGGGCGCGGGCGGGGCGCAGACCCCCAACGCCACCTCAGAAGGTGCATCCTTCTTCGACGACCTCCGGCCCTCCTTCGCTCCACTTCCCTTTCCCTGCATCTCCTCATTTCTGGTCCTCATCACTATCCCATCAGTCCCACATATCATCCCGGTCTGGCAACCCCTTCTGCTCGGCCCGACTTTACTACTGCTGACCTCCTTCTGTCACCCCACGTTACTATCCAGCACCTCTTTTCTCTGCCCACATTGCTACACTATACCACCTTCCTGTGCATTTTCTCCGCCTCAATCCCCTTTCCCAGCCCCACATTACTACCTCAATTACTCCCTTTTCTTGGTCCCACTTTGCTGTCCAGATGATCTTATTAGCCTCCCTTTATCCTCCTATCCTAATTCAACTCGAATATCCTCATTTAGCCTTTTTTTTTAAAGAAAAGCTCCACCCACATATCATACCCTTCATGATTTCTTAATTACTTTTCTTTCTTACCTCCACCCAGCACCCTTCCCTCCCCACTTGTGGGTTCTCTCATCAGCTTTAACCCTGGCCCTTTACTCTCTGTCCTTTAGCCAGGGGATCTGTACCTGTCCCCACTCCCACCCTCTAGTGCCCCATCCCTCTTCCTCTGTCCCCAGCCTGCCCACAGACCACGCCCTACTCTCCCCTTCCTCCCACTGGGGAGCCTGCCTTTTCCTCTTTCCCACCATTCCTCTCTGTATGCCTCCCCGACTCACCCCTTAGGTTGCCAGATCATACACCCGCCCTGGGAAGGGGGCATCAGGTACCGGGGCCTGACTCGGGACCAGGTGAAGGCTATCAACTTCCTGCCAGTGGACTATGAGATTGAGTATGTGTGCCGGGGGGAGCGCGAGGTGGTGGGGCCCAAGGTCCGCAAGTGCCTGGCCAACGGCTCCTGGACAGATATGGACACACCCAGCCGCTGTGGTGAGTAGCCTCGGAAGCCCCTCCCCTCTTCAAGACTATTCCTTTTCCTGCCGCAAACTTAGCATTACTGCTTGCAAGTCAGCACTTTAAATCCAGTATACCAAAATTCACAAATACATTTATTGAATGACTACTACATAAGAGCAATTTTGCTCTGTGCGGTTGGAGGTAGTAGAGCTAGCAGCCTGCACAGTTCATTTCATCCTCCCTTCATTAGGCCACTGATCATTGGCCTATAACATTGATAATTCATCTTGTCAGTTATTCTCTTTGAGGATCATTAGTGGCAGATGATGACAAAAAAATTCTAAAATGATTTCATCACATTTTTGAATACCTCTGTCACCAACCCAGAGACCATATGCCCAAGAAACAAAAGCCAGTTTAATATTAATAGAAGCCAACTATAATAAGAAAAGCAAATCTGATTGTGCATCCAAAGTTATATACATCTACATATTTCAAAGCCAGAGAACCGCCCACTGTAGCTGACTTTGAAGAGATCCCATTTTGTGTGCTTATAGCCCCATCTTGGGTTCCTAAAATGGTAATTTTTTTTTTCTTTTGGGAATGTGTGGATGCTTGCACAGGTAAGGGAGGATTGGAAGATAGGTAGGCAAATCCTTTTCACATGTGATTTTCTTTAGAGCAGGATGCTTGTGGACCCAAACCTGCACCTGAGTCCCCTGCTCTTTAAAGGGAAAGAGCCTTCTTCAACTCGCCTCTCTTCTTATTTTCCTATCTCTCCACAGTCCGAATCTGCTCCAAGTCTTATTTGACCCTGGAAAATGGGAAGGTTTTCCTGACGGGTGGGGACCTCCCAGCTCTGGACGGAGCCCGGGTGGATTTCCGGTGTGACCCCGACTTCCATCTGGTGGGCAGCTCCCGGAGCATCTGTAGTCAGGGCCAGTGGAGCACCCCCAAGCCCCACTGCCAGGGTGAGGGGAACAGCTGCCTGCATGCAGCTGATGAGGACGCTTGTGTGAGGATGGGAGTGGGGTGGGAATGGATAATGGGAAAGAATGGAGAGCTATAAAAATGTGGGGGAGGACACTGGAAAGGGGAGATGAAAGTCCCTTTTTCCTCCATCACCTGCCTCAAACTTCCTCTTGCAGTCCCCGGTATCCTCTGTAGGTTGGGGGCTTCCTTCCTTTACCTTTTAAAAAAATCTTCCTGCTCCCGATTCTTAGACCTCACGTTTTCTCTTTTCCTTTATGAATCTCACCTCTCTCACCTTCTTCAGGTTTAAATACTCCAATTTTCCCTTTCTCTAAACTTAGAAATTTCCATGCATCACCCTCTTCTAGAATTCATCCCTCACCATTCCTTATATAATTGATTTATTGTAAAGACTCAGAAATAAATCAAACATTCTACTAAGAAAAATTGAGAAGGGGAGCTCTGGGGGTGGAAACATATTAGGGTAAAAGACTTAAAATTGGAGGCAGCATTATCAGAAGATGAAGAACAACTCAGGGATGGGGTGGGAAGAAGACAGGTCCTTTTCTGTACTTCCTAGACAACCTCCATTATTCCCTAAGGGAATCAGTGTTGTGTCTGTCTACTTTTTTTTTTTTTTTTTTGCCACGTAATTTTACAAACTCTCCCTTTTCTAGGCACCCGAACTCTCTGCCATCTTCTCTCCTGGGATGCAGTCATCCCATTTGTATGCCTCATACTTCCTCTACCCTGGTAGATTCTTTCAAGATCCTTGGGCTTTACTTTCCTCACATAACTCAGTTATTCTGCTTCTAGTTTACCATTTTATTCTGGAAATTGAGAGTCCCATCCAGGGGTGGACTTATGACACTACTGAAACTTAGACTTCAAGGTTCCTCACCTACAGGGCCCTCTTCCTGTGCTCTAATAATATAGAGGGCTCGATGGATATGTGTTCATATGGTAACAGGCTTTTGTAAAAATTGCAGAAATAAGATTTTAACAGCAATTGCTTAAAGCCAATTGTATGTGTAATTTTTTTTCTTAAAGACTCCCAATTTTGTAATATTCAGGCACCACAGAACCAAGATCTGCCCCAAACTTAGCTATTGGCATTCCCGTCTCAAATTCTGTTGTCCTATGAAAAATCGAAGAAGAAAATAAGTCCTGACCCCCTTACCCCCAGACCCACCTTGTTCTTATCCCCAGGCACCCTCCCCTCAGAAACGCAGGCTTCTGCTCTCCCCGGTCTTCAGCATGGACAGGTGTGGGAGGGGGCTGGGGATCAGGCCAGGGAAGCTGGGCGCCAGTGGTAACTCTTCTCTGATCCCCGTCTTTCCTGCTGCCAGTGAATCGAACGCCACACTCAGGTGAGATGAGAAACCCTTACCGCGCGCACTGCAATGCCCTCCCCTTCACTCTGCACCCTCCACCCCCCTGAAATTCTGCCCTTAGGCTACGGGGCGTCGTCCTTTCGCACCTTCCCCAACCCACCCCAGTTTGCGGCCACCCCCTTCCCTCCCTACCTGTTTCCTGCCTCCAGTCCCGGTTTTCCACGAGGCTGCGGTCTCTCCTTGTCCCTGCTTGGCTACACTTCCCTGGGCTCCACCTCCTCCCAGACTGAGCCTCGCCGGTGTCAGGCAGAGCCCAGCAGAGGGCGGCAGGGTGCTGGGAGACCCTGAGCTCCCACCACGTTTTCCCCTGTGGGGTTCCTTGCGACCTTCGCTGGAACCTTTTCCAGCCTGCTGCCTCCTAGGATTTCACCTAATGGACTTTCTCAGCCTGTCCCACCCATCCCAACCCTGGCCAGGCCTCTCGCGCTCTTCCCCACATCTTTTCCTTCCGTGTACCCCTTCCCTCGTCTTTTCTCAATTCCATGTCCTGTCTCCCTTTCTTAGGCTTCTGTCTACCCAGCCCCAGGCTCCCTTCCACGACCCCACCACTCCCTCAAACCAGCCTCCCTTCCGTACCCAACTCGTTCCCTCCAAAACCGTTTCCTCTCCCCCACATCCTCAGTGCTTCACTGTATCGACTCATACTCCCACTTCAGACCTCAGGCGCCAGCCCCGTTTCTCTCCCGTCCCACTCGCATCCTTCCCTTCCTACCCTGGTTCCTCCGTGCTTCAGCCTCCCGCGGCTCCCTCCGCCCACCCCGCCCTCCTGGCACGCCCCGTCCCCATTTCTCCTCCCCTCGGGTCCCCTTAAGTGAGATCCCTCCCTTCCTCTTTCGTTCCTTTCCTCCTCGAGGTTGCATCCCCCCTCCCCTCCCCGCCCCTCCGACTGTCGCTCCCACCTCGGCGCTCGCTTCCCTCCCCGCCCCCTTCCTGCCTCCCCAGCTCCCGCCCGCCCCCCCACCCCCCGCTGCCGCGCGCCGCCCGTGACGTCAGAGCCCCCTCCCAGCCCCACATCTCCCTCCTGCTCCTCCTCCTCCCCTCCGTCGGTCAGTCAGTCCGCGAGGAGAGTCCGCGGTGGCGGCGACGGTGGCGAGAGCCGCGGGGGCCGTAGGAAGCCAACCTTCCCTGCTTCTCCGGGGCCCTCGCCCCCTCCTCCCCACAAAATCAGGGATGGAGGCGCCTCCCCGGCACCCTCTTAGCAGCCCTCCCCAGGAAAAGTGTCCCCCCTGAGCTCCTAACGCTCCCCAACAGCTAC
Source organism: Homo sapiens (assembly GCF_000001405.40). Taxonomy (NCBI): domain Eukaryota; kingdom Metazoa; phylum Chordata; class Mammalia; order Primates; family Hominidae; genus Homo; species Homo sapiens. Next base: position 29,627,807 of record NC_000006.12, on the reverse strand, counting down.
CCCTGCCCCCCACGCCATGGGGCCCGGGGCCCCTTTTGCCCGGGTGGGGTGGCCACTGCCGCTTCTGGTTGTGATGGCGGCAGGGGTGGCTCCGGTGTGGGCCTCCCACTCCCCCCATCTCCCGCGGCCTCACTCGCGGGTCCCCCCGCACCCCTCCTCAGAACGGCGCGCAGTGTACATCGGGGCACTGTTTCCCATGAGCGGGGGCTGGCCAGGGGGCCAGGCCTGCCAGCCCGCGGTGGAGATGGCGCTGGAGGACGTGAATAGCCGCAGGGACATCCTGCCGGACTATGAGCTCAAGCTCATCCACCACGACAGCAAGGTAGCCCTGGACATGGGGGTGGGTGGGAGGTGGGGGCTTGCGGGGCAGGGGGCCAGCCAGCTGCACGCGCCCCCATCTGTCTGAGTCGTCTCTGGGATTGCGAGGCAGACCCCTCCCTTGTGTGACTGGCAGGAGATGGGCTGGGGGTGCAGGAGCTTGGGGAGAGTCGCAGGGGCTGGAGGTCCAAGATGAGGGTCTAGGGGCTCAAGATGGTTAAGCATGCTGCAAGGCAGACCCTTCTGCCCCGCTGCGGGAGTCTCGCAGAAGTGTCGGGGTTTGGAGAAACTGGTGGTGGATTTAAGGTATTAGGAGACACTGATCCTCTGAGGGAGTAAACTAACCCTGGAATGGGTTGGGGGTGGAGGGAATGTCAGAGGTGGGGAGCTGGATTGGGGGTTTACATTTACCATGGTAACAAGGTAAAATCTTGGCGTAGGTTGGAGCTGGAAGGAATAGGGACAGAATGAGGAAAATTTTGAGAGACTTGAGAGCTCTAGTTTATTTATCTTAACAAAACAGCAAGGTAGTGGTGAGCCCTACCTGACTCCTTCTCATCCTTCTATTCCCAACCCTGTTGAGCATTCCCAGACTGTGGGATAGATGGCATATGGTGATTGGGGAAGGCTAATGATCAAGAGGTGGGCAGAGGCACTGGGAAAATGAATTGGATTGGGGATCCACATGGGAACCCCCACAATAGCATGGGGATGAAGAAGAGTCAACATACAAGGAGAAGAGAACAGAAAAGAATGGCAGTGGGGGAGAGGGGCAAGGAGGTAGCGTGGGGATAATGAGAGATCTTGGGGCACCTTATGGAACTTGGGTCCTGACCTTCCCTTCCCTTATAGCATTGTGGCCTCTAGGATGTGAGAAGGGAAATGGGATGTAGGGATTAGGGAGGTGAGTTGAGGGAGAGAGAGAAGGTAAGCAAATTTGGGTCCAGGGGTATTAGGGGATAGCTTATAATGAGGTTTTTTTTCCCACCCCTCTCCCCTACATGAATAATTGGGGGTGCAGGGAAGGATGTGACACAGGGAAGGAGATTTAAGATCTCAAATTTATCTTCACTGACATGTGGCCCCAGAGACTTAAGGAATTGGGTTAGGGTGAAATAGAGTACACAAGGTGAGAATTTGGTGATCTTACCAAATATCAACCTTGGGGTGATCCAAGGATTTATATTCATTTTTAGAACATCACTATACACCTAGAAATAGGTGTGTGTCTGGGATAGGTGTGTGAGGGGACAGAAGTGAGGTTGAAGGTAGGGTGCTTGAAGAGAAGAGAGCACAAGGATTATCAGGAGCTTGGCAAGAGAACTTAAAATCCTTTTTGACTGTTACTTTCTCGTGGTTCTCAGCCTTCAGTGTACATAAGAATCACCAGAGGAGTTTGTTAAAAATACAGATTCTAGCTCCTTGGTCAGGGATGAATCCCAAGTATTTATCTGTATTTTTACTAATAGACATCCTATCTTGGTGGATTCCTGAGCTGTAAGCTAACCCCAGAATGCCTATGGGAAGAGCAGCAGGGTACAGGAAAATAATTAGGTATTAGGGTACGGGAGGCAGGAAGAGAAGTAGAGGATCAGATCTGGTAGAGGGTCAGACTTGGGACAGTCAGAGAGATCATTGGTTTTGGGGAGTGGAGTGTGAAGAAAATGACAGGGAGAGATGGGTGCAGGCTTTATGATAGGGGATCACAGGAGATAGGGGAGGCCTGGCTGTGAGCTCAAACTCATCCACCATGACAGGTGATTCCCTGGAGGTGGCGGGGAGCAGACGTGGGACCTGGGAGAAGGGAACTGGAGAACATCAGAGGCATCAAGCGGGGTGGGATGGGAAGGCAGAAGAACCAGAATGTGTCAATTGGAATGAGTCGGTTTCCTGCCTGCAAATCCAGATCCTTGCAAGAGCAAAGAGAGGGAGGAGAACTAAGGAAATCTATTGGGGAGGGGGAGAGAATCACGTGGTGGAGAGAATCTGCAGTGATGAATAGTGTGTGGAAGAGGGAAACGGTTGCAAGAAAAGGTAGATAAGAAATCAGGAAACAAAATGGGGGGCATGCCTTGCCCTGTTGATATGTATCTTATATGTTCTTGTATGTCCTCATTGTTCCTATTAACCCTGTCTTTAGAGAAGTGGAGGGGCACTGAGGGGCTGTGGGAGAAGCTGGGAGCAGGATCTGGAGTAATAGATGTGGGGAGAGTGCAGGAAGGTGGGTCCTGAGAATGGTAAAGATTTACAAAGTTGCCCTAGTGGGAGGCATAAAGAGAAAACCTTCCAATGTTGTTGAGCACTGCCCTTGGCCAGAGTGAGGGTAGGGTGGGCAACAGAGAATTCTCAGTGACTGCTGGTTCTTCAGATTCCAACAGCTTCCCCTGGCTCCCCCTTCTCCAACTTCCCACCGTGTCCCAAATGTCAGGCCTCAGTGGGAGGTAAGCAGGCTCCAGAGTGCTTTCTTTATTTCCTTTCTACTTATCCTCCCCTCCTGGCAACATTTCACCCTCCTTAGTCCCCTGAGCCCCCTGTCTGTGTCCCCTCTGCCCTGGCTCCCCACTGGCTGCCATTTCGTCTTCACATGCATTGGGGTTCCAGCAGCTTCTGAAATGTCATATATCAGTGGGAGGGGAACAGGCAGTGGGAGACCCAAGGCTGGCTCTTCCTCCCCCATTTCCCCTCCTCCCAAGCTTCCTTTCTTCTCCAGCTTTCTGCTTGTTTACTTTCCCTAGCTCCAAGCCTCTCTTTAAGGCACCTCTCAAATTGTCTGGTTTCTTGAGAGTTCCATTCTATTCATTCTCTCTGTTCTTTCCTCATCCTACATTCTTCCCTACTTCCACCCCCCAGTGTCTTTTTTTCTAATGGACCTGTCAAATGTCAGCGCCCAGCAGGAGGGATGGATCACTGAGCGGGACCCCCTACTGGTCTTGTTCCTGTTCTCTCTTTACTTATCACTAGCTCTGAAAAGAGAAGAGGGAGGAAACAAATGGAAGGTGGGGAGAAGGGGTTTGCAGAGGTGAGGAAGGAATTTTCATAATATGGCTTTGAGCAAGCTATCTGGGGATGTGGAAAGAGTTTACCGTATTCCTACTGACTTCTTCCACCCACTGGTGTTTGAAGCATAGAAACATGGGGTAAAGGGCTTGGTGACAGAGGGAAGGGGGATGTCTGAGGGTGAGCTGAAAGGAGGTAAGGTGGTATGTTCATTAATACCAAAGGAGGGGTGTGCAGGAGAGGTGATGGGTAAGGCTCCAGATGGAAGACAGAGAAGGAAGTTTAATGAAAGAGGAGAAAAAAGGCACTTGACAGGAAGAGATGCCAGAAAGGAGAAGAAAACGGTAATTAATGATGAAAGTGAGTAATTGAGAAAGGAACTAATTTGTTCGAGAAAGATAAGAGCAGGAATTGCAGACAGGGGAGGGGCCCCAGGAGAGCTTGCCCTCATCTCCTCTTGTCTTTCAGTGTGATCCAGGCCAAGCCACCAAGTACCTATATGAGCTGCTCTACAACGACCCTATCAAGATCATCCTTATGCCTGGCTGCAGCTCTGTCTCCACGCTGGTGGCTGAGGCTGCTAGGATGTGGAACCTCATTGTGGTAAGCAGGGCTATGGGGGTCAGAAGATGGGGTCATTCCCTTTTGAGCTCTACTGAAGGGACGATGGCGATTGTGGGTTTGTATTGAAAAGGAGTGTGGAGGACCTGCTACTAAGATTCAGAGTCCTCTGCAGACCTGAGCTAGGCAGCCTCCTAGCAACAGTGGCCTGACAGTGCTGCAGCTGACCTCCTTCTTCAGAAGGAATTGAAATTAGATCAGTGAAAGAGCATCCCGGTTGTGAGGGGTGTGTGGGCCTTTGAGAATCTCTTTTCCTTAGGCAGACCAGAGGTGGGGAGGTTTGGAGAGAGTAAGGAAGAGAAACCCAAAGGCAGGAAGAGGGTTAAAGGAACTCTTGGCCACTCTTGGTGTCCTCAGTGAACAGACCCTGTTGCACTCACTCTCCCTGCCCCACAGCTTTCCTATGGCTCCAGCTCACCAGCCCTGTCAAACCGGCAGCGTTTCCCCACTTTCTTCCGAACGCACCCATCAGCCACACTCCACAACCCTACCCGCGTGAAACTCTTTGAAAAGTGGGGCTGGAAGAAGATTGCTACCATCCAGCAGACCACTGAGGTCTTCACTTCGGTGAGGAGGGGTTGGGCAAGGGGTAAAGGGACATAAGCTCAAATTCCAGCACCAGGAGATGTGACGTGAGAGTCACTTTTAGGGGCAAGAACTTGATTCTTCATTGAAAGAGAACGCATTCCATGTGGATTAAGTGCAGTTCTTTCTGTAGCCAGGGGAAAGAATGAGTTGAGTTTTTGGGATCCTCTCTGTCTTTATGATTTTATGATTTTTTTCCCCTGTTTGATGCCCTGTTCCCCAGACATATAGACCCAGAATGACTCAGTTCTGTTAAAGTAGGTTCAATCCAAAGTGGGGGCAAGAGATGGGAGCGAAGATGAGATAGGAATCCAGGAAGGCAGCAGATTCCAGAGGCTTTCAAGGGGGGTGGTGGGTGGGTGTGAATGGGAACAGAGGGGATGGAGCCAGTGGATTACAGAGGAGAGAGGGAGAGGAAAGAGAGAGAGAGAGAGGAATGAGGGAGAGGAGAGAGAGGGGCAGAAAGGCAGCTGCATGGATCTGGTAGTTGGTACTAAGAGAGAGAAGCCGACAGACAAGGAGAGGTTGAGGGGGAAGAGGGAGATTTGGGGAGGTAGAGAGGAAATACAGGCTCTACATCTGAAGAAGGCAGTCTGCTCCCTCCCTTTTATTCTATTCTTTGGGTCTTCTATCCACTGTGTTCAGTGGCCCTTTAATCCTCCCCCACTTTCACTCTGATTCAGACCATTCTTCTCTGATCCTTTGTCTGTCTGCCCATTTGCCTCTTGAGGTTGACATCATGCTGTCTGTCCCAGTCCTTGCCTTGTCTTTTCCTGGTTCCTTTATGTTTCTTTACCCCATCTTTGCCTTCAGTGGTAGGAGTGGGTGAATGGAGTGGCTTCCCCCACACAGAGCCTCAGCAGGGGCTCACCATTCACCTTCCCACTTGGAATCCACATCCTAAGACCAGATGCCTTCCCGAACTCCTCACTTCAGGGACAGAAGCTGTTGAAGGAAGGTTCAGAATGGCTGCTTCTTTGCTCTATCTGAGTATTGCTCTGAAATCCCCAGTTAACCTCTCTGGTCTTTATTCCCTCATGCACCCCGTGTTTTTCCAACTTGTTTTTTATTCCCACCCAAGACTCTGGACGACCTGGAGGAACGAGTGAAGGAGGCTGGAATTGAGATTACTTTCCGCCAGAGTTTCTTCTCAGATCCAGCTGTGCCCGTCAAAAACCTGAAGGTCAGATGGCTGGGAGTGGTGGGCTCTGTTTACGGAGGGACCAAGCTGGGGGACAGTGACTGGTTGGAGAGGAAAGCCAGGCGGGGGCAGGTTTTGATTCTCTGAGGCAATAGCATCTCCTGGGGAAGTTTAGCTCCATCTTCCAGTTGACGTTTATTCACTATACGTTGAGCGTTACCCTGCACTAAGCACTTTGGGATGGGAAATCAAAGCTGTGAAGACATCTGGCTTAGCCCCTCAGGCATTCCCGGGCATCCCTCAGGAGCTGTTTCTTTCTCTGTTGTAGCGCCAGGATGCCCGAATCATCGTGGGACTTTTCTATGAGACTGAAGCCCGGAAAGTTTTTTGTGAGGTGGAGTTGGATCTGAAGAGGGAGGGGCACTGGGTGGGAGTTTCCCTTGGTTTTCTTGTGGGGCCTCCTCTTGGCATCTGTGCCTGAGTTGATAGCATATGATCTGAGGTGACGATTCATAGGATGTCTCTGTCTGTTGGCTCTGACTGCATCCCTTGTCTGCACACACATGATACTTTCTTCAGATCTCATTTTTCTACTGCTTTGTGTTTCCTGAGAAGCCCATGAATTCCATCTGTCCTGACTGGCTGGAAAAGGCCACTCAGAAATACAGGGGCTGGGGAGAAACTTAGAAGGAAGAATTGTCAGCCTTTCCTACTATCCCCAAGACTTGTAGATTTCTCTTTTTAGTTCTACTGCTCTTCCCTGATTCCCAAGAGGCTAAATAGTATCAAGTGAGATAAGACAAAAACAAACAAATGAGCAAACAAAAACTCAGCCATTCTCCTCTGTATTCAGGTGTACAAGGAGCGTCTCTTTGGGAAGAAGTACGTCTGGTTCCTCATTGGGTGGTATGCTGACAATTGGTTCAAGATCTACGACCCTTCTATCAACTGCACAGTGGATGAGATGACTGAGGCGGTGGAGGGCCACATCACAACTGAGATTGTCATGCTGAATCCTGCCAATACCCGCAGCATTTCCAACATGGTGAGAGTGTGGGGACTTGCAGTCTGGCACCTGGGAGGGTGGAGAGGACTGAGGGGGCCTTGCAGGGGAAAGGGTGGCAGGGAGAGGGTGCGGAATTTGGATATAAAGGAGAAGAGGGGGCTGTGCCCACCCTGAACTTGTCTGCATTATGTTTCCTGTGGATCCTACCTTTGCTCTGACTTCCTTGGGTAGAGAGAGAAAAAAAAAAAAACGATGGAGTTGTATGTTCAGTAGGTTCCTGATGAGTGGAAGGGCTGTTACCATGGAGACGAGGAGCAGTTGGTGAGAAGTCAGGAGGAACCGGCATTAATGATAATATGGATGCTTGTATACTCAAGCACACCTTTACAGGAGCACTGTGTCTGGGCAGAATTGCATTTCATTTTCTTGGTGATTTATGTTAGTGTTTTAGAGTTGCTTAATATTCACTCATGATTGATATGCAATTAGCTTGGATCCTGTTGCTTTTTTTAATGATTCTTTTTTTAGAATTTTATGTGGAGAAGGGGCTTTTGAAATCATTTAGCCCCAGACAGCTGGTTAATGACAGACTTGGAGCGAGGAGGCGCATTCTCTGATTTGAGAGGGCTGGGGCAGCCCTGCAGCTGAGGGGCAGAAGTGAGTGTGGGTGTGGGCACAGGGGAAGAGGCTTCTTTGTTGCTCAGCACTACATTGTAAAGAGTACAGGAATTTTGGGTAAGCTCGATACGGCCACCTATGTGTCTGCTTATTACACCAAGTGTGTACCTGCTTTGGAGAGCATGTTAGGGGTGAGTTAATGGTTGTAAAGCCCCAAAATAGCTTGATTTAAAAAGTTTTACTAACAGTGGCATTTGTGTGGTACTTAGATTCATGATTTCAGGGATTCTAACAGCAAAACTCTGATGTGGACTTATCTACATTTTGTAGACCAGGAAAATGAGACTCAGAGTGGTTTAATGACTTGTCTCAGGTCATGCAGCTACTCAGCAGTCCAGCTGGAATTGAATCCTAGTTAAATCTGGCTCCAAACTGCTCTGCTCATCACTTCCCATGGAAAACCATGAAGCCTGACTAAAAAGTTTGTACTTTTATCTGCTAACACTGTTTAGCTACTGGCAATTGCTGAGCAAAGGAGAAATAAGATTTAGGAAGTTGACTCTGGTGGTGTGTTGTGATGAAAGATCTGCTGCCACATGGACTCTGATGATACACACTGTTTTGGGACATTCTAAATGGACTCTATGTTTTAAGGTATGTTAGTTGAAAAATACAATGAAAAAATTTTGGAAGATCACTTTCCTGTAGAGTACCCAAGAGGTGAGTCATCCATAAAACCTGGGAAAGTATTGGAACTGGCTACCAAAGCCAGAAAGACTTGTTGGTGCCCTGAGCCCAGGACTTGCCAATCGTTGCTTCTGTCTTATAGCAGGGAGCTAGAGGAGGCTGACAGAAAACAGGGATTTGGCTGGATCTAGTGGCTCACACCTGTAGTCCCCAGCACCTTGGGAGGCCAAGGCAGAGGATCACTGGAGCCCAGGAGTTCAAGACCAGCCTGGGCAATATAGTGAGACCCCCAGCTCTAAACAAAAAGAGAGAGAGAGAGAACAGAGAGATGGTTAGGGACATAGAGGGACACCTGAGCATTGGGGTGGGAAGACTTGGAAGGTCCCTTTCTGACTTTGTGTCTAGAGAAAGATGGTTCCTGCTTTTGAGGCCATAGGGCTTCCAGTGGGACCAGCCTAAAATGCCAGTGGGGAAGCCAATGTTTTCTGAAGAGGATAGAGCAGTCTTAACAATAGGTTAGGGGCAAAAGAGATTATAGATTAATCAAACAGCACAAATAGAAGTGGATCAAAGCAAGGGTTGGACCTAGGGGGCCGGAGCCATGGAGACTTAGAAAAGAAGCAGAGTTGCTTTTATTCCCTAAGGATGGCCTTATGTTTAGATCAATAGTTCTCAAACTTTAACATCCGTCAGAACCACCTGGAAAGGTAGTTAGTTCACAGGTTATCAGGCCCTTCCCCTGGAAATTCTGATTCAGTAGATCTGGGCTAGGGCCTGAGAACTGACATTTCTAGCAAGTCCCTGGGGATGCAGATGTACTGGTCTGGGGATCACACCTCGAGAACTATTAGTTAGGGTAGTGGTTTTCAACTACTACCCTAGACTCAGACGCTATACTATCTGGAGGCATTTTTGGTTGTTACAGTTGGGGGTAGGGGATGGGGAGGGATACATGCTCCTGATATCTAATGTGTAGAAGCCAAAGATGATTCTAAATATCCTACAAAGCACAGCCCCTGGCAACAAAGAATTATCTTGCTCAAAATGTTAATAGTGCAGAGAATGAGAAACCCTAGTTTAGAGAAAACATCTTTAGGGGCAATATGTGGAAATGGAGAGTGGGTTAGAGTGGTTTTAGAGAAATGTAGCTGTGGGCTAGAGGGGAATGTGGGAGGTGGCATCCTGGAGATAAGATTGTGAGGAAATCTTGATTGGGGTAGAGATCCCATCAGACCTAGGACCAGTACAAACTAAAAAGCTACCTCAAGATATACATTTTAGCCCACTGTCAAGCATCCATTCTTGAGAGCCAGACAAGGCTGTTAAAAAAATTAGGTATAAATTTGCACTTGGTTGATTAACTAATTGCTGTGGGTTGAGGGGTCTTTATTGTTCAGATTTCCTTAAGCTGCAGAGTAGAGTGTCTCTTTGACAATCTATAACTGTATCTTTACTGACTCAAGGGGGAAGCATTCTACTCTTCTTTACTCTTGGGGTGGCAGGAGCAGTGGTGCCCCCAGTGGTTAGGCGTGTTAGTGGTAGTGACCTGGCGTGAGCACAGGGTCTGACCACCTGAGCAGGGGACCGCATCGTGCTGAGCAGATTAATCCCTTTCTTTCTGGGTGATTTTTTTGATGCCATATTTACCTTGAACTGAAGATTGGATAGACCAATCTTTCAATTTGAAGCCAAAAGACTACTCAAAGTATTAGCCTAGCTGCTATTTGTGCAGGTGCTCTTAGAGAGAGGCAGTCTCATGTACAGAGACTGTGTAGGGTGGCTGGTAAGAGTATGGATTAGCTCTGCTACTCATTAATAGTATAACTTTTTTATAGGCAAGTTATATAACTTTTCTGTGCCTCAGTTTTCTTATCTCTAAAATGGGGATAATAACACCTCATTGGATTGTTTGAGGATTAAATAAGGTAATATAGTTTCCTCAGGAAAATGCTCGATACGTCCTAAGGACTGTATACATGTTAGCCACCATCATCGTTATCATTATCATCATCATCCTGTGTAAGGAGGGATCGATATCAATGAAACATTTCAACAAAAGAGTTAAGAGGACTCAGTGATTTGAAAGGGTCTGATGTAATTCCAAGGCTTCAGTCTCATTTACTGGGAGCTGTTTGGGAGTAAGAAAAAATTGAGCTTCATCTTGGATATTTTGATTTTGAGATTATTCATCATACATTAAAAATGCCTCAGAGTCAGTTAGAAATATGGACTTGAGGCTGGGCGCGGTGGCTCACGCCTATAATCCCAGCACTTTGGGAGGCTGAGGCAGGTGGATCACAAGGCCAGGAGTTCAAGACCAGCCTGGCTAACATGGTGAAACCCCGTCTCTGCTAAAAATACACAAATCAGCTGGGTGTGGTGTCGTGTGCCTGTAATCCCAGCTACTTGGGAGGCTGAGACACAAGAATCGCTTGAACCCAGGAGGCAGAGGTTGCAGTGAGCCAAGATCGCACTACTGCACTCCAGCCTGGCAACAGAGCAAGACTCCATCTCAAAAAAAAAAAAAAAAAAAGAAAGAAAGAAAGAAAAGAAATATGGACTTGAAATATTGGGCTGAAATTATAGATCTGAGTATCAATAACAAAGATGAGGTTGAGAGTCAAGGAAATTCACGTAGAGAAAATGTAACTTACTTCATACCCAGCATTTTTATACATGTTCTAATTTCATTTCATACTATTTTAGATAGTATTATTCTCATTTTAAAGCTGAATAACCAACTAGTGAGGTTTAATAACTTGTTTGAGATTTCATAGCAGGTAAAATGATTAGAATATGAATTCATCCATTTATCTATCCAACAGACTTTTTTTTTTTTTTTTTTTTTTTTAGTAGAGACGGGGTTTCACCGTGTTAGCCAGGATGGTCTCGATCTCCTGACCTCGTGATCCGCCCGCCTCGGCCTCCCAAAATGCTGGGATTACAGGCGTGAGCCACCGCGCCCAGCCTTTTTTTTTTTTTTTTTTTGAGGTAGAGTATCCCTCTGCTGCCCAGGCAGGAGTGCAGTGGTACAATCGCTGCAGCCTTGACCTCCTGGGCTCAAGTCATCCACCCACCTCAGCCCCTCCCAAGTAAGCTGGGATCACAGACATATGCCACCAAGTCTGGCTAACTTTTTTTTTTTTTCTCGAGATAGAGTCTTGCTCTGTTGCCTAGGCTGGAGCACAATGGTGTGATCTCGGCTCACTGCAACCTCTGCCTCCTGGGTTCCAGTGATTCTCCTGCCTCAGCCTTCTGAATAGCTGGGATTACAGGTGCGTGCCACCATGCCCAGATAAGTTTTTGTATTTTTAGTGGACATGGGGTTTCACCATGTTGGTCAGGTTGGTCTCGAACACCTAACCTCATGATTCACCCTCCTCAGCCTCCTGAAGTGCTGGGATTACAGGCGTGAGCCACTGCTCCAAGCCAAGTCCGGCTAATTTTTTTTTTTTCTGAGATGGAGTCTTGCTCTGTTGCCCAGGCTGGAGTGCAATGGCATGATCTTGGCTCACTGCAACCTCCGCCTCCTGGGTTCAAGCGATTCTCCGATTCTCCTGCCTCAGCCTCCTGAGTAGCTGGGATTACGGGAGCCCACCATCACACCCAGCTAATTTTTGTATTTTTTTTTTTGAGACAGAGTTTCATTCTTATTGCCCAGGCTTGAGTGCAATGGCGCGATCTTGGCTCACAGCAACCTCCGCCTCCCAGGTTCAAGCCATTCTCCTGCCTCAGCCTCCGGAGTAGCTGGGATTACAGGCATGCGCCACCACACCCGGCTAATTTTGTATTTTTAGTAGAGACAGGGTTTCTCCATGTTGCTCAGGCTGGTCTCGAACTCCGGACCTCAGGTGATCCACCCGCCTCAGCCTCCCAAAGTGCTGGGATTACAGGCGTGAGCCACCGTGCCCAGCTAATTTTTGTATTTTTCATAGAGACAGGGTTTCACCATGTTGGCCAGGCTGGTCTTGAACTCCTGACCTCATGATCTGCCCGCCTTGACCTCCCAAAGTCCTGAGATTACAGATGTGAGCCTCCGTGCCCAGGCCAAGTCTGGCTAATTTTTAAAAAAATTTTGTAGAGTTGGGTCCTCTCTGTTTTGCCCAGTCTTGTCTCAAACTCCTGGGCTCAAGGAATCCTCCTGCGTTGGCCTCTGAAAATGAAAATGTTGGGATTACAGGCGTGAGCCCCCTGTGCCTGGCTGCCTTTTTTTTTTTTTTTTTTTAAAGGCAGAGTCTCACTCCATCGCCCAGGCTGAAGTGCAGTGGCGTGATCTCTGCTCACTGCAACCTCTGCCTCTTGAGTTCAAGCGATTCTTCTACCTCAGCTTCCCAAGTAGCTGGGATTACGGGAGCCCACCAACACACCCAGCTAATTTTTGTATTTTTAGTAGAGACGGGTTTCACCAGGTTGGCCAGGCTGTCTGGAATTCCTGACCTCAGGTGATCCACCCTCCTTGGCCTCCCAAAGAGCTGGGATTACAAGTGTGAGCCACTGTGCCCAGCCTGACTTGTTTTTTATAATGCCTTTTTTTTTTTTTTTTGAGACGGAGTCTTGCTCTGTCGCCCAGGCTGGAGTGTAGTGGCGTCATCTCAGCTCACTGTAACCTCCACCTCCTGGGTTGAAGTGATTTTCTCACCTCAGCCCTCAGCCTCCTGAGTAGTTGGGACTGCAAGTGCACACCACCATGCCCAGCTAATTTTTTGTATTTTAGTAGAGATGGGGTTTCACCATGTTGCCCAGCTGGTCTTTAACTCCTGAGCTCAGGCAGTCTGCTTACCTTGGCCTCCCAAAGTGCTAGGATTAAAGGTGTGAGCCACTGTGCCTGGCCTTTTTTTTTTTTTTTTTTTTTTGAGCAGTTTTAGTTTCCCAGCAGAATTGAGATGAAGGTACAGAAACTTCCCATATGCTTCCCACATGCATAGCCTTCTACATTATCGACATCCTCCGCCAGAGTGGTACATTTGTTACAACTGATGAACCTACATTGATACATCATAATCACCCAAAGTCCATAGTTTACATTAGAGTTCACCCTTGGTGTTATATATTCTATGGGTTTGGACAAATGTATAATGAGACGTATCTACTATTAAATACTTTACAGAGTATTTTCACTGGCCTAATCCAATGGACATTTATTGTTACTTCATTATGGTTGGGCACAGTGCTAGATGCTGATGATTAAGAGAGGGCATGGGATTTGGTCTTGTCCTCAAGGGTAGAACCTAGGCCCATTGCATCTTCAAAGCCCAGGCTCCTTCAAAGCCCAGTGTAGTAGCAACTGCTGTACCTTGCCTGTGCCCTTTGCGTATCTCACTCCTCTATCTCTCTAGAAAGTTGGAGAGAAAAGTGAGCAAGGCATGAGGAACAAAGTTATTTATTTATTCTTCATTCATCTATTTATTCTTTCATTACCGTTTGTGTTAAAACATTCCAAACCCAAACAATTATTTGTATGGTCCCCTGTGTATTACTTGTGGTTTCCCAAGAAGTAGTTGCTAAGCTTTTCCTTGTATGGTTTCTGTGAGGTAAGGAAGGAATGATGTGATTTTCTCCAGTATGTAGAATGCAGTTCCAAGAGGTTAAGTAATTTACTTACAGTTATTTAGCCAAACAAGGTTACTGCAAGGTATATGAAGTCAGGTCTCTTGACCCAGTTCATGAGAGAGTTAAAGGAACTATCATTCTTTTTAGCTTTCATGGAAAAAGAAGGTTGAGTGTTGGGAGGGGTGTGGGTAGGATTGATAATGGACTTCAAAAATGTGAAGGGTATTTCTGTAGTTTTCATTCTTCTGAAAGCCTTCTAAGAGGCAGTGAACCAAAAGCACACAAGAATGGCAAGAAGTTAGCATGCTGAAGAAATATCCTCCTGGCTGGCAAGCAGAGTGAGAAGACTGCTATCACCTTTTCTAGAATCTTTTGGAATTGTAGGAGCTGTTAGATCCTGGGTTAACTCTATGAAGAAAGTCAGAAGGATCAGAGAACATCAGTGTCACAGCTCTTCATTGGAATATCCATGTCTCCTCCTTTACTCTGCTCTACCTTCCATCCTTTGCCACTAATTATCCAGAGTGTTTGTCAAAATTCTCTGTTTGCAGTTCTGAGCTAGCAACTGTACACACTAACACCATCAGACACAGCTAATACCTACTCTAGTCTAGTAGCTTCCGATCTAAGGCAGACACATGGGTATAGTTAAAGATTTTGAATGTACATGTGTCCAATCTGACAACAGTAACACAAACCATCCATTCAAGTAGAAGTGATTGAGTCAGAATTGGATTGCACCCCTTCCCCCACACCCACACACATTTCAGTTCTTTCCTCATGATTTTTTCCTCCCAAGACATCCCAGGAATTTGTGGAGAAACTAACCAAGCGACTGAAAAGACACCCTGAGGAGACAGGAGGCTTCCAGGAGGCACCGCTGGCCTATGATGCCATCTGGGCCTTGGCACTGGCCCTGAACAAGACATCTGGAGGAGGCGGCCGTTCTGGTGTGCGCCTGGAGGACTTCAACTACAACAACCAGACCATTACCGACCAAATCTACCGGGCAATGAACTCTTCGTCCTTTGAGGGTGTCTCTGTGAGTTAAAACTTCCTTCATACTCCCCTGTCTTCCCAATCTTGAGAGAGACTCCCAAGAGGCACCTTCTACAAACATGCATTCTCTGTTTTTCTCAGTTACTTCTTTGCAGAATCAGTCTCCGACCAGAGAAGTAGGGACCTTCAAATTAGAAGAACCCATCAAAGACTAGAGGAAAAAAAATGATGTATTCCATTTTTTTAAACCCCTCCCCTCATTTCTTTTCAAACTAGACCAAGTATTCATGAGTCAGATGAGAACTATAGGATTTTGAAAGACAAAACAGTCTGAAAGGTCATCTTCTTATTCCTTTTAAAATGAAAAGATTAGTTTCCAGAGAGATTTGCTGACTTGCTTAGGCCACACAACCAGAAGCCTGCTGGTGTTCTGTCTGGGGATTTTTTCCCATTCAAATCTCATAAGTGAAGCTCCTTCTCCAAAGAATAATGTTTCTAAAATCTAGGGTATGGGCATCTGGGGTATGTCCTATATGCAGGCAAATGCCATAAATAGCATTCATTCAGAGGCTCAATTACATCAAAAACAGAAGGATTTAAAGAGTCCCTGATGTTCTCTTTCACTCTTGCTTTTGTCTCCTTTGCCTTGCTCCACATGTTCCTTCCCTCAGGGCCATGTGGTGTTTGATGCCAGCGGCTCTCGGATGGCATGGACGCTTATCGAGCAGCTTCAGGGTTAGTACAGGGGCAGGAGGGGACCGGACATGGGGGCTAGGCTGGGGCTGGGCTGGGATGCCCCCTGGGGAAGAATGCCAGAGACATCACAAGATTGCCCTGGCACCTCCCAACTTCTGCCCTTCTCTTTTAACTCTGTTCATCAAGCTTGTAAATAATAATAATAATAAGCTTAACTACAAGAAGATTGATGTCTTTGAGTTGCACTGGTTTTGCTCTTGAAAAGAGGTGTGCAGGCTGGGTGTGGTGGCTCACCCCTGTAATCCCAGCACTTTTGGGAGGCCAAGGCAGGCAGATCATGATCATGGTCAGGAGTTTGAGACCAGCCAGACCAACATGGTGAAACCTGTCTCTACCAAAAATACAAAAAAAAAAAAAAAAATTAGCTGGGTGTGGTGGCAGGTGCCTGTAGTCCCAGCTACTTGGGAGGCTGAGGCAGGAGAATCACTTGAACCCAGGAGGCAGAGGTTGCAGTGAGCTGAGATCACGCCACTGCACTCCAGCCTGGGTGATAGAGTAAGACTCTGTCTCAAAGAAAAAAGAAAAGAAAAGAGACATGCAAATTAAAAACAGCTACTCTCTTTCCCAGTGGCTTCCATTAATTTCAGGAATTTCCCCTTGAGTGGCTTGGGTTGAGAGGTTGATGACCTGTCAGTTAGACTCAAGAAAGCTGAATCTAGGAGAACCGCTATTTTTTTTTTAAGGGAATCTGCCAAATTTCCTTGCTGTGTAAAGCTTCAATGTGTATAGCTTGGCTTTTGTAGATTGTATTTTCTTGAAACTTAGCACACAGGTATTTGCAGAACTTCTAGGAGTTAATTTTTCTGCTCCACTCGGCTCTCAGTCTTTTACGGCATGGCCAAGAGAGCTATTTCTTGGCCTCCTGTGAAAAGTTTCTTTCTTCCTTTCTCCCCACCTCCACATCCTTTCAGCTCCTCTTTGTATCCAGGACAAGAGGAAATGGACTTCAGCCATGGTGAAAGGAGTGTGAGTTGGCTTTTGAAGGAAAAGTTATGGTAACGGAAACAGTTCTAGAACAGAAATCTTAGAAATGACCAAATTTTACTCAATGGCGCTTTAAGAGGCAGATATAACTTATCCAAGGAATTAAAACCCAAGCCAACAGAAGAGAATGTTCTAAAATTAAAATGAAAGCCACTGGGAAAATAGAGCCTGCCCATCATGAGAGGAAGAATAAGCAGAAATATGTGTAAAGCTTTAGAAGCCAAAATCAAAGTGAGAGACATCTCGCCGAGAGAGGTGTGAGGAATGGAATAGGTGGCAGACATGTTGTGGAGCCTCCTCACTGAAGACTTTTAAACATAGATATTCTTATTTATTTGAGTTGTCTTGGGAACCACCTTATATTGCTTTTAAGTCATGTTGCTGATTCAAGAGTCTCGTAGGTCCTTCCAAGCATCCTTAGGGCCTCAGGTGAAAATAAAATCAGATACAACCATGCAAAGCTCTAGGGAAGTGGGAAGTTGAAAATGCCTAGGATCAGCTCTTTGGCTACCTGTGGTCACTCCTTTTATTGTCGTCTGCCCAGGTGGCAGCTACAAGAAGATTGGCTACTATGACAGCACCAAGGATGATCTTTCCTGGTCCAAAACAGATAAATGGATTGGTGAGTGGATCTTGTTTGTATTTTCCTTCAGCCCCTCTCGACAGTCAAGGGAAAAAGTCATGCCTTTGAGTGAGGATGGAATGGTAGAGACTGTTAGGTTGGAATGTGGCTGGCAGCTGGGCCAGGAGAAAGGGTTAAGTGAGAGTGAATACAACCCCTAAGGCGTGGGTAGGGGAGACTGGTGTATTTGGAGAGGGAATAGGCGGTGGTTAGTACTATTTTTAATGGTGCATTGCTGGGGTAACTGGGGATTAGAGGCAGGGGGTGGGCAGAGGGCGGGAAATGGAAACTCCATTTGGGTTTCCCAGATGTCCTGGTGTCTTGATATATTTGAACCAGCTACTTCAAGCCCAGAGCTGTCTCTTTGTCTGTCTCTGTCAGGAAAACGGTTGCTTAAACTATGGAGGAGGAGGGAAAACCTCATGTAATTGTCATCTGCCAAAATGTGCTTTTTATTTTTATATGTATTTTTAAAAATTTTCCTATTTTTATGTAATTTAGAGGTAGACGTGCAGTTGTGTTACATGAATATATTGCATAGTGGTGAAGTCCGGGCGTTTAGTGTGCCTGTCACCCGAACAGTGCACCTTGTACCTAATAGGTAGTATTACATCCCTCAAAATATACTTTTTAAAGAGAGAAAGCAAGCAGTTATTCTTTGTGTACTTGGTCTAAATGATAGGACATAGGAGAGAAACTGAAGGTGGACAAAAGGAAGGACCTACTGATAAAAGAAAGCCTCCTTGAGAATGAAGGGGAGGCTCAACCATTGAAGATGGCTGCCGTCTGCCCTGCCCAGCAGATATCCAGTCATTCCCAGCACTGCTGGAGTTTTGCCCTTTTTTTTTTTTTTTTACAATTCGAATTTAGGACAATGTTCTGGATTGCTATAAATGCTGCATGGCCTAAATTATTCTTTAAAAAAAAAACTAAGCAAATTGAAATTAGTTTTTTTTGGTGAACTCTGACAAATTTGAACTTCCCCCTAATAATAACTGGAAAACATATTTGGGAATATTACCCTGCCAGGATTAAAATTTCAGATTAGCTTTCCTTCTTTTTTTGTTTGTCTTAAGAATAGGTGTCCACACTAGATACTTCAAGGCCTTTTTAGCTTTATGATTCCATAATTGTCATTTAAAACTTTGATTTGGGTTATAAGAAACCTTATAACATTTTTTAATGATCCCCTTCTTTCTCCTCCCATTTTCCTTTGCTGTAAGAAAGACAGAAAAACTTAAAGAACAAACAAAAACAAAGACTACAACTTTGGGGACATGCCTCAGCATTTCCCAACCTATGGATAGACCATTCACTCCATCTTCTCATCTCATTTCTGGTTGCTTCCTAACGGCCCCAGTGGCACTGAGCATTCTGCCTGCAGTAACCTCTGTCCAGTGCAGTTAGGGCCTCATGTCCCCAGCCAATGACTGAATGTCCATCAGCAATCTAGTTCTTTGCCCTTTTCTCCTATCCCGTCTTCATTCCTTTGTCCTCCTTCCCTTCTCTTTTCCCTTCCCCTCTTCCTCCCCTGTGCCATGCAGGAGGGTCCCCCCCAGCTGACCAGACCCTGGTCATCAAGACATTCCGCTTCCTGTCACAGAAACTCTTTATCTCCGTCTCAGTTCTCTCCAGCCTGGGCATTGTCCTAGCTGTTGTCTGTCTGTCCTTTAACATCTACAACTCACATGTCCGGTAAGTTTCTCTTCTGACGTTTTCCTTGTCTGCCTCTCTGAGATACTGATCATGTTCCTGGACAGGATGAGAATAAAACCTGTGTAACTCCCATGGCCATGTATCATGGAGTTTTTCATTCTGACTTGTTGAGAATGAAAACAGGGAAACCAGATATAACCCCCACTCCTACTCCAAAGTAGCTAACGGGAGGAAAAAAGAAAAGAAGAGAAAAAAACAACCTTTGGGGCCAGGTCTCACAGTCTTGGACTCTACATAAATAGCCTGTATTCTAGTGGGGGCCTGTGCTTGGGAAGCCCTCTGCAACTCCATCTTCAGCCCCATGACTGCATTGCTCTGCCTCTCAAGGCTCCACTGTCTTCTCCAATCCTGTCTTCCTTTAGCCCCTGGCCCTGAAATTAGGGTCATGCCATTGCGTGGTATTTGGAGAGCTCAGCCTCCCTGGAGAAGAGGGGTAATTCTCTCTCCCTCTCACCCTCTCCACCTCTGCCCTAGTTATATCCAGAACTCACAGCCCAACCTGAACAACCTGACTGCTGTGGGCTGCTCACTGGCTTTAGCTGCTGTCTTCCCCCTGGGGCTCGATGGTTACCACATTGGGAGGAACCAGTTTCCTTTCGTCTGCCAGGTGAGGAGGTGGTGGGCAAATTCCTTACAGGATGTGACTCTCCCACCCGTCTCAGGAGCACCTTCCATGATTTATGATTCTCTGCCCTTCCTCCTCAGCTTTCCCTGACTCTTGTCCCTGTTCTTTCCTTCTAGCATCACCCCTCTGTTCTCTGTTTGGCTCTGTCCCTTCTTTCTGTGTCTGCAGGCCATTTTCATTCTGTAGTTTACTTGTCAGTTCCAAGGTTGCCATGGCAGGCCTTGCAGAGAAGAGGAGGGAGCCATTGAAGGCAAAGGAAGGGGATCTGCTCAAAGGTCTCCTGAACAATGGTGGCTTGTCTGTGGTATGGGGGCTGAGAATCAGAACTGTGGACTTTTTTTGGGAGCCTTTGTTGGGTTTGGAAGGATAGAAGCAGAGATGGAAACACAGCAGAGAGTTGGGGGGAAGGGACCACTGCCACACAGGGAGGAGGGGCTCTGGGACTGTTGGTACATGGAAGGTTCTAGTGCTGTGGGGAGAGGCCAGCTTCAACAGTGATAGTTGAGTGGTTCTCTTTTCCACTGGTGGAAACACCCACTCTTTCTCCTGATCTGCCTGCCTGTCCTTGCTCTCTCTTTTTCCTCTGCTCTGTGCTGTCCTGATCATACATCTGTGCACATGGCATTTCCATGCACATGCACATGCAGTTCATCAGGAATCCTCTGTTCCCAGTGAGGCCAGAGTGCAGCTGGAGAAGCAGACAATTAGCTGTAGTGCAATAGGAGAGGTTCCAGAGTAGGGATCTGCACAAAGTGCTTTGGGGGCAAAGAAGGGAACACAGTTCACTGCTGGCGTGATTGGGTGGACCTCACTGAAGAGGTGGCATTTGAATACTGAAGGACAAATAGGATTTTATCAGCTAGAGAAATAGAGGAAGGCTACTTCAGGGGCATAGGGAGCATCGTGTGGCTAGAAAATACATGAAAGAGAGTAGATGAAGAGAAAGTGAGTAGTTCAGCATGGCTGGAGCGTGGGGTAGGTGTGGGGCTGGGAGATGAGCCTAGCTGGACAGGTGGATGGGAGCATGTTGTGAAGGGTCTGTGTCATATCCAGAAGTGTTCAGGCTATAACTTATAGATATTGGGGAGTGGTTGGAGGTTTTTGGCCACTAAAGCCAGGAGGTTTTAGCAAGATCACCCTGGTGGTGTGGAAGTAGAGGGTGGATGGGAGGAATTGTTCAAGGTGGGGAGACTGCTCTCCTCCTGCCGCTCCCCGTCCTGCTCACATTTTCGCATCCTCCCTGTGCCACCATGAGCTCCCTGCCCGTGCTCCCTGCCCACTCTCCCTTAGGGTTCTGCCCATCCTTACTGCAGTCCCGGCTACTACTCTACCCTGTTCTGCCTGTGCCCTCTCTTCCTTTCTAGGCCCGCCTCTGGCTCCTGGGCCTGGGCTTTAGTCTGGGCTACGGTTCCATGTTCACCAAGATTTGGTGGGTCCACACGGTCTTCACAAAGAAGGAAGAAAAGAAGGAGTGGAGGAAGGTGAGCTGCTGCCCAATCCTCAGCCCCCAGATCCTTGGCTCCTGGGGCACAGAGCATTTTCCCCTGACGTGCCTGTTCTCCCCACATATTTATCCAGACTCTGGAACCCTGGAAGCTGTATGCCACAGTGGGCCTGCTGGTGGGCATGGATGTCCTCACTCTCGCCATCTGGCAGATCGTGGACCCTCTGCACCGGACCATTGAGGTACCACTGGAGAGGAGGTGCTATGGTCAGGAGAATGAGCAGGGCTCAGTGGCCATCAGGGCCCTGGGGCTGTGTGTGTCTTGAGGGATGAAGCTACTTGGAGAGAGTGCCTTCCTCGTATTGGAAGCTCTTCCTTTCCTTCCTAGAAGGAGCCCCTCATAGGCCTCCAGATTCAGCTGAAGAAAGGAAGGGGTGGGAATCTGGGAAGGGTGTGTAGAACTTCCAGGCATCAGGGAAAGTGGGGAACAAGCACCTCCAAGGGTTCAGGAAAACATTCTTAGGCCTAGAATGAGATTTGGCATCAGCATTGAGGGTCTCATAGGAAAACAGTTGGAAGCCAGAGACTGAGAAGCGTTGAGGAGAGGAGGGGAGGCTGGCAACCATCTTTCTTGTGACCTTGTTTCTGCCCTAGACATTTGCCAAGGAGGAACCTAAGGAAGATATTGACGTCTCTATTCTGCCCCAGCTGGAGCATTGCAGCTCCAGGAAGATGAATACATGGCTTGGTGTGTGGGATGTGGGCAAAGGAGGGCAGGGATGCACAAAGGCAGGAGGGAAGGCAGGGGTAGAGGGCTTGGAGGGAGAGGGGTCTTTGGAAGAGGAGGTAGAGAGCTTGTCAACCCAGTTTGAACACCCTACTCTTTGTTATTGCACTAATCTTTTCTGAGAATAGGGGAGAGTTGCTCTTTTGCTATGAGGAGCTTAGGGCCCAAAGCACAGAAAGCACAGATGAAGAACTTGTGTTCAGCAGAGGAACAAGTGGGGGTAACCCCACCTCCAGACTTGACATTATCTTTTAGATCCCCCTTGGCCTTATTAGCATTGTTCGATTCATGGTCACAAATTGCAAACCTACCCTCTGCCTGGAAAGCCACCTTCCCACCTGTAGGGTAAGGGTGAGGCATGTGTGGCCCAGACTGGCCTATTTCTAGATATTCAACAAGCCCTTGCCTGACTGACAGCAGCTTGCCACCATTGCTTTCCTGTGTGAATCCCAGGAAAAAGTGATGTGGTCTGGGCAAGTTGGGTGGACATAAGGGATAGGGGACACAGGGTGAGGTTTGCTAGGTCAGAGGGGTTGGATTGGAGAGGAGGGCCCCCTTTCCATTTCAGAGTAGGTGAAGGGCAGAGAGGGGATGGGGATTGAGTGAGGAGCATTGTGGTCCTTGTTGCTCAAGTGACTCTCTCCTGCCATCCTAGGCATTTTCTATGGTTACAAGGGGCTGCTGCTGCTGCTGGGAATCTTCCTTGCTTATGAGACCAAGAGTGTGTCCACTGAGAAGATCAATGATCACCGGGCTGTGGGCATGGCTATCTACAATGTGGCAGTGAGCACTGACCCCATGGCATTGACCCTGTAGGCTGACCACAGCAGCCCAGATATAGAGGACTAGGAAGAATCAATGCTAGATCTGGGATCGGTTGCTTAGAAGTCTTAAAAAGTTTGTTAATTCTTCAGGTCTATAAAGCACTTTACAGTTTACAAAGCTCACTACAGACATTGTATCATTAATCTTGCAACTACCCAGTGAAGTAGATATTAGTATCCCCACTTTATAGGTGAGGAAACAGAAACACAGAGACGTTAAATTGCTTGTCTGTGGTTAATGGGCTGGACTCTATTGACATTTCCTGCCAGGGACCGACTCTGGAGGACCCGGAATCTGTGCATAGAGATCCTGGGAGTTCCTGCCTTGAGGGGAGGGGTTAACCAAGAGTGAAAACTGGTTTGGGACAGTTTGAGATTTTTCTCAATCTATATTTGAGGATGATCCTGAATTTGGATCCTTTTCAAAGGGAAAGTTCACCAGGAAACTGTCTGCATAGACTCCCTCCCATGGGAAGTAAACTCTGGATCTTGTCTGAGCCTGCAGACCTGAGACTCCCTCAATGTGTCTTTCCCTCTAGGTCCTGTGCCTCATCACTGCTCCTGTCACCATGATTCTGTCCAGCCAGCAGGATGCAGCCTTTGCCTTTGCCTCTCTTGCCATAGTTTTCTCCTCCTATATCACTCTTGTTGTGCTCTTTGTGCCCAAGGTAAGGATCTGGCTTTTCTCCCACCCTCTTTGTTCCCATGTTCCCTCCATCCCTCCTTCCTATATTACTGAGTTCCTCTGCCCTTCCGTTCACCCTCCTCTCACTCCTCCCCTTGTTTTGGGCCCAACTCTTATCAGCATTCCTTCCACCTCCAACCTTCCATCAGCCAGTCACTAGTACAGTCCTTGCTGGGCCACCCCACGCCCAAACATTTGCCCCCAGATGCGCAGGCTGATCACCCGAGGGGAATGGCAGTCGGAGGCGCAGGACACCATGAAGACAGGGTCATCGACCAACAACAACGAGGAGGAGAAGTCCCGGCTGTTGGAGAAGGAGAACCGTGAACTGGAAAAGATCATTGCTGAGGTGCGGGGGTGGGTGTCAGGGTAGGGTGTTGGAGTGGTCCAGGAGGCTTGCGTCTTAGCTTGGGTTGTCTGAAGCCAAGCCTGAGATACAGGGTCAGATGTTCTTGGCTCATGGAGGGAGGGTCCTAGGAGACAACCTGTAAGGAGTGAATGGAGCAGCATAGGGGAGGGGAAAGGGCTGAGCAAGATTCTATCTCAGGCAAAATCCAGTGTTGGCCTGGCAGGTGGAAGGGCTCTGGAGTGGGAGCTATGTGGTTGACTCAGCCTCCTTAAGGCAAGAGGATGGCTGTTGGCTGTAGGTGACAACTGGAGAGAGGCAGCTGTGAGCCTCTAGTAGTCAACACTCACAGCAGCTGGGTGTAGCATGCAGCCCCAGCATAAAGGACCTGGGCAGGCGTTCACTGTGCCCCAGGCTGTCATTAGGGGCTGGTGCAATGCCAAAGAGAGGGATGTTCCAACTGGGTTGACACATCTCTCTGATTTATTGGAAGCTCTGTGCACTGACTTTTCTCTCCTTCCCCACTTTTTCCTTTTGTTTTTAAATTCTCTCTTATTTCCCTGATCGCATTTTTTCTATCGGTATCCTTATGTTCTCTGGCTTTTCTTGTTCTGTTTTGATTTCTCCTTTTAATTTATTCTGTCCACTTACCCTACGTCCTCCCCCTACATTTTTCTGTGCCCTTCCTCTCTTTCCCTGTGCCCTTCCTCTCTTTCCCTCCTCCCCACTCCTTCATCACCTCCTCTTCTCCTACTATCCCAATTGTGCTTCTTCCTCCAGAAAGAGGAGCGTGTCTCTGAACTGCGCCATCAACTCCAGTCTCGGCAGCAGCTCCGCTCCCGGCGCCACCCACCGACACCCCCAGAACCCTCTGGGGGCCTGCCCAGGGGACCCCCTGAGCCCCCCGACCGGCTTAGCTGTGATGGGAGTCGAGTGCATTTGCTTTATAAGTGAGGGTAGGGTGAGGGAGGACAGGCCAGTAGGGGGAGGGAAAGGGAGAGGGGAAGGGCAGGGGACTCAGGAAGCAGGGGGTCCCCATCCCCAGCTGGGAAGAACATGCTATCCAATCTCATCTCTTGTAAATACATGTCCCCCTGTGAGTTCTGGGCTGATTTGGGTCTCTCATACCTCTGGGAAACAGACCTTTTTCTCTCTTACTGCTTCATGTAATTTTGTATCACCTCTTCACAATTTAGTTCGTACCTGGCTTGAAGCTGCTCACTGCTCACACGCTGCCTCCTCAGCAGCCTCACTGCATCTTTCTCTTCCCATGCAACACCCTCTTCTAGTTACCACGGCAACCCCTGCAGCTCCTCTGCCTTTGTGCTCTGTTCCTGTCCAGCAGGGGTCTCCCAACAAGTGCTCTTTCCACCCCAAAGGGGCCTCTCCTTTTCTCCACTGTCATAATCTCTTTCCATCTTACTTGCCCTTCTATACTTTCTCACATGTGGCTCCCCCTGAATTTTGCTTCCTTTGGGAGCTCATTCTTTTCGCCAAGGCTCACATGCTCCTTGCCTCTGCTCTGTGCACTCACGCTCAGCACACATGCATCCTCCCCTCTCCTGCGTGTGCCCACTGAACATGCTCATGTGTACACACGCTTTTCCCGTATGCTTTCTTCATGTTCAGTCACATGTGCTCTCGGGTGCCCTGCATTCACAGCTACGTGTGCCCCTCTCATGGTCATGGGTCTGCCCTTGAGCGTGTTTGGGTAGGCATGTGCAATTTGTCTAGCATGCTGAGTCATGTCTTTCCTATTTGCACACGTCCATGTTTATCCATGTACTTTCCCTGTGTACCCTCCATGTACCTTGTGTACTTTCTTCCCTTAAATCATGGTATTCTTCTGACAGAGCCATATGTACCCTACCCTGCACATTGTTATGCACTTTTCCCCAATTCATGTTTGGTGGGGCCATCCACACCCTCTCCTTGTCACAGAATCTCCATTTCTGCTCAGATTCCCCCCATCTCCATTGCATTCATGTACTACCCTCAGTCTACACTCACAATCATCTTCTCCCAAGACTGCTCCCTTTTGTTTTGTGTTTTTTTGAGGGGAATTAAGGAAAAATAAGTGGGGGCAGGTTTGGAGAGCTGCTTCCAGTGGATAGTTGATGAGAATCCTGACCAAAGGAAGGCACCCTTGACTGTTGGGATAGACAGATGGACCTATGGGGTGGGAGGTGGTGTCCCTTTCACACTGTGGTGTCTCTTGGGGAAGGATCTCCCCGAATCTCAATAAACCAGTGAACAGTGTGACTCGGCACCTTGCAGTCTTCCTGTGAACAGAATGGGCTTCAATCCAAGAAGGGAGGTTCAGAGGACTCCAAGTTCATGAAAAGGCATTAAAGCGGAGGGTGAAAAGAGGTGTTTTATTGATCCATTGAGGGCTTAGCAGAATGAAGCAGGACATGATTAAGTCTGAGATTAGTGAGTGAGGACACTACTGGTTAAAAGTGTGGGCTCTGGAGTCAGACTGCCAGGGTATCAGATCCAACCACATGCAAACATTTTCTTAGTCTCTATTCCCCATGTCCTCATTTATGAAAATGAGAATAACAGTAATACATTCCTCCATAGGTTGGGTACAAAGACTATTATAAATTGTGCATTCAGGTGCCTAGGTTGGCCCTTGGGCCATGGTATATGTTGCGTGAATGTTAGCCTCTGTCCCTGCTGTTTAATGAGTTCCTTGACAGTAGTGGGCATGTATTGGGAGCCTGGAGCAAGTGCCTAAGCATCCCCTCTAGGGACGCTCCTTCCCAGGAACTAAGAAGAGTAAAAGAATGATGACTGCTAGAAGGTAATGGATGAGATGGCTGCTGAGTGCTTCCAACCTTAAACATCTTTGTTTAGGAACTCTGAGCATCTTGGAAATAATTTGCTATCAAACTGAAAAAAAATCTTGAATGGACAAGGGCAAAAACATTTGCCTGAGACTTTAAACATTTTTTGTGTCATCTTGGAGAGTGCTTTTTTGAAGCTCAAATTTTCTTTTATTTTGGCACTGATTTTTAAAGTGATTCTCAGATTTTTGTAAGACAGCTGCAAGGGTTGGATGGGCCCTGTCATTCACTGACCTGTTAAGAGCCAATTTCTGAACTTCCACTAAAGCATGGGCTGGTTGAATCTTAGACCAGTACTTGAAAAACTTTCCACTGTGATTATCCACCTTGGACCAGTTGGACTTAATTTGAGTCTCTCTTCTTCCCACAGTGAAATATCCGCTAGGAAAAGAGAAGAAGTCTATGGAGTAGATAAGCCTGCAGTTTGGAAAATGAATAGTTGGCATCAGAACAGCAGCAGGAGGCTGGGTGTGGTGGCTCACGCCTGTAATCCCAGCACTTTGGGAGGCTGAGGTGGGTGGATCACGAGGTCAGGAGTTCAAGACCAGCCTGGCCAAGATGGCGAAACCCTGTCTCTACTAAAAATACAAAAATTAGCTGGGCGTGATGGTGGGTGCCTGTAATCTCAGCTACTCGGGAGGCTGAGGCAGATAATTGCTTGAACCCAGGAGATGAAGGTTGCAGTGAGTTTGTGCCACTGCACTCCAGCCTGGGCGACAGAGTGAGACTGTCTCAAAAAAAAAAAAAAAGAAAAAAAAAAAAGAAACAACAGTAGCAGGAGCTATAGAACAGCCCTGGGTAGAACCTAAAAGACCCAAATTATCATCTCAAACTTGCATTGCACTTAAGTGGGCTGTAAATTATAAACAAAGGGTGAAAAGTTCTACTGTGGCCAAAGGTAAGCCAGACACTCTGCTAGCAGGAGTGCAGGAGTCGAGAGCCAAACGGTGCGGCTAGCAGAGTGCCCAGTGCAAAGGGGTGGGAAGGAGTGAGATTGAGAATATTAAAAAGGTACTTAGAAGAGAACTTGTAAGATTTTTACTGGCCAAATTTAAAACATGACTGAGCACTATTTTTCATACAGGCCTCCTACTAATAAGAAAAACAATTTTGAGATAACTACTTATTTGAGTTCACAGTTAATGTTCCTGATGATTAAGATCAGTTGCAAATGTTCATCTGTCAATGCTTATCTACAATGAGACTTCATGTATTCATTTCTGAAAGTGTCTTTTCAGGGTGAATGGTGCTATTGATTAGCACTAATACTAATTATTAGTACATTATATATAATTACAATGAGATATACACACACATACACACACACATATATACATATACACACACACAATGATATATAATTAATATATAATTGTACCCCAAGGGGTGCAAAGGAGATGTGTTGCCAGGTGGAGAGGCTACCGCTTGGCAGTTCTGGGAGGACTTGCTCCCTGTGCACTGTGAGGCAGGCTTTGCCTTTCAGACCTGCCTTTGGGTAGGGTTCAGATCACTTTCTAACTCTGGAATGTCCTAGAATGTAGACTGCCTGCAGGCTTCCATGTCCCCTGCTTTTCCCTGACTTAGCCTGTTGCCTCCCTGCCCTCCTGTTGGTTGTCTACCAGTAGAGAGCACTTTGTGTGCACTTGGCTGCTACATTAGTTAGGTGATCTTCAACAAGTGTTGATGGTGAGTTGCTGTGGCAGGTGCTTTTTTTGGCACTGAGGCAAAATGGTGAGTAAGATGGCTTTCAAGCGTTGTACCTTCTCGACGTGGGAAGATGACCAGTAAGCAGAAAAACAAACGAGATCACTTAAGAGAGCAACCAGGAGTGTTGGGCATCTCACAGCCATTAGCTCTGGTGTGAAGGACAAATCTAAAAGCAAGGGGACTGTGTGTTCATTTTCTGGGGTCACAAAACTAAGGAGCAAAGCCAGTATTCAAACTGCATATATTATTATCTATTGCCACAAAACCTGTTACCCTAAATGGCTTCAGACAACAATAATCATTTATTATCCATCATGGTTTTTGTGGGCTAGAAATTCAGATAGGGTACAGTGGGGAGGGTTCACCCTGCTCCACAGCATCTGGAAGATCTGAAGTCTGAGGGTTGTTGTCCAAAAGATCCTTCACTCAGCATCTAAAGGAGGTATTGGCTGTCAGCTGAGACCCCTACACATGACCTTTCCATGTGGCCTGGTATTCCTCATGACCTAATGACAGTTCCAAAGGCAAGTGGAGGCAGTTGTAGAGAGTCAGCCAGGTTTAAGCTGTATTTTTTTTTTCCCTGACAAAGCCTTGAAAGTCACGTAGCATCACTTCTGAGATATTCCACTGGTCCAAGCAGTCACAAGGCCATGCCTAGGTTCAGGAGAGGAAACACTTCACCTGTTGGTGGGATGAGCGTAAGTCACACTGTAAAGAGAACATGTGGAATGGGACAAATGTGTGTTGCAGGCTGCTTTGGTAAAAGCAGTCTGCTGCATCTGGTCTGCCTGCTGCAAAGCCAGTGTTCACTTCACTTTAACATGTTCTTTGTCCGCCCTCTGAGCTGAGCACCCTAGCCTTGTATATTTGCTGTCATACAGCCTCTTACCAGGCCCTGGATTCCTCTGGATGCTTGGGGGCCAGCTGTGATCTCACCCCAGCAGAAAATGGGAAGTGTTGAAGATGGTCCTGCCAATTGCTCCTCCCACAGTCCTTGGTAGTTTTAGGACACCCTGGATAGGCAACAGTTTGTTTATCCACTCAGGCTTTTGAAACAGATAATTCTGTGACTTTGCCCTTGAGGGAAGCTATCACTTGACATGAAGCTTACCAAAAGGTAGGCTTCATGTTAAGGGAGGCTGTCACTTGAAGGCAGGCAGAAAGGTGCTATTCATTAGCCACCTTATGGTGGGTTCATGTTAAGTGACAGCTTCCCTCAAATGGGATGCTACTCAAAATATTTAACCAGTATGGCATCCACTTACATGGCTCCCTGGAGTGTGGAAGGATATGCTGGAGACTCTCCTGGAAGGTGAGTTCAGCACCAGCAGCAGCTGTGATAGGGACATGTACTGAGGCCTGTGTGGGCTGGACACTGGGACTGATGCAGCAAAGCTAGGGAGACAGATGCAGAAGCAACGTCATGTGGCCTGCAGAGTGCATTCCCCAGGTGTGTGTAGGGAGTGTAGGAAAGAAAATCCTTTTCCTCTTCCTGTCTTAGGTTCTCCAGCCGTGGCTGTGTAAATTAGAGTGGCATAAGACAGATTAATGAGAGAAAAACAAATAGAAGTTTATTAACATTTGCTTCATGCATGTACACATGGGAGTACCCAGTGGTGAACAATGCAAAGGGGCAGTTAGAATTTGGGCTCATGGCTGGGTGTGGTGGCTCATGCCTGTAATGCCAGCACTTTGGGAGGCTGAAGCTGGGGGATCACTTCAGGTCAAGAGTTTGACACCAGCCTGGGCAACATGGTGAAACCCTGTCTCTACTAAAAATACAAAAATTAGCCGGGTGTGGTGGCAGGCACCTGTAATTCCAGCTACTCGGTAGGGTAAGGCAGGAGAATTGCTTGAACCTGGGAGGCGGAGGTTGCAGTGAGCAGAGATCGCGCCATTGCACTCCATCCTGGTTGACAGAGCGAGACTCTGACTCAAAAAAAAAAAAAAAAGAATTTGGAGCTCATATAGTTGCCCCTTGAACAACTTGGGGTTTAGGGTTACTGACCCCACACACAAACGAAAATCTGCACATAACTGTTGACTCTCTCCAAACTTAGCTACTAATAGCTTACTGTTGACTGAAAGCCTTACTAGTAGTGTAAACAGTTGATCAACACATATTTTGTATGCTATACATCTTATATATGTATTCTTATAATAAAGTAAGCTAGAGAAAAGGAAATGTTATCAAGAAAATTGTAAGGAAAATACATATAGGGTACTATACTGTATTTATTGATGCCTTAAGTTTACATCATTTACATGATGAATCGTCTGTCTGAAATGGCAGCAACCCCAGCAACAGACCTTGATCTATGGTGTATATCAAGCAATTCAACTTTTTATAGAGTCATGACTTTGCTTCTTGGGAGAACTTCCAGCATCACTGTTGGCACTTCATATGGGCCCTATGGTGTTATTTAAGGTTCACAGTATTGCTCTAGACATGATGAAATATATGCAAGAATCTTGAGAGACCACTCTTTACTGCTATACACAATTTACTGGATAGATGAACTGCTCATGCAGAGATGATTAGTGTCACTTGGCATTTTAGGCAGATACTTGCAACAGTTGAGCTCTTTGCAATAGTAAGAGGAGGTGGCTATCAAATTACAGTAGAACAGTATACACTACAGTTAATTTTATGCCGTTATGATTTAATTCTGCATCTTTTGTTAAGCTTTCTCTTGACTTTGAGTGGCTTATGTATGGTCTGTAAGTGTGTGCGTAAGTTTTGATAAATTTTATTTATTTTTTGAGACATGGTCTCACTCTGTTGCCCAGGCTGGAGTGCAGTGGCGTGATCTTGGCTCACTTCAGCCTCAACCTCCTAGGCTCAGGTGATCCTCCTACCTCAGCCTCCTGGGTAGCTGGGACTGCAGATACATGCCACCATGCCGGACAAATTTTTTGTATTTTTAGTAGAGATGGGGTTTTACCATATTGCTCGGATTGGTCATGAACTCCTGGATTCAAGCAATCTGCCCACCTAGCCTCCCTAAGTGCCTGGCCAAATTTTTGGTTTTTATAGTAGATTTGTGTATATTTTTTGGTAGTATCTACATATATTTTATACATTTATTTGTTGATGAAAAAAGTAAAATTTGTAAAATATTTGAAGAGGTTTATTCTGAGCCATTCTGAGGAGTTCCTGAGAACATGTGCCCAAGGTGGTTGGGTTACAGCTTGGTTTCATACATTTTAGGGAGCCAGAAGTTGCTGACAAAGACATAAATCAATACATGTAAGGTATATATTGGTTCAGCTCAGAAAGGCGGGACATCTCGAAGCAAGGGAGCTCACAGGTCATAGGGGGATTCAGATTTTCTGATTGCCAATTGGTTGAAAAAGTTAAGCCCTGCCTAAAGAGTTGAAGTCAGCAGAAAGAAATGCTTGAGTTAAGGGGGCGTGGAGGTGGCGTTGGGGGAGATGTTTGTGGAAGCAAAGATTCTTGTTACGTAGATGAAGCTTCCAGGCCTCAGAAAGAATAGATGGTAAATGTTTCTTATCGCACCTTAAAAGATGTCAGACTCATTAGTAAAATCCCTCCTGGATCAGAAAAAGACCTGGAAGGGGAAGGGGATTCTCTACAAAATGCAAATCCCCATGACAAGAAATGGCTTTGCAGAGTCATTTCAAAATGTCAAATAAGTATATTTTGGGGTAAAATACTTTGATTTCCTTCAGGGCCTGCTATCTGTGGTGTGATGCTGTATCAGAGTCAGGTTGGAGTTGACTATTTTATTGCTACAGAGAATCTTTTGTCAGTCTTATGATCTCTATTGTAATGTTAATGCTGGTCAGTTGTCCCTAAACTCCAGAGGAAGGAGGGTATCATTGGCATGTCTTACCTTTCTTCCTGTCAGTTAGGGGGCTTAGAATTTTATTTTTGGTTTACACATGACATACTTTTCTCTTATTTATTTATTTATTTATTTGAGATGGAGTCTTTGTCGCCCAGGTTGGAGTGCAGTGGCACCATCTCGGCTCACTGCAACCTCCGCCTCCTGAGTTTAAGCGTTTCTCCTGCCTCAGCCTCCCAAGTAGCTGAGATCACAGGTGTGTGCCACCACGCCTGGCTAATTTTTTGTATTTTTTAAGTAGAGACGGGGTTTCACCGTGTTAGCCAGGATGGTCTCGATTGCCTGACCTCGTGATTCACCTGCCTCGGCCTCCCAAAGTGCTGGGATTACAGGCGTGAGCCACCGTGCCCAGCCCTATTTATTTTTTTAATTGAGGCTGGAGTGAGGTGGTGCAATCACAGCTCACTGCAGCCTCAACCACCTGGGCTCAAGAGATCCTCCCACCTCAGCCTCCCTAGTAACTGGGACTACAGGTGCGTGCCACCATGCCCAGTTAATTTTTTTTTTTTTTGCAGAGATGGGGTTTCCCCATGTTACCCAGGCTGGTCTCCAACTCCTGAGCTCAAGCAATGCATCCATCTTGGCCTCCCAAAGTTCTGAGATTACAGGCATGTGCCACAGCACCTGGCCCATTAATTTTTCCAGTGCTTCTAAGCTATGTGGTTTGTGAGTTTTTTCAAATTGTCACAAATCTCCAAAAATTTTCAATATACTTACTGAAAAAAATCATGTGTGAGTGAATCCATGGAGTTCAAATCGTGTTGTTCTTAGCAACTGTATAACATCTTGGCTAGGTAAAGGAAAAGGAGTTTGGGGCTTCTGGGTGAGTGGTAGATGGGCAGGCAAGTTATGGGAAAGTGACCAGGAAAATATGGAACAAAGTGGTTTAGTAAGGTTTGTTATGTGGATTTAAACTGTCTTCTCCATTAGTAGAGTTGTACCTTTACAGATAGAAAAGGTTTGTTATGTAGATTTAAACTGATGTCTTCTCCATTAGTAAGAGTTGTACCTTTACAGATGTGAATTTATTTACAAAAGGAAAACTTGTATCCTGTTTTACAGCATTCACTAGTCTGATGATTTTCAATTGTTAGCTCAAAATAATCCACATGCTAAAGATAGTTTGAGGTGGCATATACTGGTACCCTTCAAGGGTGAGCGATTAATTCTGCATAGGAGGAGCCAGAAGGTTTCCCCTTCCCTGGGAGATAGAAGGATAAGACAGGGCTGGGCCCTACACATAAGCATCTATTCATGATTCGGTGAGCCCTTCAGACGTTTGAGGTTTATTTTATTTTATTATTATTTTTTTGAGATGGAGTCTCACTCTAACTCCCAGGCTGGAATGCAGTGGCGTGATCTCGGTTCACCGAAACCTCCGCCTCCTGGGTTCAAGTGGTTCTCCTACCTCAGCTTCCCAAGCAAGGGGTTTACAGGCACCTGCCACCAGCCCTGGCTATTATTATTATTATTATTATTTGTATTTTTAGTAGAGACTTTTTAATTTTTATTAGAGACTTCATATTTTTAGTAGAGACGAGGTTCTTGAATAATGTTCCTTTAAGGCTTCCAACTCACATGTCATGTTAGAATGAATAGTTAAGTGCCTGCCCTCAGGAGACCTAAATCATGTAGGTTTGAAACATCTGTAAGGGATCCTTTTTTTTTTTTTTTTTTCTGGTTGTATTCAATTCAGTAGCTTCTGTATCTTTCTGAAATAATCTCTACCTTCCTGCTTAATCATTTTGCTCCTCGGTGTAACTCCTTCCCCCACATCTCCCTATCTTAATGCACAACATGCTTATTTTTGTCTTTAGCCTTTTCTGTTATAGAACCAAACTGGGGTCTGCTTGCCTGGTGCAATAAAACCAGATACTTACACCAAGGATTGCACCAATAGAAAGAAAGGCATTTGTTGCAGGACACTACGCAGGGAGGACCAGGCAGCTAAACACTCAAGTCCTGGCCTCCCTGATGTCTTGCAGGCAAGGGTATTAGCGGCAGAATGTATCAGAGTTACATGGCATGAAAATATGTTAGCAGCTGCGAATCTGTACAGGTCTGCAGCAACCTCAATTTTTGCCTCCTCAGAAGAAAGAATCTGACTGAGGGGCATAAAGCAGAGTAAGAGACCGAAGCAAATTTTAGAACAGGAGTAAAAGTTTATTAAAAAGCTTTACAGCAGGAACAAAATAAAGTAAAGCCAACTTGGAAGGGGGCCAAGCAGGCAACTTGAGAGATCAAGTGCGTGGTTTTGACCTTGACTTAGGGTTTTATATGTTGGCAGGGTTCCAGGGTCCCTTCTCCCCTGAATCTTCCCTTGGGGTGGGCTGTCTGCATGTACAGTGGCCTGCTAGTGCTTGGGAGGGGCTGCATGCACGGTATGTTTACTGGAGTAGTATGCATGCTGACTTGAGGCATTCTTCCCTTACCAGGGAGTGTTCCTATAAGGTTATAAACCAGTTAAATGCTGTCATTTCTCCCTTAGTGCCCATGCATGAGCCCACTTGCCCAACTCCTGAGATCTTAGTTTCAGGTTTTTCTATTTATTGGGAGACTGTTTTTCCCTGGCACAGGCTGTGACCAATGATTATTTTAGAGAGACAGCTTAACAACCGCCTATCACCTGATGGTTGCCTGACATTCCTGGTGGGGAAGGAGGCCCTTTCCTGCCCTGCTCGTGTCTGACTAACTATTGTAACATGGGTTTTTAAAGGCAGGGGTAAGGCAGTGTGCAGTGGCTCACACCTGTAATCCCAGCACTTTGAGAGGCTGAGGCAGGAAGATCACTTGAACCTAGGAGTTCAAGAACAGCCTGGGCAACAAAGTGAGACCCCAACTCTACAAGAAATAAAAAAATTAGCCAAATATGGTGGCATATGCCTGTACTCCCAGCCACTCAGAAGGCTGAGGTGAGAGGATCCCTTGAATCCAGGAGGTTGAGGCTGCACTGAGCCATGATTATGCCACTGCACTCCAGCCTGGACAACACGGCAAGACCCTGTCTCAAAAAACAGGAAACAAAAAAAGGCAGGGGTAAATTTCAGAAAAGCAGAAGCTACAAGGAACATTGGAAATCAGTGCATAGAGGTTCCACATTTTTTTTTGAGATGGAGTCTTGCTCGGTTGCCCAGGCTGGAGTGCAGCTGTGTGATCTTGGCTCACTGCAAGCTCTGCCTCCCAGGATCATGCCATTCTCCTGCCTCAGCCTCCCGAGTAGCTAGGACTATAGGCACCCACCACCACGCCTGGCTAATTTTTTTTTTTGTATTTTTTGTAGAGATGGGGTTTCACCGTGTTAGCCAGGATGGTCTTGATCTGACCTCATGATCCGCCCACATTGCTTCCCAAAGGGCTGGGATTACAGCTGTGAGCCACCGTGCCCGGCCTCCACATTGGTTTTGATCTAAAAGGGTGGGATATCTTGAATCAGGGACTTACAGGTTATAGGTAGATTCAAAGATTTTTCTGGCCAGGTGTGGGTCATGCTTGTAATCCCAGCACTTTGGGAGGCCAAGGAGAGAGGATCCCTTAAGGCCAAGAGTTTGAGACCAGCCTGCGAAACATAACAAGACTCTGTATCTACACACACAAAATTTTTTTTAATTAGAGGCTGAGGCAGGAGAATTGCTTGAGCCTGGGTGGTTAAGCTGCAGTGAGCTACGACTGCAACTGCATTCTGGCCTAAGTAACAGAGCAAAAGCCTGTCTCAAACAAAAACAAAAAAACCCCAAATTTGCAATTAGTTAAGGAAGAGAACCTTTGTTTAAAAATTTGGGGTCCAGTAGAAAAATGTTAACTGCCTAGAAGGTGTTACTTTCTCCAAGCTCCTCAGGAAGAAACTTAGAACAAAGGATGATGGTTATAAAGTTCAGTCATTTTCCTGTCCTCTGAGGTCTATGCCAGCAGATTCATTTGGTGGGGTTCCGAGTTTCTGAGAGACAACGCAGAGACATATGTTAAGAGGTTATCTTTAGTTTCTATGAGGAAAGCAAACCTATTCAGAACGCTTAACTTCCTTGGCTATTGTCTTAGGCTGCTATTACCTTGTTGCTTTTCAAGTTGCTACTTATTTCTCAGAGCCAGCTAGGTGCCTGGAATTTTCCTTGAAGAAACACAGGATTTTGCTTTATTTCCATGCTTAGGAGTCCCCAAGCCCCTAAAAAGGGGGTCTTTGCATCATCTCATTTCTACACAGTCAGCAAATACTTCTTATTTTGTTTACTCTTCTGTGGTTCAAACCTCTAAGAGGCTTCCATGATCACTGCCGCTCCAAGCACTCACACACATTATTCTTTAATTCTGTATTCCTGTAGACTCTTATTTGCTCCAATTCAGTTGTGTAACTGTCATGTATGCTGGCACTATGTGCCTGACCATCCCTATTTTCACTGGACATTGTGGGGGTTGTGACTGAGTAACTTTATATTGGATTTTCTCACAGAGTATCCAATAGATGACTGTCACATGGAAACAATGAATTTAGGATAAGAGATGTTAGTCCTAAGTCCTATGTTAAACCATTTATTCAACAAAGCAGATTCTTTTAGACTGCTTTATTTAATTCTCTGTTGCATTTCCCCTAGAGTCAGTCTAGAAACGATTTTACTATATACAAACATTATAGCCTCTGGCTGTAGGGAGATGATAAACAGGAGAAAAGTGTAGACATTTCTAGGTGCCAGTAAGAGAAAGCAGATAGAGGGGGTCATGAAAAAAAGGTCTTACTACAGTGATTTGAAAAGTGGAATTAAGCTTAGCCTTACCTGTAGGGCTGAGATTATGATTATGATTATGATTATTTGAGATAGAGTCTCACTGTGTCGCCCTGGCTGGAGTGCAGTGGCATGATCTCGGCTCACTGCAACCTCCGCCTCCCAGGTTCTCCTGCCTTAGCCTCCTAAGTAGCTGGGATTACAGGAGCACGCCACCACGCCAGGCTAGTTTTTTTTTTGTATTTTTAGTAGAGACAGGGTTTCACCATGTTGGTCAGGCTGGTCTCGAACTCCTGACCTCGTGATCCGCCCGCCTTGGCCTCCTAAAGTGCTGGGATTATAGGTGTGAGCCACTGCGCCTGACTGATTAGGATTATTAAATATAAAATGGGGGCTCTACATTAAGATTAGAATATGCTCTAATAACGAGGTCAAGGAGACAATAAGATTAACACAAGGATGGCTAGGATAAAGATTAGGATTATAATAGAATTAATGTTGCTGTTCTGTGCTGATGCCAGGATAAATGTTGAATCAAAATCATTTTATGTTGGAACTAGAAATAAAACTAAGATTTTCCTTTTTCTTATTTTATCGGCGTGTACTCAAAAGGGAATTTGGTATTGCTGCCCTTGCCAGGGAAAAGCTGGGAGACAGCGTATGTGGGATTGGAACCCCAGAACCTTTTATATATTCTCTTTGGAGAGTAAGATTCATTCATTCATTCATTCATTCACTTATACATTTATAAAACTGGGTGCCAATTTTATGCAAAATTCTGGTCCTTGCCTTCTGAGAGCCTGAAATCTAGTGGGTGAACTAAGCCAGAAACACACACACAATGAACTGTAACACAACTTTTTCCAAAAGTTTTATTGTTCTGTTGTTTCTTATGCTTTGAAGTATTTGAAAAACTCTTATTTTAAGGAAGTGAAACCCCTTCGGCTGGGGGATCATTTAGATATAGTTTTAGATTGAAATGATTTCCTCAAAGCTTGTTGAGAAGTTGAAGCTTTTCACCTGGGCCTGGGAGGCATTATTTTTACCAAAAGGCAAGGTTAAGAGCAAGGAGTCTGGAGCCAGTTTTCCTGGGTTCAAATCCTGTCTTGCACATTTGCAAGTGGTAACATAAATTCTGTGTTTTAGTTTTTACCTCTGAAAAAGGATAATAATATTATCTGCTTCATAGTGTTGTTATAAGGGTTAAATAAGTCAATATGTGTAAATTGCAGGGGGTTCCTGACTTTGACCATTTTTTGACTTTATAATAATGCAAAAGAGATACATTCAGTAGAAACCGTACTTTGAGTACCAATATAACCATTCTGTTTTTTCACTTTTAGTACAGTATTCAGTAAATTACATGAGATATTCAAAACTTTATTATAAAATAGACTTTGTATTGAGGATTTTGCTGAACTGTAGGCTAATGTAAGTGTTCTGAGTATGTTTAAGGTAGGCTAGGCTAAGCTATGATGTTTGGTAGGTTAGGTGTATGAAATGCATATTCAACTTACAATATTTTCAGTATATGATAGGTTTTTTGGGAGGTAACATCATTATAAGTCAAGGAGCATCTGTACTTTAAGTGTTACTTGGGTTAACATAACAATTACATAAATGCTTATAGTATCATAACCATATCTATGTCTTTGAGCAAAGTACAGTTCGGATGACCCTGGAGCAGAAGTCTGGGATGTCACATGCAATACCATATTTGGCCGGTAGATGACACCAAGGTCCACAATGTGCCAGCCTAAACATGAAGATATTTTTGTGTCTTTTTGGCTGCTCCTTTACCTGCGATTTGTGGGCATTGTAAGAGAAGAAATAGGACTGAAGAAGCTAAGTTTCCTTTGTAAGGCTCAAGCCTGAAATACTGGGATATTTGATTATGGTGTGAAAGCAACAGTGTGTATTTGAGAGTTGCCTGACTGAAAATTATGGGGCCTGGATTTTAGTTCTGATGCTGTGGACACTGTGTGTTCTTGGGTGAGTTTCCGAACTTAGCTGGGCTTCAGCTTCCCCTTCTCTTTTGCTGTTATTTGAGGAATAAAATAGAATGAGAATACAAAACAGACATATAGTGAAGTGGGAAAAACATGAGGGAGAAGCAAAGAAGATATGGTAGGAATTAGAATTGGAGGTGAAGGAATAGTGGGGATATGGCAAGGGAGGGGAATTAAAAATGGAAGTGATAAAGGTAGGAACATGACTATGGAGGCGAAGACTTAAAGTAGAAAAAAATATAAAATATACTTGATGCCTATAATTTTTCGCATAAAGATACCTCCCTTTACTACATTTCAGTCGCTGTCTCTTGCACACATACATGCACACACACAGACATGTGGCTTTCATCCATTCCCACAATGTAATGGGTGTGAAGAAGGCAGAGGGGCAGGGAACTCAAACTTTCTGATAAAAGCACATAGAATCTCCTCTCTTTTAAAGCACATTAAGCAGCTCTCCCTCAGCTTTGTGTGAGCCCCATTTCCTTCCCCAGCAATCTCCTGAATGCCCTGGTTACCTCCTTGTTCCTCAGGGTGTATATGAGAGGGTTAAGTGAAGGAGTGCCCACTGCATAGAAGAGACCAAAGAACTTGCCCCTCTCTTGGGCATAGGGATTTTTGGGCTGGAGGTAGACAGCAATGACTGAGCTGTAGAAGAGGGTGACCACAGTGAGATGGGAGGAGCAGGTCCCAAAAGCTTTCCTCCGCCCTTTTGCAGAGTTAATCCTCAGCACTGCCCAGGTAATGGCTCCGTAAGAGACAAGGATGAGGCTGAGAGGCACAACCAAGATGAAGACACTGGCAACAGCCACCTGGATCTCATTGTAGGAGGTGTCTTCACAGGAGAGTCGAATTAGAGCTGGGACCTCACAGACAAAATCATCCACCTGCCGATCGGGGCAGAAGGGCAGGTGCAGGGTGGATGGTGTCTGGACCACTGACTCCACTAGCCCAATGACCCAGGCCACAGATGCCAGCTGCCAGCACAGGCGGGGGTGGATGATGGTGGCATAGTGGAGGGGCTGGCAGACAGCCACGTAGCGATCAAAAGCCATCACTGTCAAGAGGATGCACTCAGTTGTCCCCAGGGACAGGAAGATGAAGATCTGGACAGAGCAGTCCAGGAAGCTGATGGTCTTCTTTGGGCCCCAGAGGTTGACCAGCATTTGGGGAACACAACTCGTGGTGAAACAGAGGTCCAAGAAGGAGAGGTTGGAGAGGAAAAAGTACATTGGAGAGTGGAGCTTGGGGTCCAGCGCAGACAGCAGGATGATGAGTGTGTTGCCCACTAGGGTTAGGAGGTAGGAAGTGAGGACAACCACGAAGAGAGTCCTTTCCAGCCCTGGGTGTTCAGAGAAGCCCAGAAGGAGGAAGCCCGGTGTGGAGCTTTGGTTAACCATGGCCTGTTCTTGTTTGTACCTGGAGGGATGAGGCTGTCACTCCAGTGTGATTCAACCTGTCTTATCAAAACTCAGCCTGGGTGTTTGTGAGGTCACAGCAGGTAGGTGTTTCTCTTCTGTCTCTGCTCGCCCAGCCTCCCTTTCCAAGGCTCATCACCATCCAGCAGCTCCTTCTCATTCCCTGTTCTTCCTGGTCAAACATTGTCTAGTGAGAGTGAGGAATCCATGAATGTACTGGACAGCAGATGGATACTCACACTGGTGCCTCTGACTTCCTGGGTGAGGGCAAAGGAGGCTGATTAAAATATGCACTAATTCATTAATTCATTCATTCAGGGGAAATTTATTGAGTGCCACTATGTTCTGAATGCTGTTCTAGAGTTGTCTCTTATCTATTGGATGATCTCGTAAGGTATATTGAATGAATTTTCTGATAAGTTGTCTCTGTAGGCTCAATTATTGCTCTATTGGTTGAATGAATTTTATAGAACTCTGTACATTCCATTTATTTTGTATTTTTTCATTTGCAAGTAAGCTTATCAGAGACAGTGTTTTATCTATGAGAGAGATTTTGTTTTGTTTTAAGATATCCCTACTTATAGAGAGATCAGGTTGGTTGCCCTGGCCTTTTTAGCAACCTAAGTTTCTGAACCAACTGACTTTCAGGGAGGGGTGGAAATTGGTCCACATGCTTCGTCCTTGCCATGAGTAGCTTACAAGTAGGAGGCAAGAGTGGCCACAAGCATGTTAAAATCACCAGGGTTCACAGGAACATTATCGAAAGACTCCAAGAATCACTCTCCCTAAATCTTGTAGTCTTTCAGACACCACCAAAAAGAGAGTCCAAAATTTAAAGGCCAGTAACACCAATGTACTGGGTGAATGAGAGTAAAGGTTCTGTAGGATGACTGACCAATTTGGTTGGGTATATCAGGGAAAGCTTCCTAGAGGAGGTGACTGGACTTTTTCCTTAAAATAGAGATGTATTGGGGCATAGAAGGTCAGTTGAGGGCTGGGGGTGGGAGACTGAAGCCACTCTGGCAGGTCAGAGACAAGGACTCAGGGTCTTACAGGACCTTAGGAAGGCCATGAGGGGAGGAGATGAGATGGTGGGCCACACCACAAACGTGCCATGGAGCTCAGAGGATGGCAGGAATGTCTTCCTCTTACAGGGTCCCCATCTTGTATTAAGCTCTATCACATCTCCCTTTTTGCCAGGACTCTCTGCCATTGTCTCTGTCTTCTTCCTGTTTTTCCCATTATTCTTTTCTCACTTAAAATATATTTTTAATTTTCAAAATATTGTTACATATTTAAACAACTAGGTTAAGGAACTGAGCAAATGTTTCAAGTATCTTAGAAGCTTCTGTGTGCCCCTCCCTGATCTCTCAATTTTCTCAATTTGTCACCCCTCAAGATGTCACCACCATTCTAATTTTTTTTTTTTTTTTTTTTTTTTAGAGTCACGTTTTATAGCCCAGGCTGGAGTGCAATGGCACGATCTCTGCTCACTGCAACTTCCACCTCCTGGGCTCAAGCTATTCTCCTGCCTCAGCCTCCCAAGTAGCGGGGATTACAGGCACTCAAGACCATGCCTAGCTAATTTTTGTATTTTTAGTAGAGACGGGGTTTCGCCATGTTGGCCAGGCTGGTCTCAGACTCCTGACCTCAGGTGATCTGCCTGCCTCGGCCTCCCAAAGTGCTGGGATTACAGGCATGAGTCACTGTGCCTGGCCTCTAAATTTTTAATTATGCCTTCGCTTTCATTTTTTGAGATGTATTTAACGTACCATAAAATTCGCCCTTTTGAAGTGTGTAATTTAGTGGTTTAAAGTATATTCACAAGTTGTGCAACCAACACCATTTACTTCCAGAATATTTCATTACTCCCAAAAGAAACCTCATGCTCATTGGCTGCCGCCCCCTCCTTTGTTTTCTTTGTAATATAAAATTCTTTGCATGTAACCTTAAACAATAGCCAATTGTTTCTTATTTATCCATCATGTGTCATCCTAATTAATTTTCTACATTTCTAACTTTGTCATTATCTTGGCATTTCATTCCTTTCCTTTCTCTGCTATATCGCTGAATCTCTTTAGATTACACCTTTCTTAGTGACTGTTTCCCTTTCCCTCTTTGTTCTCTGTCTTTTCCACTCTCATTATTTTTCTCCTACTCCTTTTCCTTCTGAAATATTCATGCATTGGTCTACGCATTTATTCATTTCTTGAGCCCCAAAGTGCCAGCATTGTGTTAGGAGCTGGGGAAGGAGTTGGGAGGTCCTTTGAAAGGGGTTTATGATAGTCTAGTGACCATGAGCTACCCTTGCTGTTAGTAGCTACCATCAAAGCATGGTGATAAACAACTCCCTGAACATCTGGTTCTCACAGTGACCCTACAAAGAGATAAAATTATCCCAATTTTACCAAAAAGTGAACAGTCACAGACGGGACAAGAGACTTGTAGAAGGTTACCTAGTCAATAAGTGCTAGGACTAGGATTTTAGAGTAAGTTTAACTCCAAATCTGGTCCTCCAGTGTTGAGGATAGGCGGAAACTGATATCTCACAGCCAAAGAGCAAAGGTTCTGCTTACCTTCAATCAAATAAAAATCTCTTCTGGTACCAGCAATTCCCCATGACAGAGCTCTTAACTGGTGCCCAGCCTCCACTTGTACATCAGGAAGAAACAAAAAAATAAAAAGGAATGGGCATCCTTGAATGGGCAACTGCATCTCTGGTCACAATAGGGATTGCTAATGCTGACCATCTGGCACTTTTCTAAGCACACATGTGTGTGATGAGCTGGAGCTGGCTCAGATTATCTCTTGATTAGTAAATTTTTAGGAATTTTGTGAGACAGTTATTAAACCATCAGTGGCTTGAGACAGCCATGGCAGGAATATTTACACTATGAAAATTGGCAAACACTACAAATTAGGGCTCTCCCCATCTGCCACCAACCAAGTTGTTTATTAAACATTTACTCTACACTGCTGATTATCCTTCACAACTCTACATATTATTCTCTTCCTTCCAATATGAAGAAGTTGAAACAAAGAAATATAAATAACTTTCCCAAGGCAGTATAGTTAGTAAGCACCAGAGCTGATGTTTGAACCCAAATCTGCTAACTGTAGAGGGTTTGCACCAACCAAAGCCCACCAAATCTCTGCAGGGAGGATGAAGCCAAGGTCAGAACTTTGCCATTGAGTTCTTTGCCATCGAGTTCTTTGCCATCGAGTTCTTTGCCATTGAGTTCTTTGCCAACAATTTTCCCCCTCAGTCTAGGCAGAGGTGTGCCTCTGTTTTAGTGGCATTGGAGGTAGAAATGTTGACATGGTATGGTGGTAGAGGGATCCCACGGAGGGAAAGAGCTCATTAATTCTGCTGAGACTCTAGGGTCCATAGCCCACAGACAATTCATTAGCCACAAATTATGGTAAAAGGGGCAGGGGAATATCTATAGGAAATATGCCAACAATAGTCATCACTGTGGTAGGTAAAAGAGGTCACTCATTGCTTCTTTCTGTCAACAGGAAGAAAAAGGACAGTGTCTCTACTCCCACCTCCAGTGAGTCCCGGGCATCCTGATAGTCCTCTCAGGCTTATGATTCATCTATTCAGGACCTCAGTTTTTAAAGTTCTCAGCTTCCTCCTTTTCTATTTAGTTATTCTGAGATGGAGCACACTGTAGTAACAGAGAATTATAAAGCTCTGGGTTTGGAGAGTACTTAGAACATTTAGCCAATCTTCATATAACTGAATCGTTATGCTTCTCTTCCATTAGAAAGGGAGCCTATGAGATCAGCTAATAAATGGCATGTACTAGGTCCATGGATCTACCCAGTAGTCATTTCTGCAGTCTCTAAATCTGTAACTGGAATGCACATGCTTGGCCATTGGCAGAATCCCCACATAGTTCTTTAGTCTGTGGAGTACGAGCTACAGATTGAAGTGGAAGCCCTGAATCTACACCTCTTACCGCAAAGACAGTGAATCAAGAACAATATCACAATTCAAGGGAAATGGCTGATTGAGGCCACCTTTAAAGGGTGCGGGGGTTTGTTTCTATCATATTTCACATTTAATTCACCAGTCTGGTCACTACAAATATCAGATGCAACTTGAAAGATGACCAGACTAGCACAAACTCAACCAAGAAATAGCTGTAATTACAGCTGTTGTGCCTGATTAGCACGGTTTCAGGTCCATGTTATATGGCTATTAATCTGGTGAATAATGTGTTCTTTTCTTTTCTTTTTGAGATGGAATCTCACTGTTGCCCAGGCTGGAGTGCAATGGCATGATCTTGGCTCACTGCAACCTCCCCCTCCCGGGTTCGAGCGATTCTCCTGCCTCAGCCTCCTGAGTAGCTGGGACTACAGGCAAATGCCACCACGCCTGGCTAATTTTTGTATTTTTAGTAGAGACAGGGTTTCACCATATTGATCAGACTGGTCTTTAACTCCTGACCTCGTGATCTGCCTGCCTCAGCCTCCCAAAATGCTGGGATTACAGACGTGAGCCACCGTGCCTGGCTGAATGTGTTCTTTTCAAATACTATCAGGAAGAAAGACCAAAGGCAGTTTGAATTTACAGGTATGGATATAAGT
The DNA here is from genome assembly GCF_000001405.40 of Homo sapiens. NCBI lineage: Eukaryota > Metazoa > Chordata > Mammalia > Primates > Hominidae > Homo > Homo sapiens. The sequence continues at coordinate 29,583,330 of NC_000006.12, read as the reverse complement.
GTACATTTACATTTACATTTTTGCTTCAGTACCATGTTAAAACTCTCCCGTCATAATAGGGTCCAATGGGACATGGATGTGCTGCAAGTCCAGGCAAAAAAGCCTTGATTTACATCATTTGCTGATTTCTGCAGTGTAAATATTCTCACCATGGCCAATTTTAAACTGTCAATGTGAGATTACTGAAAATGCAGAGTTGTAGAGAAATGTATGGTAACACACCATTACACAGAATAATTTATAATACAGAGGGTTTTTTTTTGTTTGTTTGTTTTTGAGGAATAAACAAACAGTCTTTATTAGGCTCAGACCAGAAGTCCATGGATCTTGAGGAGACCTGTGTGTATTTGTCAGTTTTCTTTTTCATGTTCTTTTCCACCTATTTCTGTAGCCTCATAAGCTGTTTCTTCTTCTGGTAGTGGATCTTGGCCTTCTCCTTCCTCTTCTTCAGGGTGGCTGTCACTGCCTGGTACTTCCAGCTAACTTCATAAGCTCGGTGTCCAGGCGGACAAATTTTCTTGTAGGCTTCAGACACACAAGCTTGAGGGCAGCAGGAACCACCAAAGCTTTTTCTTGTCATGGGGCGGTGGAATGCCGTCAGACACCTTGAGGTGGTTGAGGGCGGCCTGGCCTTGGTGAGTCTTGTGGGGCAGTGGGCCTTGCACCATCCACCAGAAGATGCGGCTAGGGCCGAGAAATGGCAGGGCCTCCAGAAGGTGTTCATCCGCTTGCGGAGAAAGCCCAGGTACTTCAACTTGTTTCTGTAGAACTTGCCAGAAATGTTGATGCTCTCGCATTGTACGACCACCACCTTCTGGCCTAGAGGGAAGGAAAGGGTTGGGAAGTGCTGAGGGTGCCATCTGAAGGCTCTCCCTCTACCTGTGACTGCACACAGACAGTGATGGGCACAGCAGAGTTCATGTTTAAATTAAAAGATAGCCTAATGGAAAATCACTTCTGAACCAGGAGGACCGCACCCCAGGAATGGGAGTGGCTGGCAGGTCTCAGAGCAGTGCATGGGGTTGGTCTCATGGCCATGAGACTCAAACGAAAGATGGTGATTGTTGCTCATCACCAATCCAGAATATTTTTATTATACAGACAACATTATTTAGTATCTTTATTATATAGACATAACAGATATAAATAACCAGAAGAGTATGGAAAATATGATAAGATAGTTAAATACCTAGAAAATGAAGAGCTTAGGGATTTGTTACCTATGCCTTAAAATAACTTATTTTAAAATAATAGTCATGTTTAACAACTGGTTTGCACAATTTCTGAAAATTTAACAGTTGGCTCCATGAGGCAGTATGAGCTAGCTGCATGCAGCACACCACTGGACGTGGACCTTCTGGACATTCCACAAAACATGACATCGTTCCACTGTATCAACAATATCTTATTAACCAAACAGAATGAGCCATGAGGGCAAGCATATTGGCGGCACTGGTAAGACAAATGCACTCCAGAGAGTGGGAAATACACCCTGTGAAGATTCAGCATCCTCCACATCTTTGAAGTTTTTAGACTTTGTGCCAGGACATCCCTCTAAAGTAAGAACACATTATTGCATTTCACACTTAACACCAGTAATGCAGAATTGGAAAGAGATGCACAGTAACACACTATTACACAGAAGAATTTATAATACAGAGGTGTTTTTTGGAATAAACAGTCTTTATTAGGCTCAGACCAGGAGTCCATAGGTCTTGAGGAGAACTGTGTGTATTTGTCAGTTTTCTTCTCCACGTTCTTTTCTGCCTGTTTCTGTAGCCTCATAGGCTGTTTTCTTCTTCCAGCAGTGAATCTTGGTCTTCTCCTTCCTCTTCTCCAGGGTAGAGAATGCTTGGTTGTCCTATTTAGGATCTAGAGGAAACATATTCCACACTCATGGGAATACCACATGGAACAGTTTACTAGCGACTGACTGAAGCCCAGAGCAGACCTGGGGTCCGCAGCTGTTCTAAGCTGTCATATCAGCCGTGTGGTAGTGCTTTGGTCATGTGACTCAATAGACTCTGGGGCACTAAAGGTATCAGTGGTGGGAAAAGATACAGTGTGGCATTTTGGGCAAGCCTTGAAAGGAAAATCACAACATAGATCCCTGGGGTTCTTCATCAAATCTATGCTGTCTGCTGCAGGAAAGTAAACCCCATTAGGAAACAAGTCCTAGCTTGCTCTTGGGCCTTACTAGAGACAGAGCTCCTGATCATGAGACATCAAATGGCTATTAGGCTACAACTGTCCATCATGAGCTGGGTCCTGTCAAATCAATCAAGTGATGAGGTCTAGTGGTTGCAACATCATCAGTTGTAAGAGAGAAGTCGTATATCCTGCATCAGTCATGGGCAGAACTGGAGGGTAAATGCAAGGTGCTGAAGTGGGGGGCCCAGATTCCCATGTCCTCCACGCTGTGGCCTTGGTACTTCCCAACTTGCTCATACCAGTGGCTCATGGGAGTGTTCTAGTTATTTATTGCTGCATAACAAAGTCTCCCCAAATTTAATGGCTTAAATGAACACAAACCTTATTGTATCTCACATGTTGTGGGCCAAGAATTTGGAACGAAATTGGCTGGGTTTCCTTATATTCCATGTTGCATCAGCTGGGATCCCTTGGAAGTATTCAGCTGGCAGATGGACTGCTCTAGAGGGTCCGAGACAGCTTCACTCACATGCCTGGCACCTTGGTGGGTTCACTGTAAGTTTGGGCTCATTTTCTCTGTCTTCATGCTATCTCAGGGCCTTTCTACATGGTCTGCCCAGCATGATAGACTTTTTACTTGGAAATTCAGGACTCCAGGATAGCAAGGAGGAACAGCCAGTTCTCTTACAGGCTGGCCCCAGAGCTGGCATGGTGTCACTTCTGCCACGCTGTTTTTGTCAAAACAGTCATAGACTAGCACAGATTCAAGGGGAGGGGAAATAGATAGCCCTCCTGATGGGATGATTGTCCGATAGTTTGCAGCCATCTTTAATCTGTCATGGGGGGGGAGGGGTACTTTATGATTGGCTAATGGAGGAAAAATAAGATGACCTTGGTTCATGGATGTATCTGCTCAACACATTGGTGTGAGCTGAAAATGGACTGCTGCTGCATTATAGCCACACTCAAGAGTAGTTCTGGAAGACAGTAGAAATTGTAAATCTTCCCAATGGGCAAAGCTTTGAGTAGTGCACCTGATTATCTATTTTGTGTAGAAAGAATAATGGCCTAATGGAAGAATATTTGTGAATACATGGGCAGTGGCAAATGGCTTGGTTGGTTGGTCAAGTGCTTGGAAGGAGGAGGTTTAGAAGATGAAGAACAATGAAATTTGAGGAAGAGGCACTTGGATAGGTTTATGAAAATGGGAAATCTTTTTATTTATGAAATTGGGAAAATTGTGAATATCTTTGTGTTACATGCTAATGCCCACTAGAAAGCATCCACAATAGAAGAGGCTCTAAACCTCTTCTAAACCAAGTAAACAGTGACTATAGGCCAGTTCACACTAAGCAGTCTTCTCCACAGGCCACCCTAGTGCTGGTAAAAATGGACTTATGAAGGCAGTAACTATGGTGGCAGGATGCAGGTCTGTATGTGTTCAACAGCATGGCTTTCACTCACCAACACTGATCTAACTCCTGCAGCTACTGAACGTCCGGCCTGCCAGAAACATGCAAATGCTGCCCTTGATATGGCACTATATCCTGGGCATGAGTTTGCAGGTCCAGGATTCAAATTGGATGCTGCGCAATGCGAAAGGGCTCTGTGTATTTGTAGAAAACCCCCAAACTGACCATTTTCTCCTACTATATTCTCAACATTCAACACTTCTAGTCACCAAAACATGTTCGTTTTTATTTTATTTTATTTTGTTTTGTTTTATTTTATTATTTTTTGAGATGGAAGTCTTGCTCTGTTGCCCAGGTTGGAGTGCAGTAGCGCGATCTCGGCTCACTGCAAGCTCTGCCTCCTGGGTTCATGCCATTCTCCTGCCTCAGCCTCCCGAGTAGCTGGGACTACAGGCATCTGCCACCATGCCTGGCTGATTTTTTGTATTTTTAGTAGAGACGGGGTTTCACCTTGTTAGCCAGGATGGTCTTGATCTCCTGACCTTGTGATCCGCCCGCCTCAGCCTCCCAAAGTGCTGGGATTACAGGGCTGAGCCACCACGCCCGGCCAACATGTTGGTTTTTCTTCCAGACTGACCAATACATTCTTCAGTGGACACCAACTTGGTGTCCTATAATTCAATTCAATTCACTTCTGACATTATTCACCTGGAGATACAGTGAGATCCCACAGGTTAAAGGATCCCATAAGGCTGCTCCCCACTTCAGATGCCAATCACAAGTCCAAGCTTCTGGAACTTCTGACCTACTGGGAACCCTACTGGGGGTTCCCACAATCCCCTCCTTGGGTTTGATGATTTATTAGAGCAGTTCACAGAATACATGAAAGCTCTTTAGTTCAATTTACCAGTTTATTATAGAGGATATTCCAAAGGATACAAATGAACAACAAAATAGAAGAGATGTACAGGAAAAGGTGTGTGGGAAGGGTTACAGAGCTTCTGGGGCATGCTGCCCTCTCAGCATTTCTGTGTGTGCACCAGCCTGGAAGTTCTCGGAGCTCTGTAGTTCAGGGATTTTTGTGGAGGCTTCATCAAATAGATATAGTTGATTATTAACTCAATGTCTAGCCACTCTCGATTTTCTGGAAGATGAGGGTAGAGCTGAAAGTTTCAAACTTCTAATCATGGCTTGGTCCTTCTAGTCAGAGTCCCCATTCAGGGGTCCCCCAAGGGGTCACCTCATTAGAACAAAAGATGCTCCTGTTACCCAGGAAATTCCAAGGGATTAGAGCTCAATGTTAGGAACTGACATATTTGGTCAAAGACCAAATATTAGAACAAAAGACTCTCCTAGCACCCCTATTGCTCAGGGAATTACAAGGGCCTTAGGAACTCTGTGCCAGGAACTGGGATCAAAGGCCAAATATGTATATCTTATTATATCACAATATTACAGCCTCTTGGCCACCGCATTATTCTGCAGCCCATGACTGCAATAGCTTTTTGGATTATATTCAGATGCTTTTCACATGTGGCGATAGACTCAAGTACCATACTCAGTGATGACCTCAGAATTACATGTCATTTTGCTATGAGTCTCTCCCAAGTTTAGCTTTTTGAAAAATCTTTTGGTTTCATATTATATTATGGGATATATTAGCAATCTCTGATAGTTTTGTGGCATATTAAATATTCATGGATGAAGCAGCTTTGGGAGTCGATAATGGATAGGGTGTTTATAACTAACCTAATTTAAATTTTATTCTAGTTACTACATTACTATGGCTATTTTGCCTGGCAATTAATGAAGAGCACTGGAACTGATTCTTACTGGGGCATAAACTTGTAGCCACTTCTGCCTTGAACCTATTAACTGCTTAAAATTTACACACACACACACACATACACACAATTTATTTTGAATATGTAAAGCACACACAGCTGTAACATTTAAAAGACAGGCAAAAATATAAAGTGAAAAGCAGATTTCTCTTCCATGTCTGCTCTTCTTCAAGTTACTGCTGTCGATGATGTCATAGGGCTCACTAGCTCCAGAAACAGCTTCTTCTGCAGGAACCTGGGAGGCTTCCAAGACACAAAGGGATTTTACTTCCTGCTGAACGACGTTGGTGATGGCTTTCTTGACTCCTCTAGACCTTGCGACCGCCGGATCCCAGTTGGCGTAATCTGCCACAGTCTTTGGAAGGAGCAGGCATCATGGGCCCAGAGCTTGAGCCGATTTCTTCTCCTCGACACGGCGCTCTTGTCTAGGGGAGGCTGGCACAGAGGTCTGCAACCATGGGCCAGCTCCGCCCTGCTCTGCTGTTAGCCCACGCTGGAGGCCAATGCTTTCGTGAGGACGCAGGCCCTAGGATTTCTTTCTGTAAATATAGTCTATCCTCCATTCCCACAGGTTCTGCATCCACAAGCAAACATGAATTGAAAATACAATATTCTCAGGATGCTAAACTCATGGATGTGAGAACCGACTTTTTGTATTTGTGAGTTCTGCAAGGTCAACTTTGGGACTTCAGCATCTGCAGATTTTGGTATCTGAGGGGTGTCCTGGAACTAATTCCCTGGGGATACTGAGGGGTGACTGTAATAAATATTCATTACATACCTACTGTGCCAGATACTATGCCAGGCACTAAGAGTATAAGGATAAGTGAGCCAAAACCCTGACCCTCACTTTCCTTACTGTGTACTTTGAGAGGCAGACAATTAAAAAGATCCTGTTACTTCATGGGAAGTGCTTTTTGTTGGTGGTAGAGAGGAGCTGGAGGGGAGAGTCTTCCAAAGAGAGGGAGGAGCACGTTCAAAGGCTAAAGGTGGCAGAGAGCCTGGTGTGGTTCATACACTTGCACTTGCAGGTAGTTGTGTGAACTTGCAGGATTCTAGGTGGTTGAGCCTTAGGAGGTGGGGATGGTAAAGTCTGGAAAACAGGAACCCGATCTAGGAGTTTGGGCTCCACATTTTATTGCAGGGGGATTCTATATATTATTTTTGGCTAAGGGAGTAACATATTCAAATTTGTATTTTGGAATGATTACTCTGGTTCAACATGGATAATCAATTTCAATCGGTCAAGACTGGAGGCAAAGAGCCAGTTAGTAGTCATTCATATCATCCACCAAATATTTCTGGTTCCCTTTCCTGCCACATGATTGGTTTATTTCCCCTCACCTTGAAGTTATATGTAGCCATGAGATTTGCTTTGGCAAATGACCAATGAGTCAAAGTGTTATGCCACTTCCGATTGGAAACTAAGTGCTAGTTTGCCATTTGTCATGCTTATTATTTCCTCCTTTCCCAGCACCTAGGAGTGTTTGAGATGGTGGGTGTTCTGTCAGTCCACATCTTTGGGTGAAGATGACAAGGCAGAACCTCTGGTTGGATGACAATGGGCATGCAGCAGCAGCAAGAAATAAACCTATGCTGTTTCAAGTCACTGAGGATTGGTATTGTTATCACAGCATAACCTCTTTCCTGACAGGAAAGAGGAGAGAATGGTTCAGTTCTAAACAGATTTTTCCATCACACTCTCCATTCCATTCATGTGAGGCTTTGAGAATGTAATGAATGTAGATCAACTTGAAAAAGGAAATAAGATTTCATAGAAGTTGGGGCTTACACTGCTGCTCCCTTTTTTCTGAGGCCCTTGCTCCATCCAGGCTCCATTGCAGCACTTTATTACTTACAATTGGATTTCATGTTTGTGCCTGGCTAGTAGAGGTTGGTCAGAATTTCAGAACTGCACTAGAAAATGGATGCAGGACAGCTGTTAGCACTGTGTAGCCACTGAAGAGCAGACTCACAACTCCTCATGGTCACTGTCATGCAGAGGTTGAGAAGAGGTAAAGGAAAATCATCTCCAGGAATGGGAGCACATTTTCAGGATTTGGCAGGAGATTAGTGTTGTGATCCCTGGAAAGCTGGATGATCAGAAAACTTACTAGGACTGGAAAAATAGAGTTTTCTGCCTGATAACCCATTTGGGTATAAATCCTAATGATGTTGGTATATTTATAATGGTGTAAAACCAACAGCATGCACTTGGTAAGTTAACAGATATGCATCTCAATTTAGGTCTAACAAATTGCTGTGTGTTCTTGGGTGAAATTACTAAATTCTCTGAGTGTCAGCTTCCTGTCAGTCCACCTCAAGCAAGTGGAGATGAACCATCCTGATGACAAAGGAAAGAAGACATTGTCAGAATCAGAAGTGGCTGGGTGATGTGGCTCACTCCTATAATCCCAGCACTTTGGGAGGCCGAGGCGGGTGGATCACCTGAGGTCAGGAGTTCGAGACCAGCCTGGCCAACATGGTGAAACCCCGTCTCTACTAAAAATAAAAAATTAGCTGGGCATGGTGGCATGTGCCTGTAGTCCCAGCTACTCAGGAAGCTGGGGCAGAAGAATCACTTGAACCCAGGAGGCGGAGGTTGCAGGGAGCCAAGATCGCACCACTGCACTCCAGCCTGGGCGACAGAGTGAGACTCCATCTCAAAAAAAAAAAAAAAAAAAAAAAAGAATCACAAGTGATGGTAAAATGATGATGATAATGTAACAATCGGAGAGGGGTTACATAACCAGAAATAGGCATGGTGCATTTGGAGAACCTGTAGGGGAGAAGAGAGTTAAAAACCAAATTGAAAAGAAAATAAAAATATAGAAATTAAATATTAAAAATGGGCAGGTATGATAATCTTTTTGAGCTTTAGATGTTAATTAAAGATACCTACCTCCTCTTACCTGACTCTTAGTCTTTCTCTGTCTCTTTCTCTCTCTCACACACACTCATATACTGTGACCCATTGTAAACACTGTGATGGGTGTATGAAAGGTAGTATACTTGGGAGCTCAAACTTGTTCACAAAAGGATAAATAATTTCTTCTTAATTTAGAAAGCACATTAAACAGCTCTCCCTCAACTTTGTATGAGCCCCATTTCCTTCGCCAGCAATCTCCTGAATGCCCTGGTTACCTCCTTGTTCCTCAGGGTGTATATGAGAGGGTTAAGTGAAGGAGTGCCCACTGCATAGAAGAGACCAAAGAACTTGCCCCTCTCTTGGGCATAGGGATTTTTGGGCTGGAGGTAGACAGCAATGACTGAGCTGTAGAAGAGGGTGACCACAGTGAGATGGGAGGAGCAGGTCCCAAAAGCTTTCCTCTGCCCTTTTGCAGTTAGTCCTTAGCACTGCCCAGGCAATGGCTCCATAAGAGACAAGGATGAGGCTGAGGCACAGCCAAGATGAAGACACTGGCAACAGCCATCTGGATCTCATTGTAGGAGGTGTCTTCACAGGAGAGTCGAATTAGAGCTGGGACCTCACAGACAAAATCATCCACCTGCTGATGGGGGCAGAAAGGCAGGCGCAGGGTGGATGGTGTCTGGACCACTGACTCTACCAGCCCAATGACCCAGGCCACAGATGCCAGCTGCCAGCACAGGCAGAGGTGGACGATGGTGGCATGGCGCAGGGGCTTGAAGATAGCCATGTAGCGGTCAAAGGCCATCACCGTCAGGAGGATGCACTCAGTGGTCCCCAGGGACAGGAAGATGAAGAACTGGACAGAGCAGCCCAGTAAGATGATGGTCTTCTTTGGCTCCCAGAGGTTGACCAGCATCCCGGGGACACAACTTATGGTGAAACAGAGGTCCAAGAAGGAGAGGTTGGAGAGGAAAAAGTACATTGGAGAGTGGAGCCTGGGGTCCAGCACAGACAGCAGGATGATGAGTCCACCGGGGTTAGGAGGTAGGAAGTGAAGACAACTACAAAGAGAGTCCTTTCCAGTGCTGGGTGTTCAGAGAAGCCCAGAAGGAGAAAGCCTGGTGCGGAGCTTTGGTTAACCATGGCCTGTTCCTCTCTGTATCTGGAAGGATGAGGCTGTCACCCCAGTGTGATTCAACCTGTCTTATTAAAACTCAGCCTGGGTGTTTGTGAGGTCCCAGTAGGTGAGTGTTTCTCTTTTGTCTCTGCTCGCCCAGCGTTCCTTTCCCAGTCTCATCACCATCAAGCAGCTCCTTCTCATCCCCTGTTCCTTCTGATCAAACATTGTCTAGTGGGAGTGAGGAAACCATTAATGTGCTCAACAACGGATTGAGCCTCACACTGGTGCCTCTGACTTCCTGGTTGAATGCAAAACGTCTGATGTGAAGCATAGATCAGCTAACTAGTTAGTTTTTATTAATTTTGCAAAAATTTATTAAGTACCTATTATGTTCTGATCGCTATGCTACTACTGAATTTTCCCTTTGTTATGTGTGGAAGGAAATACAAAGAAATGTGTGTTCAGTGAGTTTCCTAATTGTAAACATTACTAGAGAATTCATCATGTTTTCTAGTGGTGGGCATAAATTTTCTCAAATCATTCACATTCTATCTACTTTACACTTTTGCAAGAGATTTGACCAGTGATAGAAATGTGGACTGTGGAGATTTCTTCTGTATGTGAAATGACTCAACTGCTAGAAAGATCAGTCAGGTGATTTAGGTCTTTCAAAAAAAATTATGACTTATTAAACTAAGAACAAACATTTCTCCTGCAAATGAAATGTCCTGCCTAAATTTTCCATTATGTGTAATATGTAAAAATAAGAAAAAATATAATGTCAGTCAGAAAGATTATTTTCTGGTTCTGTAACTGCAAAAAAATCCTGAAGAATTGATGTTTGGTGTTAGAAAGCTGAAATAGATTTCAATATCCTCTCCTTTTCATGTAAGATAAAATATAGTAGTAAAAACATACCATGTTGAGTTTGGGACATGTAAGTAGAATTTTGCTTTTGAAAATGCTCGGTTAATTTTATTCACATGCAATTAAAAACCTTTGATTTTGAAATAAGTTGAAACTTACAGAAAAGTTGCAAGTGTAGTTCCAAGAACTTCTATATAACCTTTATCAAATTCATCAATTTTTAGTATTTTTACTCATTTTCACTATCATTATACTCAATATGTTTATGTATTTTCATTTTTACTCTGAGTCACTTGGGAATAACTTGTGGACATCATGCCTCTTTCTCCTTATTGTCTTAGTATTCATATTCTACAACAAGATGATCTTAATTAACACTGTACAGCAATTAAATTCAATAAACTTAAAATTGATACAGTATTGTTATGTAACACACAGTCCATATTCTTATTTTCTCTATGTCCCAATAATGTTCTTTGTAGGATTTTTTTTTTTCCACGTAGGATCCAGTTGAGAGTCACATATTGTACTTAGATGTCAGGTCTGACTTTATCCTCTTTAGTAGCCTATCCTAAGTCACTGAAGTAAGGAGTCTACTTCAAATTATTGAACAATGTGGTCATTCAAGGCGGAGGAGCTTATGGGCTGGAAGAAAGAGTAGTCTCATGGCTTTGAAAAACCCTGGGTAGTACATTCAACATCAGCAGAAAACTTGAAACATTGCAGGCAAATAAGGCAAAAATATTGGGGTAGGGGGCTAGAGGTGAGAGATAGATCTGTAAAGAAAATGAGTAGGGTGGTTGAGTGAATCAGGGAATGCTTCCTGGAGGAGGGGACTGTGTTTTTGAGAAGGTGAAGAGAGTTTCAGCACACAGGGCCAACTCAGATATGGGTGGACGGTGGCAGCCACTCTGGCAGTTGAGAGGCAGGAACTGGGCAAGTTGATGGGGAGGTGGCTGGAGAGGCTATAGGTTGGCAGCATCTACCCATTGCAGTGTCTCTTTTTTGTGTGTTTAAAAGCCCCATCTCATCTTTTTATTTGTTCAACCTGTTTATATTTGTCTCTTTTTTCGTTTCCTTCCTCCTATATTCTTTTTACTCTGAGAAAAATTTTTCCTTTAAAATATTGTTGAATATTTTAACAAAAGATTGTTTAAATCTTAAAAGCCTTCTGCGTGCCCTTCCCTAATCATACCTACTACCTACTCCTGAAGACGCAATGACTATTTCAATTATTACTTTTACAAAATCATTCCTATATTGTCTTATAACATTACACCCTTTGTGTTGGTAAAAAATAGCCAACTCCTCCTTATTTATCTGTCAACCATCATTCTAATACACTTTCTGCATCCCTCTCTTACACTCTTATACTCTTGGTAATTCATTGCTTCACTCTATGTCATTTTTCAGTCTCTTCAATTTACATAGTTCTTTGACTCTCTTTCTGTTCTCTCTTGTTCTGTGTTTCACAACGTGTATTTGTTCTCACTCTCTTTCTTCTGGTCTTTTTAATTTTTCTTGGACACCCACAAAAGTCCAGTACAACTTTACTCTCTTCCTATTAATTTCATATTCACGGATGTATTTATTTCTTTATTAATCACCAAAGACCTAGTTGTGTACTAGGTGCTACAAGGGAATGAAATATCAATTCTTTTCTCCAATTCATTAGTGAAAACCACGTTAATACTTTGGCAGCTACCATCTGTTGTGTGCTTCCTATACACCAGGCACCATGCTAAACATTTCCTGAATACCTGGTTCTCATAACTCTTTGAGGTAGTTAATATCATCTTCCTTTTACAGAAGAAGAAATGGTCGCAGAGAGGTTAAGTAGCTTGCCCAAGGTTACATAGCCGATGAAGACCAGGCCTGGAGTCTGAGTCCTGTTTGATTCCAAATCTGGTGCTCCTGGGGTAGCTCTACCATTGACGATATGTGGACATTAATGGACAGTAGGAGAAGAATAAACTTATAACTTTTCCTCAATCATGTCACAATCTCCCCATTGCCTGCTGCCGGAGCTTCTCCCTGACAACGAGCTTCTAGACTGAGTGAGCCTCTAGTTAATCCTCACAATGAAATCTACAAGCAAAGTCAGGAGTGTTGGGCACCTTTGAAAGGGTGGTGGATTAGGGCTCAGGTAGTAATGTTGACTTCTAATGCTGCTGCCACACCTTTCAAAGCACTTCACAACCTCTGTATGACCTGGATAATATTTCTATATTCTATATTTATTTTCAGATGAAGAAACTAAAACATAGGTTAAATAATTAGCTCAGAATTATATAGCCAGAGCTGAGACTTGAACCCAGGTGGGTTGGCTCTAGAGTCAGGCACAAACTATACCCCACCACCATCCTTCTTCTGGACCTGTAAGGCTGAAGGTTGCTCTTTGCCCACAACCTCTCCTCTTCAACCTAGTAAGTTAACCTGTCTTTTAATGGTAGTGGAGATAGAGAAGAAAACGTGGTGAAGTGATGGAGGGAGGGATCCCGGGACTCCCATCCCATGGAGAGAAATGGCTTGTTAATTCTCCCAAGACTCCAGAGCGTCACAGTTCACAGACAATTAATTAGCCACTGGTGCTAATGATGATTAAGAAAGAAGGAGATGATTCAGAGGAAACGTGCCAGCATTGGTGCTCCCTGTGGTAAGTAAAAAGGTCACTTCTGCTCCTCTGTGTCATTGAGGAGCACAAGGTCATGTTTTCTCATTGCCACCTCTCCTGAGTGTGTCCCATTCTTTTCTCTCAAGTCTCATTTGAACCCATGTAAGACTTCGTTATTTCTTGTTTCTTCTCTACTGGTAGACATTTGGATATAATTTACATGCAATAAAATGCACAGATTTGAAATATACGCTTTGATGAATTTTGATGACTTCAATGAAGAAACAGAAGATTTCCATCATCCTACAAACCTTCCACTTGCCTCTTTCCTTGATACTTAGTTTTGCCTCTTCTAGGACTTCATACAAATGGAATAATATATACTCCTTTGAGTAAGAATTATTTCACTAGGAGTAATTATTTTGCAATTTATTCATGTTGTTTCAAGTATCAGTAGCTCATTTCTGCTTTTAAAATCAACTTCAGTCTGGGCATGGTGGCTCACATCTGTAATCCCAGCACTTTAAGAGGCCAAGAGGAATGGATCACCTGAGCCCAGGAGTTCGAGACCAGTCTGGGCAACATAGCAAGACCTTGTCTCTACGAAAAGTACAAAAACTTAGCCGGGTGTGGTGGCCTTCATCTGTAGTCCCAGCTCCTTGGGGGGCTGAGCTGGGAAGATAACCTGCGCCTAGGAGATTGAGGCTGCAGTGAGCTGTGATCATGCCACTGCACTCTAGCCTGGGTGACAGAGTCAGACCTTGTCTCAAAAAAACATAAAATAAAATAAACTTCTTTAAGATAGAATTTACATGTAATAAAATGCACACATTTTAAGTATATTGTTCAATATACTTAGGAGGTCAAGGCTGTAGGGAGCCGTGATTGCACCACTGCACTACTGCACTCCAGCCTGGGTGACAGAGTGAGACCCTGTCTCAAAAAAAAAAAAAAAAAAAAAGCAAGCAAGCAAGCATTCATACATTCATACCACCTGATTTCATTGACATAACTTTCCTACAACAGGAAAAGCAAATCTAGCAAGATAGAAATCAGATGATTGGTTGTCTGGGACAGGGCATAGGATAACTTTCTAGAATAATGAAAATGCATGCTCTATATCTTGAATGGGGTATTGGTTATCCAAGTGTATGCACTTGTCAAAACTTATTGAACAATATACTTAAAATGTGTGCATTTTATTACCCGTAATTTGTACTTCAATGAAATTTACTTTTTTTATGTTTTTTGAGACAAGGTGTTACTTTGTCACCCAGGCTAGAGTGCAGTGGTGTGATCACAGTTCACTGCAGCCTCAACCTCCTGGACTCAACCCCCCAAGTAGCTGGGATTACAGGTGCAGGCCACCACACGCGGCTAAGTTTTGTACTTTTTGTAGAGACAGGGTCTCGCTGTGTTGCCCAGACTGGTCTCGAATTCTTGGGCTCAAGTGATTCACCCACCTTGGACTCCCAAAATGCTAGAATTACAGGCATGAGCCACCATGCCTAGCTTCATGCCTTATTTCTGGCTTCTGTTATCTGGCTTGTTATGGAAATTCATTCATAGTGTTTCATATATTAGTAATTTGCTCCTTTTTATTGCTAATAGTATTTCACTGTATAAATATACCACAGTTTATCCATTCATGCATTGATGGGCATTTGGGTTGTTTCTAGTTTTGGGCTGCTATGAAAGAAGCCACAATTGTTGGGTATGGTGGCTCACACCTGTAATCCCAGAACTTTGGGAGGCCAAGGTGGGAGGATACTTGAGCCCAGGAGTTTGAGACCAGCCTGGGAAACATGATATAACCCTGTCTCTACAAAATAATACAAAATATTGGCCGGGCATCGTGGTGCATCCTGTAGTCTCAGCTACTTGGGGGGCTGAGGTGGGAGGATCACTTGAGCCCAGGAAGTTGAGGCTGCAGTGAGCCATGATCATGCCACTGCACAACAGCCTGGGTCCGAAAAAAAGAAGAAGAAGAAGAAGAAGAAGAAGAAGAAGAAGAAGAAGAAGAAGAAGAAGAAGAAGAGGAAGAGGAAGAGGAAGAGGAAGAGGAAGAAGAAGAAGAAGAAGAAGAAGGAGAGAACAGTTAGTTGTGTTGTATATGGTTCTTCGTTCTTTGTGTGAACACATGTGTTCTTTATTTTGGGTAAATACCTAGAATTGGAATTTCTGAGTCATTTGCTGTCTGTTTATCTTTATAAGAAACTGCTAAACTGCTTTCCAGAGTGATTGTGCCATTTACACTCCCTACAGCGATGAGAGTTCCAGATGTTCCACATCCTTGGTAATACTTGGAATTGTCAGTCTCTTGGTTTTAGGCATTCTATCGGCTGTGAAGTGCTCCCTCAAGTCGTTTCAATTTGCTCTGTGATGGTTAATGGTGTTAAACATCTTATCATGTGCTTTATTGGTCCTTACGTGTCTTTTATTCAAATTATTTTTCATTTTTTTAACTGTGTTGTCTTATTAAAACTGTAGTCATATCTTATAATAATATAAGTAACATAATAAGTATTTATGGTAATACTTTGAGATTATGCAAGTATCTTTTTCTCATTATAGTTTTGCCTACTAATTTTAGCATCCACAAATGAGTTTTGACTGTAACAATTACTATTGGGCTGTTTGCCTAATGATAACTTTCATCATTTCTCCTATGTTTGTTATTTTGAATTTTGTAAGAGCTGTCCCTCTCCTCCTATTCGTTTACTGTTTATTTTCTTTATTCATATCCAGTAATGACTCCTGGATGTTTATTTTATTCTTTCTTCATTATTCTCATTATTTACTTTGCTGTTTACATTTTCCCAGACTTGGCTATGGGGAAATCCTTTAACGTGATTACTGTGAGTTTTTTGATGTGTCCTCATTTTTTTTTTTAATGACTTCTTTAGTTTCTGGCATCATACAGTATTCCAGGGTTATCTTGTATGTTCTCTTTCCTCTGTCTGGGATCAACCATCTCTCCAAGGACTCCTGGTTCTTTTTACCAGAAAGTCGTATACAGCTGACCCTTGAACAATGCGTGGGTTAGAGGTGCTGACCCCCTCATACATTTGGAAATCCATGAATAACTTTTGACTCCCCTAAACCTTAACTACTAATAAACTACTGTTAACCAGAAGCCTTACTGATCATATATACAGTTGACTGACACATATTTTGTATGTTGTATGTATTATATACTGTATTCTTACAATAACATGAGCCAGAGAAAAGAAAATGTTATTAAGAAAATTATAAGGAAGAGAAAATACACTGACAGTACAATACCGTATTTATCAATTATGTAAGTTTGTGTCATCTGTTAAGAGATGAAACATCAGTCAGAAATGGCAGGAAACTGCAGCAGCAGACCTCAATCTATAGCACATATCAAGCAATTCAACTTTTTCCTGTAATGTTATGGCTTTTCTCTGTCTCCAGGGAAAACTTCCAGCATCACTATATGGGTCTCGTGGTGTTATTCAGGCTTTATGGAATTGCACTAAACACAATTAAAAATACACAAGATCCTGGGCGCGGTGGCACACCTGTAATCCCAGCACTTTGGGAGGCCGAGGGGGGTGGATCACTTGAGGTCAGGAGTTCAAGACCAGCCTGGCCGTCTTGAACCAAAGAACGTTTCTACTAAAAATACAAAAATTAGCCAGGCGTGGTGGTGCATGCCTCTAATCCCAGCTACTTGGGAGGCTGAGGCAGGATAATCACTTGAACCCGGGAGGCAGAGGTTGCAGTGAGCTGAGATCGTGCCACTGCACTCCAGCCTGGACGACAGAGCAAAACTCTGTAATAAACAAACAAACAAAACAAAAACAGGACAACCGCAAGAACCGTGAGACATCACTTTTTCCTAAAGAGAAGACGAACTGCTTACGTGGGAATGATTAGTATTACATGACATTTTAATCCCATACTCCCAACACTTGAGCTCACCCAATAGTAACAGGAGGTGGCTACATAATTATTATAGTAAGACAGAATGTACTATGACTAATTTTACGCAGTTATGATTTAATACTGTATTTTATGATTGTTTATAAGTATTTGTGTGTGAGTTTTAATAAATTTTAACTTTTTATAATAGATTTGTGTATATTTTATAGTAAATGATAAAGTATGCTAGTATCTACGTATGTTTTATGCATTTATGATATGTCTAATTGTTTCTTAATTATTTTGATGTTTCTAAGCTATGAAGTTTGCGAGTTTTTTCAAATTGTCACAAAGGTACAAAATTTTCCAGTATATTTACTGAAAAAAATCTACATTCAATGGACCCATGCAGTTCAAACCCTTGTTGTTCAAGGGTCAACGATATTGTATTTTTCAGTTCCAGCATTTCTGTTTGGCTTTTTAAAATGGCAGTTTCTACATCTGTCTCCTAAAATTCATCATTTCTTTACCCATTGTATAAATCTTTCCCTGTGGATTCTTTAAAATACTATAGTGATTTTAAAGTCTCCATCTGATAATTCTAACATTTCGGTGGCGTTTGGGTTTGTTTTTATTGAGGATTTAAAACTGTTTGTCTAATATTTCTGTTTCTTCACATGATTGGTGATTTCCTGTTTTACACTTGATGATGTGAGTAATATGTTACAGAGATTCCGTATTCTATTACCTTTATCTATTTTGTATTCTATTATCTTTCTCTGAAGCGTATTGAATCTTGTTTAATAAGCAGATATATTACCCACTTATCACTTTGAACTTCTGAAAAACTGGCTTTACATTTTGCTGGAATGGATCATTGCAGTTTTTTCTTGGTTCTAGGGTGAACTCCTTAAGCCTTGGTTGTCATTTTGACTTCTAAGATCTGGTCCTTTTGGGGTTTTAGTTAAAGGCACATTATTTTCAGATGTCTGTTAATGGTAGCAGAGCCTAATCCTAAGTGAAATCCGAAATCCCCAGCTGACAAAAGAAAGTACCAAATAACTTGCATGAGAAGTAGGAGGCAGAGCCTGGATTCACTCCAAGATGGCCTGACTGCTACAAAGTGGAAATGCGCCATTGGTCAACACATCATCCTGCACTTATGACTGCATTAGTTATTCCAGTTGCTTTGTCAGGTTGGACAATTTTTGCACATTGACATCAGTCCCATGTACCAGGCTCAGCAATTGTCTCAGAATTACTTTTTTTTTTTCATTAGGTTTGGTCTCTGATTTTAGCTAATTATAAATTTCTTTGCTTTCAGATATATTATGGGCTATATTATCAATGTTTCTAAATTTTGCAGTATGTAAAAGATTAGTGGAAAATAAATTTTGGGGAGTAGGGAAGGCACAGAATCACAATAGTTAACCTACTATAGCCACCAACTTTTCATGGCCCTTTGCCTGTCAACTAGTGATGAGCACTGAAACTGGTTCCCATTGGTGCATAGCTTATAGCCAGCTCCATTCTGAGCTGATGACTACATAAAAAATATACTATCCCTTCCCATACTATCTGCCTATCTGAATGTGTAAAACATGCACAGTTGCAAAACTAAAAAATAGCAACAATAATAAGATAAGACATATAATGAATAGTCCACCTCTCATTCCTGCTCCTCAGGCAACTTGCAGAGTCAGTGTCTCCTCACAGAGATGTTGTATGCACATTTTAGCATATGTGTATATTTTCTTCCTTTCTAAATAACAAAATATTATACATATATTTTGCAACTTGGCTTTTAAATTTAATTCAACTGTATACACCAGCACTTATTTAGTTGTCTATTGATAAGTGTTGTTCCCATTTATTTCAGTTGCAAATAATTATTTCACATGAATATTCTTGTACATGGCTTATTTCACACATATATAAGTGTACTAATAGGGCCAGGCATGGTGGCTCATACCTGTAATGCCAGCACTTTGGGAGGCGGAGGCAGGTGGATCACCTGAGGTCAGGAGTTCGAGACCAGCCTGGCCAGCATGCTGAAACCCCATCTCTACTAAAAATAAAAATAATAAATAAATAAATAAATAAATAAATAATAGCCAGGCATGGTGGCACATGACTGCAATCCCAGCTGCTCAGAAGGCTGAGGGAGGAGAATCGCTTGAACCCAGGAGGCGGAGGTTGCAGTGAGCCGAGATCGCGCCATTGCATTCCAGGCTGGGAGGCAAGAGTGATACTCCTTAAAAAAAAACCAAAAGAGTACTAATAGGATAAGTTCCTAGAAGCAGAATTGCTGAGCTAGAGGATATGAACATGAAAAATTTTAAATTATATTTTTATTATAATCTTTGATACTACAGATAAATAAATGTAACCCATATAGAATAATATAATGTAACACTATAAAACATAATAGTAGCATAATGAACACTCATGGTTTTTACATTTTTATAAGAGCCTTATTGCTTACATATGTAGTTCTAGATACTATATTCAGTTTTGCTTATGTTTAGTTTTCTTTGGAACATTTGTTTTAGATATTATTACTTTACCTTTAATAAAGTGAATATACGGTATGTCTCTCAAGTAATAAATTGCTTTAACAAACATTAAGTTCTCTTGGTTAAACTTCAGATTCTGAATATGGCAAGATGAAATAATATCAGGGCTTCTAATGCCCTCTTACTTCCTGTTGAAAATCTCCTTCAAGTAGCTTATATCAAAATTTAGATTGGGCTTCATTTTTGTTAAAAAGCAGACATATCCTGAATTTCAAGTAGTTCCTCTTTTTCTCTGTCTCACTATGTAGTTTTGCTTGCTTTTGAGATTTATGGAGAGTATCATACTTTATGTAGTCTTACTCATCTTGCTTTTGTTAGATATAGTGAACTCCAAGATTCTCTTCAAAGAATCAGTATGTCAGCATATTCATCTCTCTTATTCTTTGATTCTCCATTTGAAAGTTGAGCTTCCGGGTTCTCTTCACCCTCTTGCCTCTAGTTTCAGTAAACAACTTTCCTGTCAGTTCTAATCAGTGGTTCATATCTGTTCCCCTGGTCACCTGCTCCATCCGGAGTCACCCTCGGCCACCTGCTTTGATTTGAATCATCCTGAGTCACCTGTTCTGTAACCACCCTTCCCACCAAACTACCCACCCTGCCGCTCTGGCTCATACCCCTGCTCTCTTTAAAATAGCCAATCGGAATTAGCTTAGATTGTGTGGTCCAAACCTAGCCAATAGGGGAACGACACAGCAGTAGGGGCTACCTGCCTCAGGAATAAGAACTCCTTCCCCTCCCTTGTCCAGGTATGCTCTTGCCATTACTCCATCCGCGAGTCACACCCTTCTATAGAAGTAAAAATTCCTTGCTGAGAAAATTGAATTTATGTCTGAGTGCTATTTCTTTGCGGCACCGTGGAATAAGCATTTGTTTCTAACACTTTTTTCACTCAATAGGTTCTAGCACATTCATCTGTATCGTTGTTTGCAGGTATGATCCTTCTATTTATGCTGCTTATGATATTCTACAATTTGGTTACCTATTTCCCTAATACTGATAGGCATTTGGTTGTCTTGGTTTGGTATGTCCATGTTAAATTTTGGTAGGTATTTTCAAACTGTTCTTCTTTGAGTGTAGACTTTTTTCCCAATCACCAATAAATGAGAATTCACACTAGCTTTCTGACTGAGTTTGGTTGGCATTTTTGAAGCAATATTCTAGATCTCAAAGCAGTTTAGAAACTCTTTCATGGACGTTATTAAAGAGACTAGAAAGAGACATCTGTTCCAAGTAGGCTTCAAGTAGGCTTCAATGGGGGCAGTGACAGGCCCAAGAGCATCCCGTCAGCCAGGGCCACATTGGGACACTCGTAGATAACCGCCACAATTGTTTTATAACTTGGCAAGATCTTCATACCATCATCTTTTTACTTTTGTTACTGGAAAGGGATCCTGATCCAGCCCCCAAGAGAGCGTTATTGGATCTTGCACAAGAAAGAATTCAGGGTGAATCCATAGAGTAAACTGAAAGCAAGCGTATTAAGAAAGTAAAGGAAAAAAAGAATGGCTACTTTATAGGCAGAGCAGCCCTGAGGGCTGCTGGTTGACTATTTTTATGGTTATTTCTTGATTATATACTAAACAAGGGGTGGCTTATTCACAAGTTTTCCAGGAAAGAAGTGGGAAATTCCTGGAACTGAGGGTTCCTCCTCTTTTTAGACCATATAGAGTAACTTCTGGACATTGCCATGGCATCTGTAAACTGCCATGGCCCTGGTGGGAATATTTTTTAGCATGTTAATGTTTTATTTAGCATATAATGAGCAGTGAGAATGACCAGAAGTCACTTTCGTTGCCATCTTGGTTTTGGTGGGTTTTGGCTGGCTTCTTTACTGCTTCCTTTTATTTGCAAGGTCTTTATAACCTGTACTTTGTGCTGATCTCCTCTCTCATCCTGTGACTTAGAATGCCTAACTTCCTGGGAATGCAGCCTAGTAGATGTCAGCCTTATTTTATCCAGCCCCTATTCAAGATGGAGTTGCTCTGGTTCAAACACCTCTGACACTTTAGTTGGTTTTCTGAATTTGTCAGAGGGGTAAATGATGTAGTTTGGATGTTTGTACTCTCCAGATCTCATGTTGAAATGTGACCCCCAGTGTTGGAAATGGGCCCACTGGGAGATGTTTGGGTTGTGGTGGCAGATCCCTCATGAATGGCCTGGGGCTGTCATCATTGTAATAAATGAGTTCTCACTCCATTAGCTCACAAGAGAGCTGGTTGTTTAAAAGAGCCTGGCATTTTTCCCACTGTCTCTTACCTCCCTCTCTTGCCATGTGACACGCCTGCTCTCCTTCACCTTCCACCATGAGTAAAAGCTTCTTGAGGCCTCACCAGAAGCAGATGCTGGTGCCATACTTCTTGTATAGTTGGAGGAACTATGAATCAATTAAACTTTTTTTCCTTATAAATTACCCAGCCTCAAGTATTCCTTTATAGTATGCAAAAGAGACTAAAACAGCAAATGAAAAGAGATCTGTCTCTGAAAGAACTTATTGTGACATAGAGAGAGACAGAAAAAAGTCAGATTGACACTGGGTAAGAAGCAAGGAGGTCAGGTCCCAAGATGAAGTCCTGCCTGTGGTCAGCAAAGGGGCACCAAGGTGTCTGGGACAGTCCTGGCCCTGGCTTTGGGCAGGGAGGGAATTTCCCATAGGAAGGGAAGAGTAAAGAGAGAGAGAGAGGTCAGAGTCCAGGTTTGTTGTTCATATGTTTTCTTGAAAGGGCACTATTTCCCAGAATCCAGGTCATCTCTGGGTAGGGAATCCCCTGAATTAGTTTTTTCTGAGAGTATATTAGATTTGCCCTCACAGTAACCCCATGCTGGAAATACCCAACTCCAGTAGCACTTTTCTCCCTGCCTTTTCCCACTGAAATAACATAATAATATAGGAAGAATACAAGGACTATAGAAATACAGATTAGTGTTTGAACCCTTGCTTACCAGCTACTACTAATATGATTGTGGATGAGGTAGCTTCTTACTTATTAACGGGGATACTAATAGAGGTGGTTCCTTACAATGATTCCATTTATGATTTTTTATTTAATAGTGATACCAAAGCAATACATACTCAGTAGAAACCTACTTCAAGTTCCCATAAAATCATCTGCTTTTCACTTTCAGTACAGTATTTAATAACTTAAATGAGATATTTCACACTTCAGTAGTAAATACACTTTTTGTTAGATAATTTTGTCCAACTGTATGCTAATGTAAGTGTTCTGAGCATGTTTAAGGCAGGTTAGGTTAAGCTATGATGTTTGGTGGGTTAGGTGTATTAAATGCATTTCTGATTTTGGATATTTTCAGTGTACAATGGGTTTACAGGGATGTAACCCCATCATAAGTGAAGGAGCACCTGTACTTACTTCATTAAAATGCTGAAACAGTAAATAAGGTAACATTTAATAATATGTTGTGCAGTTCTTGAAATTTAAGTACTCACCAAATATTACTTTTCCTTTTTTTGTTATTTACTTACTTTTCATTCATTTATTAATTCATTTGTGCATTTAGTAAACATTTATAAATTATTTCCTGTGCCTGACAGCATGCTGGAACAGTGCTAAAGATACAAGTTAATTAAGACACAATCACGACCCCCAAGATTCCTACTCTTTTCTAAAGATTACAGACAAGCAGACGATGCTATTGTTGAAGAAACATGCTCTGAGAGGCATTTGAAGGAAGTGTAGAGGATAGAAGATGGACACATAACCCAGGATGGGGAGGAAAAGAGTTAGGGAAGGCTTTTTGACGAAGATACTGTTTACACCGTGTGTTCTTATAAATTCATGGTGGTGGGGATAGAGTTGGAGGAAAAGGCATGCTCAGTGGCGTGGAGATGGCAGAGAGATTGGGGTGTTCAAGGATATGCCGGGAATTCAAGGAACGAGAATTCCCATAGACACAGACACAGCTAGACATAGAGATCTGCAGCTTAGGTTTGGGCTGTGGGTATAGATCCAGGTGGCTTCAACAGACAAAGATCTTTCCTGAGAAAAGGGAAAAGTTTTCAACACAGAAAGACCATCCCATGTTTGGAATGAGGTTTGCAAATAGATTGCTTGAGGAGAGAAGTATGTGATCAGAAAGCATTCTTTGTCTATTAACTCCTGCCCAGCAAAAGTGAAAGAAAATTCATGGGAGCATGCAAGAACAAAGAGCACAGCAAAGCTGGACAAACACAGCAATCCAGGCAGGGGATTTCCAACTCAACTCTGGTATATAAGCTGCATGCAAAGTCCTTTTTCTGTCTCTGGTTTCTGGCCCCTTGTCTGCAGAGATGGCTCCCAATGCTTCCTGCCTCTGTGTAAGTTGGGATTTGATAAAGGGGATGGGGAAAGGAAAAGCACTTTCAAGAGTTGGGGAGAGATCTTAGAAACGGGGGCTGGGCAGTACTCAGGGCTCTGGGGGGCTGGGCAGGCATCCTTCAGGAGAAGAGGCTGGCATTGACATTTGCAGAATGGGAAGAGGGATTGTCTGAAGAGAAGCTGGTTATCTGGCTTCTGTGTTCTTTTTTAAATAAAACATTGGACTAGCTACTCTTAGGGATAAATGGTAGAAGAAAAAGTGGGGGTGAGCTTTGTGTTCCACAGGGCTGGTGAGATTTGAAATTATGGTAACATTTTTTAAGGTTCTTAAACTTAATCTTCCCTCTCCTCTCAAAGGAGAGCTTCACAAAACTCATTCATCTGAAGTTGTTAATGATCTAACACATTACATTATATAAGAAAATATGCACTATGGAGAGAACCTGGAATTAAGGCAATGCTTAACACAGATCTTCCAGTGAAGAAATGTCTGCAATATCTAGATTGGGAAAATATTTCTGAATGGAGTATGAGGGAGGTCTTCTCAGGCTTTCAAGTGGCCATTAGGGGTGAGTTTTCCCATCTTTTAGGATTTTCCAGCTATTGAAGTAAGACTTAGATATAGTCCCTACCTTCTGTGAGTGAGGCCCTAGTCTTATCAAAGGAGATCACATTCTATATTAGTGTTACCAGGGGGTCTTTGCTCCCAGAGCTCTCAAGATGGTGGTGGGCTGCTTCCAAAATGGCCGCAGGCCGCTTCCAAGATGGTGGCAAGCCTCGTGTTCTCTGACCTGGGGTTCTTGGCCTCATGGATTCCAAGGAATGGAATCTTGGGTCATGTGGTGGTTGTTACAGCTCTATTAGAAGCCATGGGTCACGGAAGAGAACCGTGGACCCAGTGACTAGTGTTCAGCTCGATTAGGAAGAACCTGGGCACTTAGCCGTGCAGAACAATGGTACGCCTTTAGCCCAATCAGGAGCGGCAATGGGCGCCTCACTGGTTCAGAAGCACAGCGGACACCCTGCCAGATCCGAGGGATGGAAGTCAGCCGCGGGTCTGCGACGGTGGCAAACGGCAGTGGTGGATGGCAAGCGAAAGCTCACCTCGAGCCGTAAGAAACATAGACCAGAAGAGTGCAGTTGCAAGATTTAGTAGAGTGAAGACAGAGCTCCCATACAAAGGGAGGGGACCCAAAGAGGGTAGCGTTGCTGGCTCGAATGCCTGTGTTTATATCCCGATCATTGTCCCTCCCGCTGTGATCTCAGGCAATAGATGATTGGCTATATCTTTACCTCCTGTTTTTGCCTAATTAGCATTTTAGTGAGCTCTCTTTACTACCTGATTGGTCAGGTGTGAGCTAAGTTGCAAGCCCCGTGTTTAAAGGTGGATGCAGTCACCTCCCCAGCTAGGCTTAGGGATTCTTAGTCGGCCTAGGAAATCCAGCTAGTCCTGTCTCTCATTAGATAGAAATAAAAACACAAGAAATATAAATTAACAAGAAACACTGAACATAGTGTCACGGTAGTATGTGAGTTATTATTATAAAGCAGTGGGATATTTGAAAAGAAACTAACAGTTCAGTGATTATGTGTCCTACCCAGGATTTCCTTCTGAAGTATTGACAGAGGGTATCCTATGGCTATGAGTATCTTCATGAGGCTGTCATATTTTGGAAATTCTCTTTGAGAGTTGTTTTTAGAGTCTGATGTACATCTTTTGAAGCCTCGTATTTACTTGTTGACATTTGACAAACTTTATCTGGATAGGAGAGGCAGGTAAATAAGGTGGAAAATCACTAATTACATTTTGAGATGGATAAAGGTATGTTTTTTACATCCATTGAAATGCACAGAAAAACGAAATGTAAAGATTGTCAACTAAAAAAAATCACACAATTCATAAATTTAGAAGGGGAGTTTATTTCTTATGAAAGGTTATAGTCTGCAAGGTAGCCATTCTGACAGGCTGGGAAGTTTTGCTTCTGATTGAAAACCAAAAGCAAGCACTTTGCAGGAGGAAAGGTGACACAGGAATTTATGCTGAAGGGGTTTGCTAAGTATACATATCCAATAGGTTATAGCAGAGGCAATGAATATTCATGGAGGGGGTCCTAATGCATGCATATTGAATAAGCTTGCATGTTACATACCACCCATGGTCACTCTGAAGTGGAGACTTAACATTTAATTGCATTACAGTTAGGCCTTATACATGAAAAGGTGAAGCAGGGACACAAAGGCATTCAAATGCACAGCTTCTGTAAACTAGCCAGAACCAGTCCATGGTCAGTGGTCTCTTATCAGGAGAAAATTACTGAAATCAGTCTTTTGTCCAATTAAAACTGTAGTTATGGCTTGTGGAACACGGGGTCAGTTAGCCTGTGTTCCCCAACACAGGGTGAGCTGTAATTGTTTTAATATTGTTCCTGTCAAGGCCAGTGCTTGTTTAGCTGCTAGAGAAAAAAGAAAAAACTTTGTGGCAGAACATAGTTTATTCTTTAAGTGTAAGGGATGCATGACTTAACTTTTGCCTGTTATAGCCCTCGGTCTTGTTTATAATTTGCTATCTTATTGCCACAAAGAATCCATTCTCTCAGTCTTATAATCTCTAACTTTGCTGGTCAGTTGTGTCTAAACTGCAAAAGGGAGAAGATACAATGAGGCATATCCAACCTCCTGTTCCATCATGACTGAATGTTTTATTTATTTATATTTTTGAGACAGAGTCTCACTCTGTTGCCCTGGCTGGAGTGCAGTAGTGCCATCTCCACTCACTGCAACCTCTGCCTCCTGGATTCAAATGATTCTCCTGCCTCAGCCTCCTGAGTAGCTGGGATTACAGGGACTTGCCACCACTACTGGCTAATTTTTGTATTTTTAGTAGAGACAGAGTTTCACCAAGTTCACCAGGCTGGTCTCGAACTCCCAGCATCAATTGATCAGCCTGCCTCAGCTTCCCAAAGTTCTGGGATTACAGGTGTAAGCCACCACCCTTGGCCCAATGACTAAGTTTTTAAAGTTTCTCTAGGGTCCCCCTGAGCAAAAGAGCGTCCGTTCAGTTGGTTGGGGGCTCAGGATTTTATTTTCCATTCTCAAGATCGAAAAAAAGGTGTGATTATAAAGGAATGGGACAAATTATCTTATTTGTGTTGTAACTTGGTAATTCCAAAAAAGAAGTTCCAAGAAAGAGAGGGACACTGGCTACTGAATAGGAGCTAGAGGACCAGATAGATAGTGGAAGAGGGGGAGCCATTGTGGTGGGGAGTAGAAGTGTAAAGGAGGCAGGCATCCTAGGTAACTGTCTTGTGGCTTTCACTTCCCAGGTGCATGTCCGTTCCGAGGAATGGGATTTAATGACCTTTGATGCCAACCCATATGACAGCGTGAAAAAAATCAAAGAACATGTCCGGTCTAAGACCAAGGTTCCTGTGCAGGACCAGGTTCTTTTGCTGGGCTCCAAGATCTTAAAGCCACGGAGAAGCCTCTCATCTTATGGCATTGACAAAGAGAAGACCATCCACCTTACCCTGAAAGTGGTGAAGCCCAGTGATGAGGAGCTGCCCTTGTTTCTTGTGGAGTCAGGTGATGAGGCAAAGAGGCACCTCCTCCAGGTGCGAAGGTCCAGCTCAGTGGCACAAGTGAAAGCAATGATCGAGACTAAGACGGGTATAATCCCTGAGACCCAGATTGTGACTTGCAATGGAAAGAGACTGGAAGATGGGAAGATGATGGCAGATTACGGCATCAGAAAGGGCAACTTACTCTTCCTGGCATGTTATTGTATTGGAGGGTGACCACCCTGGGCATGGGGTGTTGGCAGGGGTCAAAAAGCTTATTTCTTTTAATCTCTTACTCAACGAACACATCTTCTGATGATTTCCCAAAATTAATGAGAATGAGATGAGTAGAGTAAGATTTGGGTGGGATGGGTAGGATGAAGTATATTGCCCAACTCTATGTTTCTTTGATTCTAACACAATTAATTAAGTGACATGATTTTTACTAATGTATTACTGAGACTAGTAAATAAATTTTTAAGGCAAAATAGAGCATTCAAAGCCAGCTTGGAATTTAATTCTGTCTTGATACCTTGTTATTTATGCAAAAACTCCTATCTCCTTTCCTTTATGACAAGAGAGTAAGTTTTAGGTTGGGATCCATGTTCTACTGATTTCTGTATTTCTGTCTTTGTTAAGTCCAGTGCTTTATTTATATCACTCAATAATGGTTGAACCAAATTGAATTTCTACTTATAGAGCATAGTGAAATGATATTTTATAAAATGAATTAGTTGCTCTGACATGATCACAATCAAATTACTAAACATTTTAGAAACTAAATTAAACTCCTTCCCCCCTCTTCTCCTTTAAAGCTATTTGTATGAAATGAAGTCTGGCACCATGCCCCCTTTTATTCTCTATGTCT
Source organism: Homo sapiens (assembly GCF_000001405.40). Taxonomy (NCBI): domain Eukaryota; kingdom Metazoa; phylum Chordata; class Mammalia; order Primates; family Hominidae; genus Homo; species Homo sapiens. The sequence continues at coordinate 29,555,248 of NC_000006.12, read as the reverse complement.
CACACCCAACTAAAATAGTTATTATTTCTGGGGATGATGGTGGGCAAGGAAAGGTATTTTCCACAGGGATCTAGCAATTCTGTTTAACTAGTGGGGATTCCTAGGGGTAGATGGACATTGGGAGCGAACAAACTTTCTAAAGCTGGGGGACTGTGGACCACCCTCTCTCCTACCTGCCTTAGGGTCTAGCAGGTCTTCTCCAGGATGAGGGCGCCAGTCTGGGTGAGGGTGGGTGAGGAGCTGGCTTCTGGGTTGACCTCAATATTCTGCTCAGGTTCTGCTGATTGAGCATTTTCCTCTCTTCTTTTTTTCATGAGGAGATCCCTGTTCCTGTCTTGAGAACTTGAGTCCCTTCCTCCATCTTCCTCCCTCCATTTACTCCTCTCTCTGACTCTCTCTCTTGCTCTCTCTCTCATGACTCACTACTGATCACCTGTGAGTTTTTTTCACGGGCTGAGACGTGCCCGCCTTCTTCCACACTCATCCTAGTTCCTTGTTTCTTTAAAACTTGCTCAAGAACCAACTCCTGCAGGGGGGTTTCCAGTCTTAACCCCACTCAGCAAAATTCACCACCATTTATGGGCTTTCCTCATCACATTTATGGGTGAAATGCCCCGGGGAGGGCACTGGTCATCTGGCCAGGTCTGCACTAAGTTGGACTGATTTCTGAGAATAGAGTCCATGGTCGCTTTTTCTGGATGTACCCTCTCCTGCAGGGTAGGGACTATGATTTTCTTGTCAACTTGAGACTTCTGATTGCAGAGACCAAGAGGTCTTCCATGGTCTTCCATCAGATAGGGAGGAAGCTAAAGGCGAGCATCACGTCCATCATTTTCCCTGCGCGTGGAGTTGTGAGGGGTAGGTTTTCCTTCCCTAAACCTGAGTATATAGAGGATTTAGGGATTTTCCCTCAAGAACTAAACATTTCCTCACGGGAGGAAAACATATCCCCCATTGGACTCCTTAGGACAAATCTTGCAGATTATCATACAAAAATGAACAGCCTGAAGTCTAAACTGACTCACTAAGGGGTATTTCCATCCTTGGGTTCTGGCTTAATACTTTCTCCCCTCCCCAACTACTCACTGCCCAGCCTGGCCTCTCCCCAGACTCCGCAGCAGCCTCCTCGCTGCCCCCTTCACTTTCTTATTCCTGAGGGTGTAGATGAGCGGGTTGAGAGCAGGTGTGACCACGGTGTAGAAGAGCGATACGAACTTGCCCCGTGCCTGGTTGTAGCGCTGCGCGGGCTGCAGGTAGGTGTAGATGGCCGAGCCGTAGAACAGGCAGACGGCTGTCAGGTGGGACCCACACGTGCCCACCGCCCTCCTCCGGCCTCCGCTGAACCGCATGCAACAGACAGCTCGGGCCACGGCACCGTAGGAGGCCAGGATGACGGCAAACGGCAGCAGCAGGATGACCACGCGGGCGGCGAACATCTGGTTCTCGGTAGTGTCTCCGTCGCCTCCGCAGGCCAGCTTGAGCAACGCCGGCAGCTCACAGATGAAGTGGTCCAGCAGGCGGGGCGCGCACAGCGGCCGCTCAGCCAGGAGCGCGGTTTGCGCAACCGAGTTGGTGAGGCCGCTTAGCCAGGAGGCGCTGGCCAGCGTGCGACATAGGCGCGGGGAGACGAGCCCCGCATAGCGCAGCGGGCGGCACACTGCGGCCGCGCGGTCCAGAGCCATCACCGCCAGGAGGACGCATTCGGCGGAACCCAGAGCCAGCGATGCGCACAGCTGGGCCGTGCAGTGGCTGCGCGGCAGCCAGAGCGCTGGTCCGCGCAGGTTGGCCAGCAGCGGCGGCACCACGCTAGTAGTGAAGCCCGCGTCTACCAAGGCCAGGTGGCAGAGGAAGTAGTACATGGGCGTGTGCAGGCGCGGGTCGCGCACCGCCAGCAGCACCAGCGCCGAGTTGCCCGTCAAGGTCAGGAGGTAGCACAGGAGGACAAGGGCGAAGAGGACCGGCTGCAGGGAAGGCCAGTCGGAGAAACCCAGCAGGAGAAAGCGCTCCTCTGCGCTGTAGTTGGCCTAAAGGAGGAAAACTCCCAGAATGTTTGGAAGGTCGAAATAAAAAAGGGTGACTACCCCTTATAAGCAAAGGGAAAACCTTGGAGTGTGGGGCTGGGCTGGGAGAAGGAATGGAATCATATACAAGGTCAGTTTGTGGATTGTAATCCCATTTACAGATGAGATTACTTAAAAATAAACTCCCTAAGAATAAGAGCAACACTCCAAGCTTGGCCTGGCCAACACTCGGTAGGCAGAATGATCACCTCCGTTGTTTCAGGTACTCTGTGTTTATTTATGCAACAGTTCATGTAAAATGGAGACGAGGCCAGAAGAATCCTTGAGCAGACAGAGCCAGTTGGGCCTCCTAAGTGACCTTAACCTTGCTTGATTTGCAAGCATGTCTGAAACTTTATTTGTGGTATTTCTTGTAAATGCCTATGTTAAAGAAACACAGAACTTAAGCTCAACCAATCAGAAGCAGCCAACAAAAACGTAATTAGTAACTAGGACTTCCTCATGGGATAGACCAAATAAGGCAACTGTATAACTGTGTAACTGTATAACTGTAACCAATGAAATATTATCTTTGCTTTTATCTATTTGTCCTAAAAAGCCTCCTCCTCATGTTCTCTCTGGGGAGCTCCCTAGCCACTTCTGGATCACTGCTCAAATAAACTCTTAAATATTTTATTGGGCCTTAGTTTACTTTCTAACACAACCCATTATACGGCTGATTACTGATTTTTAATTTGTTGTGAATAGAGACTACTCCCAACGTCCATGCCCCTCCCACTGAGGGGAGATCAGCACACGTATACTAGCCTTTAAATCAGGAATAAGTTGGGTAGAAAAAAAGAACACTTTCTGGTAGACTAGAATATCAGGACATCTTGGTTTTACCTACATAGCTCCCTTTAGCCAGTTATATGATATGGGGAAATCTTCATTTCCCTCTGTCTCAATTTTTTCATATGTAAATCAAGGAGTTTGAACTAGATGTCATCTAAGTTTCCTGTCCCAAATCCTTGGCTTTACTATCAAATATTAATCCAAAAATAAAATAAAAAGAGAACCCCAGGGAACAAAAGGAACCTCATTCTCCAAGGGTCTTGTTGAACCAAGTGTCTTAATGGTACAGAAACATATGGGTTATGTAATGGATGAAAGTTTACGTGATGGACAGAAATCTTTCTGCTGCATGACTCCTGACATAAATTATTATATGGATAACTTATTTTTCACATCATATTCACTGCTGTAAATTACAAAATCACAATAACCTAATTTTTCATTTTTCAGAGGGAAAAAACACTGCTCCCTACCAAAACATCCTGTTTGATTTTATGTTTCACTCATTTTATCCTCACTGGGCAGAATAAGCATTAATGTCATAATTAAGAACCAGGGCTCAGCAGCCAGACTGCCTGGGTTTGAGTCCTGGCTCTGCCATTTTCTAGCTGGAAAACCTTGGGTATGTTACTTAGCCTCTCTCTGCCTCAGTTTCCTCATATGAAAATAGAAATATGTTAAGTGGGCTAAATATGAAAAGCTGTTAGAACAAGGCCTGGCACATAGCAGTTGTTAACTGTCATCCTTTAATAAATGCTAACTATCGTCATATCTGTTTCCCAAATTAAGAAACAGGTTTTTAAGGGGTTCTTATGCTAGGCAGTGATACAACTGCTATGAACATTTACAGCTCTTTTCATTTATTAACTCTAATCTTAACTCACTTGAATATTAGGCAATAGCCTTATTTTATAGAGTATGTTAGGAGAGTAACTGAAGTTAAATTACTTGCCCAAGGCCACATTATTTGTAAATGCTTAATAGGTTTTCCACTTATATTTGACTAACTTCGAGGTCCTTCCTGTTTGATCAACCAGGATCCACTGTGCTAGAGACTGTGGAGTATGAAAGGACATGCAAAGTCTTACCTATATTTATAGATCATTTTATAATTTGGGGTCATATCAGAGATGAATAAAGTAGGAGAGGTGACATTCAGGCTTACAGACCAATGGTGGCTAGAGATGTTGAGTTACAAAAGGTCAAATTCTTTAATGCGGTGATTACACGGACACATAACTGTTCAGCCTGGCAAGCTCTAAACCATTCCTCTTCAAATATGCCACACCATGAAAACAGGCACACAATAATAAAACTGCACAGATAACATTCTTGTTACATGTATGCACAAATTCCCCAAAACATAGGCATGTGTGCACCTGTACACATAAACCCATCATCTCCCTCACACATCTAGAAGACAAATCTGTTGTGAAATATATAATATAATGTGTCATCAAACTTCACTTGGTATTTCAGAATGTGGCTCTCGGCACAAGACCATTTTGTTGTAGGGCACTGTAATACCCAACTTACCTTCATGACTAATCTTTGGCACTAATGTTTACACCTTGAGTTTCCAGATGATAGGTTGGTCTCTTGCTCCTGCTCTGGATTCTCTGGATTTGAAATGGAGTTGGGAGTATTTAATAAAAGATGCAATTGCATAGCTGTGTTGATTTCTGGAATGGATGCCTGGGATCAGAGCCAGGTATTTCAGGAAGAAGACGAGGGGTGGGTGTCATTGTGCTTGTAAATAGAGGAATAAAAAGAACGGGTAAGAAAGAACCTACATTTGTGAAATTTCAGGATCTAGGCAGAGGTGGTGATGTCTGTTCCTGGAGAACCTTGTAATGGGGTACAGACCAGACAAGGACCTGGGCCTTGTGCTGGTAGCAAATCAGCATTAGCTGGTGGTGGTAGCAAATATCCCTCCTGGATCTAAAGGACACAGTTAGAGAGGAGGAAGCATGCTGATGAGTGCTCTCACTAGAGAAAAAACAGGGGACTCAACGTTCCCTGTTATTTAGAAGAGAGGATGGAGCTCTGGGGAATAGATGTCCCACTCCTATCATTAGTACTTTGCATGAAGGTGTCCGGAGAGGAGTCCCCAAGAGTGGGGAAGAGGAAATTCTGGAGGGAAAGTCCCTTTAGGGTAGTGTGCCTCTGGCAGTGTATGAAGGCCAAAGGCAGCGTAATTCCCTCTCATTAATATTTCTACTATTCAATTGGAACTGGTTTAGAATTTCATTCTCTGATGGAGTGACCTTAAGCTAATTGTTTAACTTCAGTGACTCTCAATGTCATCATCTGTAAAACAAGGAAAATAACCCTTTCTGTCAGGAATTTTGTAGATTTGTTGAAGTCATTATTAGTTTTGAATGTAGCTTTGACTGTTATGTCATCAGCTTTGCTCCAAAGTCCACCTCCCCACTTGTGGCTCTCATCATTCTCTTTCCCTTTGCTCCTCCTTCGTCCTTGAAGATTTTTGTCCCTGATCCCCTCTCACTCTCTCCAGTACTGTGATGATTCTTGGTGAATTCAGTATCCTCATAGATTATCTTTCTATACTTTCCTCTCAGTTTCTTCCTCAGTGAGAGGTCCGCAAATTCATCGTGGCCCCTCACGCCCCTTGTATCTTCAGTTCTCTATCAAGCTTAGACTGTCTCGTCAATCACTATTACTCCTTTGCATACATCAATGTTCCTGCCCTTTTCACTTGTTACACTCTTTCAGCTAAATTGCTTTCCTATTTAAATCCAACTATAGTCCTACTCTCTCCCTATATTTGTTCAGCTGACTGTGGCCGAAGGAAAGCCAATAGCCACACTGAGAGGTTTCACTTTACATTCATGACCACTACTTTAAGAGGAAGGGGCTAATGTCATTGATAATCATATTTTCCTAGTCCACTCACTTTCCCCTCTCCTACGTAACTCATGCATACTTTCTGGTCTCCCCTCAAATCCCCAGTACTCCTCTCTCTCAAATAATATCATCTTTCTCAGATAAAAATTTTACTTCATTTTTTACTGAAAAAATGTAAAGCAATAAAAAGAGAAGTTCTTACTAACCCATCTGTTCACCTACTTGCATCTGTGCTCACATATGGGACTCCACCTTTTCTTCTGATACTGCTAGGAATATACTATTTTGCATCTGTCTGATGCCAGTACCCCCACTTGCCCACTATATTCCATCCCTTTCCACTTATTCAGGGACATTACTCTAATCTTTCCCCTCTTTCCTGTAATATAATTTGTCCTTCCAGTGGACCATCCCCATCAATACATAAACATACTTTGATTTCACTCATCAGAAAATAATCTTCTCTTGACTTCACTTCCCCCTAGCTACCATCCAAGTCCTTGAATTCTCTTTCGGGTTGGCTCCAACAAGGTTTCTGCACTGGAAACCTTTCATCGAAGGTCACAAACTGACCTCCACATTGATATAGTAGTTTTCAGTCCTCATGTTACTTGACCTGTTAGAAGCTTTTCAATAGAGTGGACTTAGCTTTCCTTTTTGGAACATGCCTTTCACTTCTGCTATGGACTGAATTGTGTCCCCCCCCAAAATTCATATGTTGAAAATCTAATCCTCAATGTGATGGTATTTGAAATGGGCATTTTAGGAGGTAATTATAGTTAAATGAGGTCACAAAGGTGAGGGCCAAATAGGATTAGTTTCCTTATAAAAGAGGAAAGGCCACGTGAGGAGGCAGCAAGTAGGGAGTTGTCTGCAAGCCAGGAGGAGAGCCATCACCAGGAACAAAATCAGCCAGCATCTTGATCTTGAACTTCCCAGCCTCCAGAACTGTGAGAAATCAACTTCTGTTGTTGAAGCCACCCAGTTTATGGTATTTTGTTATGGCAGTCTGAGCTGACTGACAGCTTCAAATCACCAAAGTCTCCCAGCTGCTCCTTCTTAATCTCCTTTATTGGTTTCTCCTCCTCCCTGCTGTGCCTAGGGTTCAGTCCTCTTTCCTTTTTTACATGCACTTCCGTCATCCAGTCTTATGACATTGTACACCATCTATATGCTGATGACTCCTAAATTTATATTTCCAGGCTGGATTTTTCTCCTAACCTCCAGATTCCTATGTCCAATTGTCTACCCACCAGCAGCTTTTGGTATCTAATACACATCTCAGATTTAACATGCCATAAACTGAGCTCCTTACTACCCACCCTCTCCCCCACAATGTGCTTCTTCTGTAGCCTTTCTCATCTCCCGTAATGAAAATCCATTCTTCTAGTTTCTCAGACAAAAATCTTGTGATACTGACTCTTCTTCATCTCACTCACATATAATCTACCCACAAATTCTATTGGCTCTACCTGCAAAAATATGTTGTGAAACTGACAAATCGTTATCACTGTTAGGACCACCACTCTGGTCTGTCCTTGTCAACATCTCTTGCTTGGATGATTGAAATAATCCTCTGGTTCTTCCCTTAACCTTTAGTATATTCTCAACATGGAAGCCAGAGTAACCCATTTATAACAACTCAGATCATACCACTTCTTATCTCAAAATCTTTCAGCAGTTTCCATGTTACTCAGAAAGAAAAAGCCTAGTCACAAGATCTAAAGATCAGTGCCCTCCACCTCAGTACTACTGACGATTTTGACTGGATCATCCTTTGTTGGGGGTGCTGTCCTGTGCATTGTAGGATGTTTAGCACCATCTCGGGGCTCTACCCACTAGGTGATAGTAGTGCATCCTCTCTAATTGTGACAATCAAAACCAGCTCCAGACATTGCCAAATGTCCCAGTGGGAGGCCTAATTAGCCACGGTGAGAACTGCTGCTTGACTTAATCAGAAAAAATAAACCTCCTGCAGCTAGCTTGGTGTCTGCCTAAACAGCCTCCTAGTTTTGTGCTTGAAACCCAGGGCCCTGGTGGCATAGGCACCAGAGGGAATCTCCTGGTCTATAGGTTTCGAAGACGTGAGGAAAGCGCAGTATCTGTGCCAGAGTGCACCGTTCCTCCCCACACAGTCCCTCAAGGCTTCGGCTTCCCTTGGCTAGGAGAGGGAGTTCCTTGACCTCTTGTGCTCCCCGGGTGAGGCGATGCCCCACCCTGCTTTGGCACACCCTCCATGGGCTGCACCCGCTGTCCAACCAGTCCCAATAAGATGAACTGGGTACCTCAGTTGGAAATGCAGAAATCATCCACCTTCTGGGTCAATCTTGCTGGGAGGTGCAGACCAGAGCTATTCCTATTCCACCATCTTGCCAGCCTCCTCCCCTGGTATCTAGCTGTAATTTTGTATCCATGAACCAATCTCTTCCTATCCTTCCCTCTCTCCTCCCTTCGATCCTTCCTGTGCTCTAATAATCAAAATTCCACTCTCTATTTCTAATGAGCTCAACATTTTTTAGCTTCCATATGTGAGTGAGAACACACAGTCTTTATCTTTCTGTGCCTGCTTATTTCAGTTAACATGGTGTCTTCCAGGTTCATCCATGTTGCCATGAATGACAGGATTTCTTTTTTTTTTTCATGTCTCTGCCATTTAAAGGGGGTGTTTAATATATTTACATTTAATGTAATTACTGATAGTATAGGATTTTGACCTGTCATTTTGCTACTTATTTTCTTTATATCGTGTTTTTTATTGCTCTATTCCATTATTACTGCCTTTGTATGTTAAATAAATTTTGTTAGTGTTTTACTTAATTCTCCTTGTTGTTTCTTTTACTATACTTTTTGAGGTATTTTTTAAATATTGCCCTGGATCTTGCAATTAATAATTTATAACAATTTAGTCAGATTAATAGCAATTTAATTTCAATAGCACACAAAACCTTTGCTTCCATACAGCTCCATTCTCTTCTGCTTCTTTGTGTTTTTATTGCCGTACAAATTACATCTTTATACATTGTAGGCTTATCAATACAGATTTATAATTATTTCATTATGTATTTGTCTTTTGAATCATATGAGAGAGGAAATCGCAAACAAATTGCATTTATACTGTCTTTTATATTTACCCATGTAGTTATCTTTACTGGAGTTCTTCATTTCTTCATGTGGATTCGAGTTGCTATGTAGTGTCCTTTCATGTCAACCTGCAAGACTGCTTTTATAATTTCCCATAAGACAGGTCTGGTAATTACAGCTTCTCTCAGTTTTCAAAATCTGAGAATGTTTAATTTCTAGTTCATTTATGAAGAATAGTTTTGCTGGCTTTAGAATTGTTCATTGACAGTATTTTACTTTTGCTACTTTGAATATGTCATCCCATTGCCTCCTGACTCTGTAATTTTTCATGAGAAATTAGTTCTTATTCTTACTGAGAATCTCTTGTACATGATAAGTTGCTTCCCTCTTTTTGCCCTCAAGATTCTTTCTTTGTTTCTTGGCAGTTTGATTATAATGTTTCTATGTGTGAATCTCTTTGAATTTATTTTATCTAAGTTTGTTGAGCTTTGTGAAAGTGTAGATTAACATTTTTTCATTGAATTTGGAGTTTTTCAGCTAGTATTTCTTTAAATATTCCTTCTGTTCCTTTTATTCTATCCTCTCCTGAAAATTCTCGTTTATGTGTTTTGGTACACTGGATTGTGTCCCACAGGTCTCTGAAACTCTGTTCATTCTTCTTCTTTTTAATTCATGTTCCTCATACTGGATAATTTCCCCACCTATCTTTAAATTTACTGATTCTTTCTTCTGCCTTCTCAAATCTGTTATTGAGGCTATCTAGTGAAGTTTTTATTTCTACGATTTTATTTATCAATTACTGAATTTTATTTGTTTCTTTTCTTTTCTTTTTTTTTTTTTTTTGAGACAGAGTCTCGCTCTGTCGCCCAGGCTGGAGTGCAGTGGCGGGATCTCGGCTCACTGCAAGCTCCGCCTCCCGGGTTCACGCCATTCTCCTGCCTCAGCCTCCCAAGTAGCTGGGACTACAGGCGCCCGCCACTACGCCCGGCTAATTTTTTGTATTTTTAGTAGACACGGGGTTTCACCGTTTTAGCTGGGATGGTCTCGATCTCCTGAGCTCGTGATCCGCCCGCCTCGGCCTCCCAAAGTGCTGGGATTACAGGCGTGAGCCACCGCGCCCAGCCTTGTTTCTTTTTTAACATTCCATCTCATTATTGATGTTTTGTATTTGGTGAGATATCATTCTCATGCATTCCTTTAGTTCTTTTGACATGGTTTCCTTTAGTTCTTTGAACGTGTTTAAAATTGTTCGTCTAATATGTTCACCTAGTATGTCCAATGTCTGGTATATGCAGTCTACCAGAGGCAGTTTTGATTTTAAAATGAATAGGTTAAAAAAAGAGGGTGGAAAAAAGTATACCATGTAGAAAACTATGATGAAAGAGCTGAGACAGCTCTACTAATATTGGACAAAGTAGACCTTGAGAAAAATAGCGTTACTAGAAATAAAGAGGCATATTCTATAATGATAAAATTTCAATTTATCAGGAGGATATGAGGATTATAAACATACACACAATTAGCAACACATCCCCCAAATACATAAAACATGAAAATGACAGAATTGAGGGGATAAATAAACAAATCATTAAAAATAGTTGAAGATTTCAACACTCCATTATCAATCATTGATGGAACAACTAGATAGAAAATCAGCAAGGATACAGAGCCTGAAACATTATCAACCAACTTGACCTACTTGACAACAACAAATGAATTATACACGCTTTTGAAACACACATGGAACATTCTCCAGGATAGACTAGATGGGAGGGCACAAATTATCTATAAATTAAAAAAAAATTGAACTAATACAATATATGTATTCCAACCACAATGGAATTGAATGAGTAATCACCAACAGTTGGAAACTTCAGGAATCCACAAATAACAAGTGAAAGAAAAAAAAACACAGGGGAAATTAAAAAGAATATGCATGAAATGAAATGAAACCATAACATGTCAACATTTATGAGATGGAGATAAACCAGTGCTTAGAGGAAAATCTGTAGCTGTAAATGCCTACATTGGAAAAGAAAAATACCTCTAATCAGTAATTCAACTTTCTATGGTAAGAAGCAAGGAAAAGAAGAGAAAACTAACCCCAAAGCAAGCAGAAGAAAGGAAATAATAAAGAAGAGAGCAAGAGTAGATGGAATAGAAAATAAAACACTATAGAGAAAAGTAATGAAACCAAAAGTTGAATCATGGAAAATAACAACACAATTGACAAACCTTTAGCTAGACTTACCAAGAAAAAAAAATGGCCTCAAATTCCTAAAATCAGAAATGAAATTGGGCACATCATTACCAACTTTATAGAAATTTAAAGGATTATAAAGAAATCCTATGAACAACTTTATCCTAACATGCTAGACACCTTCGATGAAATGGATAAATTTCTAGAAAAACTAATTACCAAAATTGACTCAAGAGGAAATAGAAAATCTGTATAAGCCTACAAGAAGTAAAGACATTAAAACTGTCATTGCATATCTTCCCACAAAAAAGGCCCAGGCCCAGATGTCTCTACTGGTGAATTCTACCAAACATTTAAAGAAAAAAATAATACAATTCTATACAAACTCTTCCAAAATATAGATCAGAAAGGATCACTTCCCAACACATTGTATAGGAATGATGGAAATGTTGTAAAATCATATTCTAGTGAGTATGTACTTTTGTACATAAGGAAGTTAAGAGACACAGGGCCCCATTTGTGATCCTTTGGGAGTGTGAGAAGCACATATTTCCTACACCCATGTTCCCATTTGGAAGGGCTTCTCTGACCAGCATCAGCCACAAGTGACTTTGCTGAGTGGGGCATCCAGAAGAAGGGGCTGAATGTGGCATTTGAAGGACTTTTCCTCCTTTCTCCTTGGAATCTGACTGTCTGCATGGAGGAATCATACTCCTGGGTTCCCTCCATTAAGTGATAAGCTTCAGGAGACAGGTGTTGACCATGGGTGCCTGTGCCTATTACTTTGAGGAGTAAATTCAATTCCTGGAGAGAATAACATATAAGCAAGTGCTTTGGGGTCACAAACTGCTTCCCAGGTCATTAGGGGAGGGAGGAATAAAGATGCTATGTTGTTGGGCATTGTTTTGACTTCTCAATTTATCTCTCAATTGATTCAGAGAGATGTAATGAAAATGAACTAATTGACTTATTGATTGATCGAAATTAGTGCAACAAGGAGACATGTCTTTTCTTGCCTCATAAAAGCAAGTCAAGGCCGGGTACAGTGGCTCACCCCTGTAATCCCAGCACTTTGGGAGGCCAAGGTGGGCGGATCACCTGAGGTTGGGAGTTTGAGACCGGTCTGACCAACATGGAGAAACCCTGTCTCTATTAAAAACACAAAATTAGCCAGGTGTTGTGGTGCATGCCTGTAATCCCAGCTACTCAGGAGGCTGAGGCAGGAGAATCGTTTGAACCCAGGAGGCTGAGGTTGCAGCGAGCCGAGATTGCACCATTGCACTGCAGCCTAGGCAACAAGAGTGAAACTCCGTCTCAAAAAAAAAAAAAAGAAAGCAAGTCAGTGGTGGGGTAAACCAGGGTGAAAAATATTGGCTCCAACAAAGCACAGCCAAATCTCCCTAGGCTTGGTGAATCCAATGTAAGTTTCTGACACAGATTTACAAGAACTTCCACATCTTTTGCAAAAAAAAAAAAATGCAATTCAATTGACAGCAAAATGAAAGGAGCACATTTGAGTTCCTGGCATGCTCAAGTTTATTGACAAAATGCCCACCAGAGTTCCCTCTCCTGCCTGTCTCAGATGGGCTGGGCTGGGCTGGATGTCATTCTAGGAGATTCACACAGGGAGGCAGGTGACAACTTGTCTTAAAGATCCTTCTTTTTTGAGGGAAGTTATTGTTCAGGATGGAGTAATCAAAAGTGTCAGTGGGATGGGGGATATCAGGAGATGCTGAGATACAATGTTTCAGATAAAGGCCTGGGCCCTGATATGCAATTTGCCCCAGTACAGGAAGACCCAACAGACACAGAGAAATTGACAACCTCTTGTCAGGACCCAGTTCAAATCAGACATCGTTAGATTGCTTCCTGACCTGTGGGCAGAACTTTCATCTCTCAGGACATTGGCCTCTGTGGTACCAATTCTATCCAAGACTTCCCAGGTATGAGAAAAGATCTCTCTTCCTTCTTTCATTTTCAAACCATTTTAACTCAGAGACATATTTTCCTGGAATTTGAAACCTCATGATTTTTTACTGGGGAAGGTGCATTTCTCAGGAAAATGGGGACAGGACAGAAACCAGGTTCCTGGAGAAAGCAGGATTCGGGGTTCCAGGGTAGTCCCAGCAGGTGAGCCACAACTGTGCCCTGGCCCCTGGTTCACAAATGCCCCAGCTGTGTAGATGGGCAGAGGGTGTGTTATTCTGTTAAAGGTAGGATTTGAGCCACTGTATTACTGAGGTGTAGTCTATGACTTCTAGGAAAATCCTTTTGGGTCTTCTGATTTCACAGCTTCTATATTCATATTTAGTTTGTATCTAACGCAAGGAATGAAGTTCTTATGCATGCTACCCTGTGAAGAAGCCATGAAAACAAGAGGCTGAGTGAAAGAAACAGACAAAAAATCACAGAGGGTCTGATTCCACTAATAGGACATGTCCAGAATAGGTGAATGTGCAGAAATGGAAGGTAGATGGGGTTGCCAAGAGCTGGGAGGAGGAAGACAAGGGGAGTAACTGCTAACAGGTAAAAGGCTTTCTTATGGGGGTATGTAAATATTTTGGAACCAGATAGAGGTGGTGGTTGCACAACATTGTGAAGGTGCTAAGTGAGGCAGAACTGTGCCCTTTAAATTAGTTAATTTGTGTTATGTAAATTTCACCTCAAATAAAGATTAAGTGGGGAGGGTGGGCTCTCAACTCAGAACCAGAGCAAGTACTTCAATCCCAATGCAAAGGTTACTTGGCTATTTTGGCTGCATCAACCTGAGCACTTCCATCAGAGCTGGCTCCCTGAATCCCAGGATCCAACCTGTTTGTTGTTTATGCTCCTTGGGGAGCTTGGCTCATGACCCGACTTGGAAATGACATTTCCAGGTGCTAGGATCTCTCTGTGCCCAGTGCTGGGGCTGCACCAGGCACTGAAGCCTTCCCACCCCAGGAGGGCTGTGTCCTCCTCTTGTGTGATGAGGAAGAATGTGCTGCTTAGTCACTGGCCTCAGTAGTGGTCTCTGGGCATGAGCTAGGTCTCAGTGAGCCCAGGGATGGGAAGCCTGGCTCTGTCCCTGAAGCCACATGCTGCCTCCAAAATGGGCATTTTCTCTTTGTTGAAGGGTAAGTCACCTCTCCCCTTGAAACTCTTTTATCTATAAATCTCCTTTCTTTGTTGGGGACCAGAGCCCAACTGCTCCTGCTTGGTGCCTTGGTGGCCTGGGGTGGGCCACGGAGGTCTGTTTGCAGCTTCTCTTCTGTCATCATCACGAGTTCTGACACCCTGGCCCAGGCACAGAACTGCAGGTCACCCTGATGTTTCCATGGGCACCAATGTTACCAAGCCCCAAGACTCATCCTATGACCAGATTAGATCTGAGCCAGATCTGCGGTCCTCCCTGGCCTCAGGTAAGAGTGTCTAGGTAACAAGTGCAGGGAGGGGAGGGGCTGGGGCTGGACCCTTCCATTTCAAGAGAGCTGCCAACTGAAGGGGACTCCATCATCCCAGCAAGGAGGGAAGATTCAAACACTGGGCTCACTTGGAGCTGGTCCCTAGCATTCTCCTAAACCCTGCTGATGCACCAATATGTGACTGCAGGCCACAAGGTCACCTGTGGAATATTTCCAGGCATATCGCAGGCATTTATCAGTTAGTTTGTGGAACAAGCTCTGTTCTAGAAGCTTCTGTGATTCAGAAGCAAAGCTTCAGCAGCTCAGGGTTGTAGAACCAGGTAGATCTCACTGTTCTGAGACTTTCCATAATTCCGTCTGTAAACTTTTCATCATAAATGTGATCATCAGTTCAGGCTCCCATGACAGAGATCACAGACTGAGTGGCTTAAACAGCAGAAGTTCATTCTCTCAGTTTTAGGAGGCTGAAAGTCTGAGATCCAAAGATTGCCGGGATCATTTCTTTCCAAAGCCTCTCTCCTTAGCTTGTAGATGGCTGCCTTCTCCCTGTGTCTTCTCATGGTCATCCCCCTGTGGGTGTCTGTGTCCTAATCTCCTTTACTTATGAAGACACTACCCCTATTGGATTAGGGCCTACCCTAATGACCCATCTAAACATAATTACCCCTTTAATGTCCCTGTCTCCAAATTCAGTCACATTCTGAGGTACTGGGATAGTTCAACATATGAATTTAGAAGAATACAATTCATCCCATAGCAGCAGCCCTTACTTAGATGGGGATGCTGAGGCAAAGAAAGAGTCAGCTACTATGAAAAAGAGCTGGGATTTGCCCCCAAGAGGTCAGCTCTCACAGTCTCAGCATGAACTCCTCAGATCACTGGGTTTAACCAAGCTGTGGGATTCCAGAAGGGGTACTGACCTTCTCCTGTTTAACTTTCAAGTTGGGCAACAAACCACCTTGGTTTTCCTAGGGCTATGAGGATTTTCAGGACAAGAGATGTTCAGAGCTTAAACTGGGAAAGTCCTAGGCAAAGCAGGATAAGTTGGTCACCCTCCCCTCATGATTCTACAAAGAAAGACCTGTGATTGGCAATGTGGAGGAGAGTGCCTGCTCCTGTTGTGGACGTAGCCCAGGGTTCAGGTGTGAGTCTCCCTCAGGAGTCCAAGAAGCCTTTTTTTTTAAATCAGTTTGCGGAACAAGCTTTGTTCCAGAAGCTTCTGTGATTCAGAAGCAAAGTTTGCTTTTATGAAGAGGTCACCAGCACTTCCCCAAGTGTAACTGAGCTGCATAAAGCTCTCCATAGGTGCCGTACCCAAGTGAGTCCTCTATGTCAAACCCTGTTCCAGGAGCTGGAGAAGTTATTGAACAACATTGTGAAGAGAATAAAAAACCTGATAAATCTTCCATTCCCACAGAGGGATTTCTGCAGAAGTAAGTAAGTTGCATAGACACTCAGCATGTGATGAATGCAATGTTAATAGGAAGCAGAAGCTTCTCTGGAAGTTGATACTGGGGCAAAGATTGGAAAGAGGATACAAAGCTTACAGATGTGCAGAGGCCCTTCCAGGCAGCAGAACAACATAAAGGTCCTACCAGGAGGCCCTCGTGCTGAAAGTGAGGAGTTGAGGGGAGGTGAGCAGGAGAGAGGTTGGGTAGACCTTCCCTAGAGCACTGAAAAGCAACTGCCCCATGTGGGACTCAGAATATCTCAGAACCTTAGGGCAGAGGAATTGCCTGGTGCCTCCACCAAAACCATGCCATGAAAACTGTCTGTGTCAATGAGAGAGTTGGAGAACAAAGGTAAAGAAATGCACCTCTTTCCTTTATGGGCACCTAGGTGCATGGATACACACCTGGTGTTGGGCACAGCATCAAGAATACCTGAACGAGGTGGAGAGAGGGATGGGGGCAAGCAGGAGAGGGTACCCTGCAGTGGAGGATATGGGATGGATGGATCACTTGCAGGAGACTCATTCCTCTCCTTGACTTTGCTCTGTGAGATTCCCACCAATCTTGGGAGGCCCAGCAGGACCCTCTTGGGAAGCCCAGCAGGTCAGAAGGCAACCCTGACTCTCCTTCCTAGGCCTGGTAAGTTACCAACCTTTGTCTTTGCAGGGTGTGCCCAGGCAGCCAAGGCAGCCCACCATGGCCCAGTTTCTCTCAGTGTTCTCTGGGAAGCTGGATTGGGACAACAGGACAGAGACCCCAGGACAAGTGAACATGAGTCATACGGGAGGCGAGTGGTTGGTGGGCAAACAGGTGGTTTTCATCCTGACAGTGCTGGTGGCCTTCTGTGGGCTGGTGGGCAATGGTGTGGTGTGCTGGCTTTTCTGCTTCCAGGTCAGGAGCAGCCCCTACATGACCTATGTCCTTAACCTGGCCGCTGCTGATATGGTCAACCTCTCCTGTGTAACTGTGATCCTGTTGGAGAAAATCCTCATGCTGTATCACCAGGTGACATTGCAGGTGGCCATGTTTCTGGAGCCTGTGTCCTATTTCTCTGACACAGTGAGTCTCTGTCTCCTGGTGGCCATGAATATTGAGAGCTTTCTGTGTGTCCTCTGTCCCACCTGGTGCTGCCACCGCCCAAAGCACACCTCTGCTGTGATGAGCATCCTGAGCTGGGCCCTGGCCCTTTCTTTGCATGTGGTTAGCCAGGTTTGTGAGTAATGGGAGAAGGGCCTGGCATGTGACCAATTTCAGGCAGGCTTTATAATATTTCACATGCTTATTTGTCTTGTGGTGGGCATTTCCAGCCTGACTTTGATCATCAGGAGCCTGTACTGCCTGAAGAACTGTTCACCCATCCGGATCTACCACATTGTCCGCTTTGTGGCCATCAGCTTCCTCGTTTGGGGCCTGCCCTTAGTTGTCCTTGTGTACCTGCCAGGAAAAGAATACCTGACCTTTGCCTTTGACCTTCTGTTGCTGCTGTCCATGGTAGTCAGTATGGCTCAACCAGCCATCTACTTCTTGGCTGGCTACCTTTGAAGGAAGAGGCATAGGGAGTCCTTAAAGTTGTTCTCCCAAGAGCTTTGTTGAATGAGATGGAAGGTGGAGGAAACAAGGGGTTTCAGGCAAGGGAACAGCAGGTTACCAGGACTGAGCTCCTCCCACTCCAGGAAGCTGTTCCCCAGGACTGACCATGATGCCCTGTATTGGTCCATTCTCACACTGCTATAAAGAAATATCTGAGACTGGGTAATTTATAAAGAAAAGAGGATTAATTGGCTGACAGTTTGACAGGCTGTACAGGAAGCATGGCTGGGGAGGCCTCAGGAAACTTACAATCATGGCAGAAGGTGAAGGGGAAGCAGGTACGTCTTCACATGGCAGGAACAGCAGGAATAGAGCAATGGGAGAGGTGCTATACACTTTGAAACAATCAGATCTGGTGAGCACTCACTCACTATAATGAGAGCAGCACAGAGGGGAAAATCTGCCTCCATGATTCAATCACCTCCCACCAGGCCCAACCTCCAATACTGGAAATTACAAATGGACATGAGATTTGGGTGGGGAACATAGATCCAAACCATATCATGCCCTGTGGAGTCTGCCCCATAAGGAGGTGCTTGAGTCCTGGCAAACATAAGACTCTGAATAGGGCAGGAAGTCAAGTGGTGGAAAAAACTATGACTAGAGGAAATGTTCACTGAAGATTCCCTTTGTCTCAATACTGCTCTAATTACTTTGCAAATATAAAACCAGGTAATTTTAACAATTCTATGAATAGATAACGTTATTATTATCCTGCTTCAGCCTAAGCCAAAAGGCCACTTGGCCCACTTAGTCAGTGGTTATCCAAAGGCCCCAGCACATTATAACAAGCACAGTCCTTCACCATCACGCTCCTCCTTGGTGATCAATCACAGTTGGACTCTTGTGGGTCTGTCTGTGGGCCCTCTGCTCTATTCCATCAGTCTATTTATCCATCCATGGACAATACCACACTTGATGTAGTTACTGCATCTTTATCATACATGTCTATCTGCGAGAAGCTGAGTCCTCCTACAAGCAGCTAGATAGAGAAGAAAAAGACATATATGTACAGAGAATCAAAGATACAAAGCAGATTTCTTGTTGGAAAATTGCAAGTTGTATGGAAGTATTTTTTTTAAAGAAAAAAATGCCAACCTAGAATTCTTTACACAGTCAAAATTTTGTTTTCCAATAAAAAGGCAGAATAAAGAGGTTTTCAGATTGACAAAAGATGAAAGAAATCATCACCAGGAGATGTACAGATTGAGAAATGGTAAAGGACATCCATCTAGCAGGAGAATAATGACTCCAGATGGAAATCTGAGTCTACTAAAGGAAGGAGCCCTTTGCACTGCTAGACTCTCCATAGGATGCTGAATACAAGTAGTGAGAGCTGACATCCTCACCTAGTTCTTCCTCTGGGGTGAAACCATCCAGTCTTTCATCATTAAGAATAACGTCCAGTAAACATCAACTACAGGGTTTTTGTAGGTGCCTTTTATCAGTTTAAGAAAATTCACTTCTATTCCTAGTTTTTAGGAATAGAAATAGACTGGAAGTTTTTATAAGGTTGATGGATTTTGTCTAATGCTTTTTCCAAATATACTGAAATAATGATGTGCTGTTGTCTTTTCATCTGTTAATATGGTGAGTTATACTGGCCCATTTTTAACGTTGAAGCAGCCTTGCATTCTTGGGATAAATTTCACTTTGTCGTTCTGTGCATATATTTATACTTGTGTTGCATATGTATGTATGCTCAAGGGCACGGGTTTCTGTGTGTGGCAATGCAGTGGACCTAGATTAGAAATAAAAAACCCTCTAAAAAAGAAGAATTAAGTAAGATGGCTAACAATACCTAACTTCAAGACCTATCGTAAAGGTTCAGAAATTCAGACGGTATGGTATTGGTAAGAGGCTAGACAAATGGATCAATAGAACAGAATACAGAGTCCAGAATAGACCATCACATATGTGTTCAATTGTTTTTCAAAAGTTGTACAGCAAATTCAGTGGAGAAAAGACAATCTTAGCAACAAATACTATTAGAACAATTAGATATGCATATTAAAAACTTCAGTCCATACATGGCACCATTATTCAAAATGTATCATAAACCAAAATGTAAGGCCTAAAACTTTAAAATTTGCATAAGGAAAAAGGTAGATATTAGTGTGACTTTGGATTAGAGAAATATTTGTTAGATAAGCACCAAAAGCATGATGCATAAAAGGAAAAAAAAATGATCAATTGGACTTCATCAAAATGATGTGTGCACTCTGAAAGACCCTGTGAGGAGAATGAAAAGACAAGTCCCAGGCTGGAGGAAGTATTTGCAAATCTCACCTCTGATGGACTCATATGCAGGTTCTACAAAAAGCTCTGGGGAGTGGACTCCTCGTGGCCCTCAGGAGTCAAAGGGGTGCTGTGCTCAGGGCAGAAATGGGAGATGCCTCCCACCCTGTCATTCATGTCCCCTGAGCAGTGGTGCTCAAAGTCCCCTACCAATGTCCCTTCCTGGGTCCACAGACCCTTCTCTCCCCACATCTACACTGACAGGCCAGGCCCCTCCTCCAGGGCACAGGGAGGGACAGTTGGTCTCAGGCTCTGGGTGCCCAGCTTCATGCTCACCCCTTCCTTCAAGGCCCACTGGGCCTGTCTCACAGGATATAGTGAGGTTGTCTGGCATCTCCTGGACATGCTGTCTGGGCCTATTCCAAGCTGCAGCCAGAAAAATGGAGGAATGTTTGTCAGACCAGGTACCCTTCCCACAGAGCCTGGGTCCAGATACACAGTACAGAGGCCACAGGGTGGCCAGCCTAGAACCTGTGAGGTGGGCTGGGGACCACACAAGGGCTGTCTCCAGACAGCCAGGTGAAGCTTTGCTAGTTTCTCGGTATCTCATTTCTTTCCTTTTCTTTTTTTCTTTTTTTGAGACAGGTTCTTGCTCTGCTGCCCAGGCTGCAGTGCAATGGCGTGATCTCAGCTCACTGCAATCTCCACTCTCTGACTTCCAGGCTTAAGCCATTCTCCCACCTCAGCCCCACCAGTAGCTGGAACTACAGGCGCGTGCCACCACACCTGGCTAATTTTTTTGTTTTGGTAGAAATGGGCTTTCACCATGTTGTCTAGGCTGGTCTTGAACTTCTGGACTCAGGCAACCCACCCTCCTTGGCCTCCGAAAATCTTGGGATTACAGGCGTGAGCCACTGCATCTGGCTGTTATTTCATTTCTTGCCAGTTACCTTACCCTCATGAAAAACCCCCTTCATTCAAAATCAGTAAGAGGAGAAAGGTGGTAAAAGAATCAATGGAAAGAAAACAGGATATAACTTCTGTCCATATAACTTCTTTATGTCCCATTGGAAAGAAAAGCCTAAAGGGGTCCACTGGTTTCTATTGCTCTGAGGTCCCGACGATGGCATTACACAGTGCAATAACTACCAGCAGGGGCCATGCTTGATTTCAGCAGACGTCAGTGAGGACATACCTGGGATCTTCTGGGGTCGTGGACATGGACTTAGAGCAGAACTGAGTAAACAGGTGTGCACAGGCACGCACACACATACACATACACGTGCACATGTGCACACACAGGGACACACACTTCTGCACTGTTCTAGACTGTTCCCGGGGCAGCAGTCCTGGGCTGCACAGATGAGCCCCTCCCCATCCACTCTGATTCCACAAGGCTCCCCGACCCCGCTAGTCACCTGGCTTGTTGTCAGTGGTGTCCTTTGTGTCCCGCCTTGGCACAGGCTCAGGACCTGGGATTGCCAGATGCTGAGAGGAGATGAGATGGAAAGGATGAGGGAAGCAAGAGAAGAAGGAAGAGAGGGAGGGAGGGATGTGGGGAGGGAAGGAGGGAAGAAAGGAAGGGAGGGCTGCCGGAGACCAGCCACCCAGGGACAGTAGACACAGGTGACAGCAGACCCTCTCAGGGATGCTTTGTACAGACTGTCATGAATGAGCAATGTCACTGGAACTCCAACTTTTGCTCCCTTCCCAGCCCTCTGGGGGTCCCTATCAGGTGCAGTTTGAATTACAGGAAATTACTGGAGGGTCTTAACCCTGGCATCTGCCTGAGAGTGGGAGGCTGCAGTGCAGTGTGGCTCACAGTTGGGTGGGAACCTTGGCCTTTCTGGTGCTTGGCCCTGCTGCGGCCTTTGGGATGGGGAGGCTGTGAGAGGCTGGTCAGGGTCTGGGCTGTGCCATCTTCATTTCCCATCCACCCCAGTATGTCCAGGGCTTCCTGCAGAGAGCTCTGGGCAACTCAAAAACAGGCAGGACATAACAACAAAGACTTTATTGTGCTTTAATCAAAATAAGTGGGGGCTTTGAGGCCAAGGAAGGGGTCCTTTTCCCCAAGAAGAGGCATTCTTAGGCATTGTTGAATCTATGCTGGAAGCTCTGGTCCCACCTTGGAGCCTCCTGCAGTGAGTAGAGCCAAGTTTCCTGACTTTTTCTGACCACAAAATGCAACTGCCAAGAATGGCAGATGAGGGATCCAGCCTCCTGGACTCTCATTTGCTTAGTTTTCTTCAGTCTTGTGTCCTGGAGCAGATTGTGGACCCTGGAAGCAGGGCCCCAGTGCCATCTGCTTGGGCCTCAGAACTCTGCCCCATTGGTGGTCTGGTGGTGGCCACTTATCCTGCAGGAGCCTGACCATTTCTGCTTCCTTGAATGGATGAGGTTGGTGGCTGGTCCACGTGTTTCTGCCCCACCCTCACCAAGGTGGCCAGTGGTAGTTTGAGCTTGGTAACATCATCAGCTTGGCCTTGCCAGGCACACATAGGCCCCGGGTATGTACGCAGTGCTCCAAGGGGGCTTGCTCCGCCTTAAGCCAAATACTAGTTCTGGCCAGGGCCACAGGGGGCTCCATCTCCTGTGTATCTTGGCTGCTGCTGGAGGCCCCAAGGCACCCCTGGTGCCCCTTCCCTTTCAGGGCTCAGGTTGAGTCTGGGCTAGGGCCCTCTGGGTCTAGGAATTGTGCGTTGAGAGGGGGGTTCTGCCCTACAGGTTGGGACCATGGATGCAGGGCATGCTGCTGGGTGGCCTGGGCTGTGGGGACACCATGCTCACCCCTCCCTCCAGTGGCCTCCAAGTGTCCAGCTTCCCCATCAGTATTGACTTTCCATGTCTAAGGAGCTCTCTGGGGCTTTGGGGCAGCTTGCCAAGTGCTGCCCTGGCTCCTTCTGGGCCGTGATGTTCACTGTCTGCCAAGAGTGATCAGCTGTAGGCATCACATGCAGGAGAGTTGTCTCTGGCCCTACCTCTGGGCTATCAGGGGGCTGGGCAGTGTCTGGTATTGGGGGCTAGGCCAGTCCTATGATCTTAGAGGTGTCCAGGACACATATGGAAGTGATAGGGGCCTAGCATCTCTGCTCCAAGCTCTACTGTGAAAACCACAGGCCTCTGAGGTCCAGGTCCATGGGGAGCTTAGAGAGGGAGTTCCAATGCAGGAATCACCAAGCACTCTGTGGTCTATCCTGAGCTGGGGATGGGCTGGCCACACTCTGAGTCCCCAGGGCCCCCAGAGAGCAGCCTGCTGTCCTGGGCTCTGCAGAAGCTCCCTTATGCCTCTGGGCTTTGGCCTTGGGTACAGCATAGCCAGGTGAGGGTGAGGGAGGATGAGGCTCCTGTTTCAGGAGGGCTATACCCATGGGCTGCTGGAGCTGGGCTGTGGGCCAGGGAGAAGCAGCCCATCCCCTTGGGGAGGGTCTCAATGCTGGGGGATATCTGCAGAGGCCTGGGTGGTGGGGGTGCTTGCTCAGGTTTGGCTGAAAGGAAAGCAGATTTGGTCAGCTTTTCCATTGAGAACATCTTGCTTTTGCCAGGCTGGACCCCACAGACCTGGGTCCCTGCAGTCCTCAGGGTCCCCGTGTGGTCCCCCTGGTCTAATGCTGAGGACACTCCTGCAGGCTGCTACTCCCAGAGCGAGGTGTGTGTGCAGCCTAGAGTGGGGAAGCTGTCAGGGAAGCTCAAGTCACTCCAGGGACAGCCCCCAGGGTTCAGGCTGACTCAGTCTTCCTGCCTCACACTCTTGCCCCAGGGCTGCTTAGCCTGGGCTTTAGCCTTGATTCAGAGCTCAGATGGATGAGGCCTTAACTGTTACCTAGCCCCTTTGCCACGCAATATGGGGGCTTATCTCCACAGTGGATGAGACACCCTCCACTCCTCTGGGGGATCTCCATGCCAGGGCTGGACTGTTCCCACACTCAGCTGAGCAATCAATTCTGGCTCTGGGCCAGGGTTTCACCTATGCCCTCTCCCTAGATTCTCTTAGGGTCTCTGACACTGATTTTAGGCCCTTGGAGGGGTGCTCAGGAGTGAAGGCCCCCTGCTGCTCTCCAGGGCTGCTGGTACTCACAGGTGTGGTTGTGGGCTTGCACAGATGGATCTGACCCCTCCAGTGTCCTTCTGGGGCTTTCAGGAGTGAGAGCAGGAGGGTACAGGGGAGGGGCTTGGAAGAGTCTTGCTCACGTCTCATTGTCTCTGAGGCATGTCCAGTAAACCCAAGGTCAGCTTTTGCCCTAGGCTCAGGCAGCCTGGTTTCAGAAGCTTCTTAGAGGAGGAGGGAGAGGAGGGGCTGGAGGAAGGCCCAGGGAGCAGGGCTGGTGAGGTCTGGGCACTTCCCACTATTTACTGCCCCGCAGGGTGACACAGGAGGAGACTTGGTGCTGAAGCCCACCTGGGTGTGCAGGTCACAGTGCATGCTTCTCAGTTCCCCCATGGAGGCCTCAGGGTGCCTCATCACCATGTCCTCCTCCAGGGCCCAGGCCTAGGACAGTGTGTCCTGAAGGAACTCCTGCAAGCCAAACAGGAACAGCTTCAGGGGGTGTTCTAGGGACAGGGTGACTATGAGGCTGGGAGGGGTCTGTGGGAGAGTCAGTGTCTGCACCTTGTTCCTGCCCCAGGCACCCACCACTGGGCGGTGCTGGATCCTACTGTGGCTGCCCCAGGGGTCCAGATGTTCACAGAAAACCACAGCTGGAGGAAGGCCTGGGCAGGGAAGTGCTCAACACACTCTTGCCTTTCATCTGGGTTGTGTCAGGAGTGGGTTTGGTACCTGGGTCCACTCCCTGCCCAGCCCACCAGGCCTGGTCTGGCCCTACCTCCAGGCTGGAGCAGAGAGCCATCTGGACAGTGTGGATGCTGCTCTCAGGTCATCACACACCAGAAGCCAGGAATCTGTCCTGGCTATAGGTCCCAGGGTCTGTCCTGCATGCTCCTTCTGGGCACCATTGGCCACCCAGGGACTTAATTCTGTGGCTGTGAAGGCCATGTATACCATAGTTGTCACCACACACTCACCTCCCAGTAGGTAGACATCCCAGAGCCACAGGATGAGCATGAAGGAAGTCTGTGGGAACAGCAGGTGTGGGAGGACCTGGCCTTTCCAACCTCGGGGCTGGTGGCTTGAGCAGGGCCCACTGTAGCCTCAGTCTGGACTTCCTGAGGCTCCCTCTGCTTGGGAAGAGACCCACCCAATCTTCCATAAGGCTGGGTCAGACAAGGTCCGGCAGCTCTTCATGGGGATGGACTCATCTCAGCAGAAATGTGGTTCCCAGAATAAGGGGCTTCCTGAGGGCTTGTGGCTTCCCTGGCTCCTTTGGCTCTTCCAAGATGGGTCTTGGCCCAGTCTGCCCAGAATTCCCTGGTGTCTGGTGTGTAAAGCTCCCATCATACAGGTCCTGGCTTGTGTGCCCTGCAGAGACCTGCCTGTGCCTCCTGTGGGGTGGGGGTGAGCTGGGTCCTCCTGGGGAAGCCAGACCCCTGGGCTGGGGGAGCTGAGCACTGTGGGGAAAGGAGGTACCTGGCCTGGGGTCTCCTATGCATCCTTATCTCATCGATGAAGCACCATAGAAACCAGTTTAAGGTGGAAAGCCGGATGCACAACCCTTCCTTGTCCTGATAGAAGGAATAGAAGTGTTCAGGGTCCCCTGGGCTTCCGTGAAAACCTCTGTATTCCAGACCCCACTGCAGACCCTTCCCCAAGAGGTAGAACAGTGGTGGCTGTGCCCCAACACCTCCCCATGGCATGGGCCCCCAGTGGATGTACTTCCCCTAGCCCTGGCTCAGCCAGAGCTTGGCCTGGTCCCAGTGCCTCTGTCCCCTCCAGGTAAGGAAAAGGAGGCCAAACTTTGAATCCATTGAAAACCAGATCAAGCCCTGGCTGGAAGTTGGCCTCTCACCAGCCCCAGGCTTCCCCTGTCCCTGCTAACCCCATGGGACCCAGGGCCTCTGGGGAAGAGCTGAGGGACTGACCACTCACCATGTGCTTCATAAGCTCTCAGAACACTTTTAGCAAAACTTGCTCTTGATGGGCTTGGAGACTCTGGAAGTTAGAACATCTTGGGATGTAGACTCCTGAGAGGCTCCTGGGGCCCCAAGGAATCAGAGCCTACTCCTGAGATGTGGAGCCATCAGGCTGGGCAGTGGCAGTTGGGCAGTGGCAGTTGGGCAGCAGCGGTTGGGCAGTGGCAGTTGGGCAGTGGTGGTTGCTTCCAGACCCCAAGGCCTTTCACTGTCCCATCCAGTGACCCCATCATGTGGTCTCGGCCAGGAGAGGAGGGGTGGGAATGCCCCTGGGGCCTGGCTGGAGGCACTGCTTAGTGGCTTCCAGGGCCATGGCTCCAGAAGGGCAGGCCTGCCTTTGAAGCAGTGAGGACAGGTGGGAGCTGGTGGGGTGACCAGGGGTGCTGGAGGGTGTGTGGCCTTCTCCTGGATGTGGGGTCAGGGCAGGGGACACAGGACAGAGAGAAGCTGTCATCTGGGCTTGGTCTAGCCATGGGCAGGGAGGGTGGTTGGGAGGGTGGCCAGCTGGGAGGTGGAAGGACCAGCAGGGTTGTAAGAGTCCCCTGCATAAGGTCAGGGCCAGAAGGTTGTGACACCAGGATGCAGAAGGTGGTCACAGGGCAGCTGTGATCCCATTTGCTGATGGGGACAAGAGGCATCTGACTTGGGGTGTCGGGTCCCTGGCCAGTCACAGGCTCCTGTGGGACTCTCAGCAGGGGATACCCTGGAGGCTCAAAATGAGCAGGGGACAGAAGGTGCCTTGTCTGTAAGTCACAATTACCCAGCCAGTGTGGCCGTCCCCTGTCCTGGCTGTGTGATGCCTCGTGGGTAGCTGTCCACTGTGAGCTAATGTCACATGGGAGGACTGTGTCACCTGAGAGGGCAGAGGTCACCTTGGAGAGTACCATGCTTGGCAAGCCTCTCATTGGCCAGCAGCTGGGCCAGCACCCAGATGTCTCCTCATTCTGGAACATGAGCAGGATAGTGGCTCATGGCATGATATGGCTTATGCCCCCGCAGTAGCCTACCTCTGGCAAAAGCCAAAGTCATCATGGAAAGACTTCACCAAGGCTGACGTCACCTTGGAGGGTTGAGGTCACCTGAGAGGGCTAATGTCACCTGAGCACACTATGTCACCAAGAGGGCAGAGGTTACCTGGAAAGGCAGAAGTCCCCTGGCAGAGCTGAGGTCACCTGAGGAAACAGGTCACTTGGAAGGGAAGAGGTCACTTGGGAGAGTTAATATCCCCTAGGAGAACTAATGTCACCTGAGAAGGCAGAGATCATCTGGGAAAGCAGAGGTCCCCTGGAAGACCTGAGTTCACCAGGGAGGGCAGAGATAACCAGGGAGGACTAATGTCACTTAGGAGGGCTGAGGTCACCTGAAAAGACTGAAGTCATCTGGAAAGGCAGAGGTCACCTGGGAGAGCTGAGGTAACCTAGGAGGGCACAGATCACTTGAGAGGGGAGAACTAATGTCACCCAGGAGGGCAGAAGTCACCTGAGAAGGCAGAGGTCACCAGGAAGGCCTGCCACAGGTCCCGGGGAATTTAGGGTGCAGCTTCCGTGCCCCTCTCCTGACACTGTGGTTCACTTGAGCCAGTCATGGACATCTCAGATGAAAAGGAGCTATGGAAGAGACTCCTGCTTCATCCAAACTCATGTGTGGCCAGAAAAGGCATAGGTGAGGGCCGTTAAGAACACCCTGACCCGAACTGCAGATGCTAAGCTGGGGAGGCCACTGTGCCAGGCTCAGGGCAACACCCATGAACTGAATCCCTATGAAGGCTGGCTTGTGGGTGCTGACCACTGCACATAGGGGACTGGGATGGCTCACAGGCTGCTGGGCACAGGAAGACAGCTAGGTCCAGACCCTGTGTGGGCAGCCCATGGAGTCTGCTCAGCAGCTCTTCCTGCCAGGAATGGTCAGGAAAGTGGGGGCTGGAGAGTGGGAGCAGCCATCTCAGTAAGTCCTTCCCTGTCTGCTGTGCTGTTCAGGGTTCGGGTGAAGGGGAACTTTGATCCCAAAGCCTGATTAAGATGATGGCTTCTTCAGGATCCAAACTCACTTTATGACAAAAGAAATGTTCATTAGGCACTTCACCATCTTGTAAAATATTCTGAGAGGGACAATCTGCAACAACGCAAAGCTTGTGGGGTTTGAGGTGGGAAAGGAAAATAAAACTCAGGACTCCAATTCACTATGCCAAATGGAAAAAATTAAGCTGAAAGCTGAGTCATGCAAAAAACTGTCTTTCCTTTTGTTCCTCAGCAGATAGCTACAGATAGAAGGTTAAATAGCTCCTCAAGTAGCTAGTCTTATGTTCACCTTATGTAAAGGGCCTATTACTGAGTGTGAGATGAATCCATAATTGACTGTTTTCCTGCCTACTCCTTTTCTCTTGCAACATGTGGATAACCACACCCTCTTTCCCATCTAGCACACTTCTCACCTTTAAATATTGAAGCCCTCACAATCATCTTTGAGAAAGGTACATATACCTGTTTCCTGGGTGCGTCCTTAACCTTGGCAAAATGAAAATTCTAAACTGATTGAGACCTATCTGACATACTTTTTCGTTTACAAGTTGGCAACCAACGGAAGAGACTCTGAGTGAAGGTGGCCCTGACCTTTGACAAATCTACTTGTGCATGGTACCAGTATGAGCTATATTTTTATTTTATCTGTTTTAATTTTGAGACAGTGTTTCACTCTGTCACCCAGGTTGAAGTGCAGTGGCACGATCCCTGCTCACTGTAGCCTCCACCTCCCGGGCTCAGGTGATCCTTCCACCTCAGCCTCCTGAGTAGCTGGGACTACAGGCTTGTGCCACCACACCGGGCTAATTTTTGTAATTTTCATAGAGACAGGGTTTTGCCTTGTTGCCCAGGCTGGTCTTGAACTCCTGGGCTCAAGAAATCCTCTGGCCTTGCAAGGCCTCCCAAAGAGCGGGGATTACAGGCATGAACCACCATGTCTGGCCTTGAGCTATCTTTATTGTTCAAACTGTTACAATAGGTAATTAGTCAGACATGAATAGGTCAGGAGAGGGACCCTCGCCCAGGAATGTCAGGCAACCATCAGATGGTGGTCAGGAGGTTGTTAAACTGCCTCTTGAAAATAATAATTGGCTGCAGCCGGTGCCAGGGAAAGGCAGCCTCCCAATAGAAACACCTCAAGTTGGTAATCAGCAGCTTCCCAATAAGATCTCAGGAGGTGGGCTAGTGGACTTAAGCATGTGCACTAACAGGCAAAATGGCAGAGTTGAACCAGTATATAACCTTTCTCCAGGAACACTCGGCTGGTAAGGGAAGAATGCCTTAAGTGAGCATGTGTACAATTTTGGTAAACACATTGTGTATGTTGCCCCTTCCAAGTGCTGGCAGGCCACTGTGCACGTGGACAGCCCACCCCAAGGGAAAAATCAAGGGAGAAGAGATGCAAACCACTCCCCCGCCCCAAGAGGCATGCCAATGTATGAAACCCCAAGTCAAAGATCAAACCATGAACTTGATCTCTCAAGTCACCCACTCGGCCCTCTTTCAAGTGGACTTTACTTTCTTCAGTTTCTGCTCTAAAGCTTTTTAATAAATTTTCACTCTTGGCTCTAAAACTTGCCTCAATCTTTCACTCTGCCGTATGCCCCTCAGTCGAATTCTTTCTTCTGAGAAGGCAAGAATTGAGATTGCTGCAGACCCATATGGATTTGCTGCCAGTAACAAAACCAACAGGACGATTTGCTGAGGCCTGGGAGGTATCATCTCCAGAGAATCCCTGATTTCTCAAAATGTTGTTGAGATCTAAGGTTTATTTTGCTGTTCAACTCCTTTTCTAGAGTTTTACTTGCATCCAAAAAGATGAGTTTTTCTGAATCCATGATAATGGAAAGCAGGCAACTCCTTTCCAGAGTTTCAGCTTGCTTCCAACAGGGAAGATGAGTTTTGAGTTTTTTTCCTGCTTCTAGGATGATAGAGAGCAATCTTCAACCTGGGCCTTATTCCTACATAAGTAGCTGAAATGGGGTTTGTCTTGGAAATTCTCTGAAAGTTAAGATTAACTACCAGCTGGTCTTGATTCCTCCTTACCATTAGAGTGCTCAGTAATCTTATAAATTGTGCAATCATTTGTTTTGCTTTACTTTTTTGTTGTTGTTTATTTGTTTGGTTCTGTTTTTGTTGTTTTAGTCTTTTTTCCGTTGGGTTTGACCACTCTAGTTGACTTGGTCAAACCTGAAGGAAAGTTCTAAATTATGGGGAACAAGACCTCTGAACTGGCTAAATTCCTGAAGCTGGAAAAACAAAGAGAAAAAAAAGAAAAATCAGCCATCGAAGCAAGAAAGATTTCAATTACCTGAAGGGCTTTATTTACATAACAAAACAACCCTTTGCTAGCCAAGCCAAACTGAAATAGCAATAGTGGTTGCCCCATGCTGTAGTTCAGTAGCTAAGGTTCTGCCCTTTTTCCACCATGGCAGCCTGGGTTTGGTTCCTAAATAAAGTCTTTACTGGTTTGATATTTGTGTTACATTTGAAATATTAGAAGTTTGTCCCACCTAAAACATGGTAATGTAACCAAAATGCAGGTTAGTCGCTTGTTGCTTGCAGAGTCCAATTAACAAAAGTGAAGTCTGGTATAAAGAAAGTAATTTATTTCCAAAACTAGCTTAGGGGAAGAAATGCAGGTGTCCTCCATATGGCTTCACTTTTAAAAAGCAGGGGAGGAAGTGAGCAAGGGTGGTGGCGGGGGGTCCATGCTAGCTCTTGTGCCTTATCTACGGGGCAATCAGCTTGTGACTGCTGGCACCTTCATGGGCAGGCTGTTATCTCTTGAGACAACCTCCTAAAGAGTGAGAGTTCCACAGTGGGCATGATTGGTTTATAAATCAACTGTTAATTCTCAAGTTGACTTTCCAGTTTGAGCGTGTAGTTAGATGAACTTGCACTGTAGGGAGAGTCCGGTAATGGGGAGGTAAAAGGCTATATTTGCATTCCTAAAAGCCTAAGTAGGGAGTGGGGAACTGAAGGAACAAGAAAAGGAAAGAAAAAAAATAATAATTGATGTCTCAGGAAAATGGGTGTACTCGGTTACAGCAATGAGATTTTAAAGGATTTTTAAAGCTCAGTGGTTAAAAGTCAGCTTGATTAAATGCTAATATACATAAGGTGTCAAAATTTGGCATGACGGTTATAAAATTATAAATGTAACTCAAAAGATAATTATCCTTGTGTAATTTTTTTTGATAAATAAGTCATTTATCCTGAGTTATTGGCGAAAAACTCATTTGTTTAACCTTAAGCTTCTTACTTAGGTAAACACCTGAAATTCACAGGCTATATAAATGATTAACAGGAAAATACCTTTAAATGTTGATTATCACAGTTTTCATAAGTAATCTAGGTAAACTATTAAAAATAAGTTAGGTAAATGTAATGGAAGGAATGCTTGTAAATAAGCATAATATAATTTAGAATCTAAAGTTATATTACATAACAGGCATTTATTAAATGTCTGGGTCATTCACAATTAAAAAAATTACAGAAAAACATTTTGCTAAGAATATGTTCTTATTTAAAGGAAAATAATTTTTGTTGAATTCAAAGGTTATTTAAAGGTTATGAAACAAGATAAAAGGAACCACTAAATAAGAGCGATATAAAGACAGTTAAAAATATAAAGAGATATTTTTGGTAAGAAAGGTTAAAAGGAAAATTTTATATGAGAAAAAAATCTTGCATGGTAAATGTTTGTTCTAAAATAAAATGGCTGGATGCAAATAGCTCATGCATGTAATCCTAGCACTTTGTAAGGCTGAGGTGAGCAGATTGCTTGAGCCTGGGAGTTCCAGACCAGCCTGGGCAACATGGTAAAACCCTGTCTATACAAAAAACACAGAAAATTAACTGAGTATGCTGGTGCACATCTATAGTCCCAGCTACCTGGGAGGTTGAAATGGGAGGATTGCTTGAGCCTGGGTGGGTCAAGGCTGCAGTGAGCTGTGATCATGCCACTACACCCCAGCCTGGGTGACACAGAGAGAGAGACCTTGTCTCAAGGAAACAACAGCAGCAACAACAGCAGCAACAACAAAGAAATCTTAAAAAAAAGAAAAAGAAGATAAAATGATTGGTTATTTAGGAAAGAAGCTGTTTAGGATAAAACAGGAAGTCTAGGCATGTCATAAGTGGCTTGTGTAAGTCATAGTAAGGTTTGTAAAAAGAGACTTTATGAGAAAAGAATTTATTTGATCAAGTTGGCTATAATTAAAAGGAAATTAGTCTTTCTAGAGACTGTGCTTTTGCACTTAGTGTATATTAAAAATATGCTAATCCACTCAAGAATGGGCTAGAAGAACAAAATTTTCTTAAGATATTAATTTACTCTTAACAAATTACAAGATATTTTAATTTTTTTACCCCAGATTTCAACTTTTATTGAATCTCACTGTTTTCACCTTTCTCTCCCCTTCATAAGTCCTGAGATAATCGCTCTCTCCAACTTTCTTGTCAGTTTCTATAATTTTTTTTCCTCAGGTTCTAACTGCTACTGTGACATGATGCTAAAAGTGTTTTATCTTAAAGGTCTAAAGGAAATATTTTCTTCCAATATAACATTCTGTGCTCTTGGTTTGAAGTTTTTCTATGAAACTGAAAATTTTCACTTATGATGCAAGACACACCCTTCCTATATCTAACTAATTCAAGTACCATTTTCATTAGTTTTGACTTGAAGTCTAGGGAAAAGCAATTGCTGCAGGTCTTTTATTTATTTTTTGCCTTTTGGTAACTGGCCTAACAAACAGATTTTATATTTTATTGAAACAATTCCTATGTCATTAAGTTTTTTATTTGCCTAGGAAAACTGAGATTTAAAAAATTAAAGTTATTAACATCCATACAATGTTCTGTATTGCTTTTAAAGTCCTTGTTCTGTTGAGTTACAGGGCTTTGACTCCTGTATCTAAAAAGGACACCAAGTCCTGCTAAATCTTAAACACTGAAAGCTTCTAAAACCGTATCTTCAGAACCAGGAGAAGATGATAATCAAAAGAAACTGCACTCATGAAACACAGGGCCAGAAATTGAAACTATCTTACCCCTCAAAGTCCAGGGGCTATTGTGGAAGATGTGGGTACATGCGATTGTAAGAGCCTATTTTGAAAGATAAAATTGGTTTTATCTTGGTTACAGTTTCTCTGTAAAGATTAGTATCAAAGGCTCACTGATGCAAGACTAACCTCTGAGCTCCTGTGTCAGATTAACAAGGTTTTCTTGGAGTATTAACCCACTTTTTCATTTAAAAAATTATAAAATGTTACAAAAAGGTTTTTGGAAATTATATAGTATGGTGAAGATCATTAAAATTTAATAGATTTGTTTATAAGATTTGAGAAACAGATTTCATTGGCCTCATGCTATCTTTATTAGGGCTTATTGTTTGGAAAATTAAGTCTCCTCTCTCAAAGAGTAATGGTTTTGTCTTTTGACTTTTTTTTTTTTGAAATCTTTGAGTTATCACTTTGGTTAAATGAATGACTTATTTTACAATGACCAATGACCAATGATCCTATTTTGTGATAGCAGGTGTTTTAAAGTTTTGATATTTGATTTTTTCAAAATTAAATTCTAAATTCAGTCCTTTTGACTCATTAATTTTTTTGATATTAGGTCCCCTTAAGTCCAAAAGACACATATTTGCCTTATTTGGTATAATACAATCATTAGATATTAATTTCATATTTGACAATACCTACTGTATAATTTTATTATACCAAATAAATGTAACCTAATAATCTATAATTATAATTTATATTTATAGATTTAACCTGTAATTTTATTATACCAAACAGGTATAACCTCATTTCATGGGATGCGCCCATTCCCCTGAATTCCTCCATCTCCCCTGGGACCTGTGTTGAAGGTCATCTCAGTAGCTTCTAGGTTTTAGTGATAATGAATAAGGCAGTGAATGTGACATGTAGGTTTTAGGTGTACATACATTTTCAAGTCAGCTAGGTCAACGTCTATGACACTTGTGGTCACGTGGTACAAGTACATTTAGCTTTGTGAGCAATTCCCAACTGTCTTCCAAGGCGGCTGTACCATTTTGCATTCAGCAGCAGCAGCATTTTGCAGCAGCAATGCACAGAGTTCTTGTGGCTCCACATCCTCTATGGTGTTTGGTGTTGTCAGTGTTGCCTGTGAAGTCTGAGCCCCTCTTGTGGGTCTCTACCTCAGGTACTTGTGGGTCATAGAGAGAACTTTTCACCATGCAGCATGATTGTGTTTGCTACCGCTTGTTTCCTCAGTAGCCACTTGGGTTCTGGACCCACATGCCCCAGCTCGGCCCATGGTTTGGAGCTCAGTAGATGCTCTGTGATGCTGGCTGCTCCCTGGCCAAGAGAGCCCTTGGGGGGCTCTGTCACGTCCTATCTTGGACTCCTGCATGGGATGCCCCTATTCCTCTGAATTCCTCCGTCTCCCCGGGACCCTCCATCCCCCATAGGCCTTACCTGACTCTGTAGTGCTCCCAAAACATGACATGGTGTCTGAAGGTGCACTTCATGTCCAGGTCAATCTGGTTTATTTTCGCTGAGGACATCTTGCCCTGCTGCTTTATTTTCTGCTCCCTCTGCTCCCAAATCCTAGGCCCTCCTGAGTGTGAGCCCATAGAAAGACCCTCTTCCCTTCCCTAAGTGGCCACCTGGACTGATAACCTGTGGTGGATGAGGATGGGGCTGGTCCTTCCCTGGGGCTCACTCTCCCTCAGTTGCTTTACAGTGAGAGCCCTGTATAGGAGCCCTGCTCCTTTATTTTCTTTAGGGCAGGGCTAAAGGGCTGGTTCCTCAGGAAGGAACCAGCCTTATAACAGACAAAAGGCTCACTACCACAAACAGCAATCATTCAGCACTTCTGGAAGGAAAGACGATTTTTTTTTTTTTTTTTTTTGCAGAAATATCCTTCTCTATCTTATTTCCAAAGCCACTGAGGGTCACCAGAGCCCAGTTCACTTGTGGTTCCCATGCCATCGTCTGTGCCTAGGATATGGGACTGACCATCACTCAGGCTTGACTTTTCCTCTAGCTAGAGACCTGGGCTCCTGACATGGCCTGGCCTGTTTCTTCCGCTGTGGCTGAGTGTGGAAGGACCATACCTGGTACTTACTTGGGTTTTCAGCCTTCACCTTCTTAACGTCCAGCAGGAGTGACCATGCCTGACTCCACATCTGCAGGGGGATTCCTTAACAACATGCTTTTTTGCCTTAACAACATGCTTTTGCTGCAGATATCAGCCAGGGCCTGTTTCTCTGCTCCTCGCTAAGAATGCTTTGTTTCCCATAAGGAATGCTTTTAGCTAATATATAATCTATAGAAGCAATGCTTATCACTGGCTTACTGTCAATTAATATGTGGGTCTAACTCCATTCATGGCTCTCAGCTCTGAAGGCTATCAGCCCCTGATTCCCACTCTACACTCTATTTCTGTGTCTGTGTCTTTAATTCCTCTAGCGCCACTGGGTTAGGGTCTCCACGACCGAGCTGGTCTTGGCAATTGGTTGGGAGGACAGAAGACTGACTCACTGTGGAATCTCAAGCTGACTGATGACCTTGTAGATGTAAACATCTTCATCTCCTGTGTCCACTGGTGCCCTGGATCAGCAACCTGCAAGGCAGAGGGAGAGAGGGTGAGGGAGGCCAAAATAAAAGTTGTTGGGTATGGGCGTGTGGGCAGCTCATCCTTGCCCTGCATCCCGAAGGAGTCCAGGACCATCAGACCAGGGAACAGAGGGAGAGGTGAGACCCGCCTCCCTGGAGGGAGCAGCCTGACCTGTGTCTGCTTATACTTGGCAATGATGTCCCTTTACTCCTGGGCGAGCAGGATATCCATGTCTTTGTCCATATCCACCCTATAAGACAAAATACTCCCAAAATTACATGGCACCTGAGAGCTTTAGAGAACACCCCATACATCTGCTCCCAGATGCCAGCCGGGTGAACTTCATTTCACCAACACCCCCAGGACAATGGGACCAAGCCAAATGGCCCCACCTCTGCCAGGACTTCTGGAGTCCCTGGGCCTGACCAGAGGTGGGCCCTTTCCTGAGGACTTTAAAACAAGGAGACCTAGACAACAAGACTTGTTGTCCCTAAATGTCCTGAAATGGGCACACACTCCACAGCAGGATGAACGGCATCTACCTGCTCAGGGTGAAGGGCCATGATGACTATAATGGACACCTGGAGGCAGACTAGGGCCAGGAACCAGAAATCTCTATATGATCAGCCTCCTGCTATTGTTCAGACACCATGAAGATGCCCAGTTTTCTATAGGAAAGAAGAAATCTCATGAGTGTTCTGTTCCACTCAAATCTTTACTCACTGTGGCCAGTGAATCCATTTGAAGAATAACACCAGTCAAGAAGGAGGATGTTTGGTTCGGAGAAGGCTTGATCTATTGTCTCCAAAGCAGCCTCCCTTTGGTGGAGGGAGGGCAGATTCCACAGTCCTGAGCAGTTGATACAGGAAGAGGCTTTGTTTTCCCAGGTCACCAAAGAACAAGTGAACTCTTGGGGACAGGTTCTGGAGAACACCCAGAGGGGCCATCTCTCCTGGGAATACCTGAGACAAAGGGAAGGTGATACGTCTGGAGGACAGGTCAGAGAGAGGGCCTTGCAGGTTAAACCCCTGTCCCCAGGCCTCAGAGAACAGGAGGAATGACTGTCACCTTTCGGCCAGACCTCCAGGGTTTCTTCATTTTCCACAACTATTCGAGGGCAGAGGGCTCCCAGCTCTGCTCCCAAACTGGAAAACTCCAGTGCCTGGTGGGTCCCACAGTAACCATCAGAGCCCACACTTAAAGTCTGAATGGATAAGATCCCTGCCTCTGGGGAACTTTTTCTTGCACAGACTTGGACTGAGGGATGCCTCTAACCCCACCCACAGGGCCCCCCATTCCTGTGGCTCTTCCAGAGCCAGGTTCTACCCCCACTGGGGTCCGGAATCCTCAGCAGATTTTGTATCTAAGGCAGGAAGGCTGCAGAGGCCAGGAGTTGAGTGCAGGACAGCACAAGGCAGGGCTGAGATCACAGTCCAGAGTCACATCTGGGTCCCTGGGTCAGTTGCCTCCCCTCTGACCTCAGGCATCTCATCTTCAAATGGGTACATTAGCACCCATTCCACGAAGTCAGTGTGAGGGTGAATGAGACGGCTGCAATACATGGTCAGTGAAGAGAAAGCACCTGGTGGGAGCTCAGCGACATTACCCTCCACAGTGCCCTGGAGGCCAGTGATGCCATCTGGTAGCATCTGCCCCCATGTCAGCAGGAAGGGGAGACAGCAGGTCACACTTACCCGAGAATGATCAGTCAGCTGTGCTGAGATGTGCCTCTCACTTAGAAAAGGGTCCTGCACACAGAGACACTCACAGACACCACTGTGTGTCTCCAGCTGCTCCACAACTCAGAGGCAGGCAGATGTTCAGCAACAGTGACGTCTGGGGTTACAGCACCCATCAGAGTGGGGCCCTGCCTGGGTCAGCAGGGCCCAGGTCCAGTGTCCTCTACTCCTTGAACTGTCAACACGCATGCATTCAATGTGTTTGTGTGTGAGTGTGAATGTGTATGTTGTGAACACGTGTGTGCATGAGTGTGTCTCTTCTCTGGCTGGTCTTGGCTGCTCCACCACATGTGCACCCAGGTCCTCATCACTGTCACCCCCAAGGGCTGTGGCCAGCATCAGAGCATCTATGGGTGCTCCCTAGTCTCTGCCCTCTCCACCTGAGGCAGTTCTGGATATGCAGACATAGGAAGGGCAGAGGGCAGAGGGCTTGCCCTTTCCTCATAGGGACTCAGTTTGTGTGTAAAATTTTAGGCCTACATGCTCAGCAGGGCAGGATTCAGCACACCTTCTCACGTCCTCCTCCTCCTCGAAGCCTTCTGGGCTGCTGTGTCCATTCCCCTTTTATAGATGGAGGGAAGGAGGCTCCCAGGACAAATCTCCTGTCTGAGGTCACACAGTGGCAGGTGACTAGGCACCACTGACCAGGTCCCCTGCCTAACTGGACCTGAGGAAGGAGGAAGCTCAGGAGGGAGGTGGGTGGAATCACCTCTTGGATGTCAGCTTCTGTCCACCAGGTGTCAGGTGACCCCCTCTTATCTGTTTTCTTTACCTCTGCTATCTCCCTTGGTCATTGAAATTGAACTGGGGTGGGGACATATTGGGAACCTATACCTGCAGCCCTTCCATCTCCTCAGAAACCTTCCCATGGGCCCAAAAATGCCCCCTCACTGGCCTCCTGTTTTCTACTCTTTAACTCTTAACCTCACCCAGGCATGGGGCCATAGTGGCCTGGAGACCCTATCAGATGCAAGTCCATTAGGGCACATCCCTGCTTAGGGGTCACCACCAGTGCCCCATCCCAATGGGACGCTCCAGTGGCTAAGAAACCCCCTTGCTCCCACACAGCCATGTGGAAACAACCTCATGTCCATTGAGAGATGAAAGGAAATGGAGGCTATCCTCACAATGGAATATTATCCAGCCATGCAAAAGAAGGAAATCCTGCCATTTGCAACATGGATGAACCTGGAAGACGCTGTGCTAAGTGAGACAAGCCAGTCACAAAAAGACATATACTGTATAATTCCACTGAGATAAAGTACCTAAAATAGTTAAACCCATAGAAGCAGAATGTAGAATGGGGGTTACTGGGAGGTGAGAAGAGGGACATGAGGAGTTGCTTTTCAGCTTGTGTAAAATTTCGGGTATGGAAGATGATTAAATTCTAGAGATTCGATGCATAACATCCTACCTATAGTAAACAATGCTGTATTACACATTAAAAAAATTCTGCTAACATTAGGAGATATATGTGTGTGTACCTGTGTGTGTATACAGTGTAGTATTTTTTTTTTTTTGCTGAACAGTACTCCATTGTATGGATGCACCATAGTTTGTTTACACGTTCACCTGTTAAAGGACATTTAGTTTGCTTCTGGGTTTTGCCTATTATGACTGGAGCTTTTATAACAGTTTGTGTACGGGTGTCTGTGTGGACATAAGCTTTTATGTCTTTAGGAGAAATACCAGGGCTGAGATTGCTGGTTCCCGTGGTAAGTATATGTGTAACCTTACAAGAAACAAATTGCTTTCCAGTGCAGCTGTGCCATTTTGCTTTCCTGGCAGCGATGTGTTAGTCCTGTTGCTCCACATCCTCGCCGGCACTACTAGTGTCTGTGGTTTTTATTTTAGACATTCTAATGGGTGTGTAACAGGATCTCACTGTGGTTTTGATTTGTAGTCCCCTAGTGAGTCATAGTATTGAGTACCTTGTCTGGGCTGCTCTGCCTGCTGCGTGCCCTCGTTGCTGAAGTTTGTGTCTGAGTCTTTGTCTCATTTCTGAAACTGGTTTTGTTTTCTTGTTTTTGAATTGGATTGATTGTTTTAATTGGGTTGGCTTGAGCATTCTTAAGTGTTCTGAATATGAGTCCTTGTCAGACGTGTGATTTTTTAAAATATTTTCTCCAAATCTACAGCTCATCTTTTCATTCACTTAACAATGTATTTTACAGAACAAAAGTTATAATTTTGATGAAGTACAACTTATTGAATTTATTTTTGCCTTTTGCTATACTTTGCTTTCAGTGTCACATCTATGAACTCTTTGCCTAACTAGATTGGAAAAATTTTTTCTCCTATGTTTTAGTCTAAGCATTATATATTTTTATATTTTATGCTTAGATCTATGATCCATTTTGAGTTAATATTGTAACTAATGCAATTTGTTACATGTAAATTAGGAGGTTTAGATCAAGATTCATTATTCTGGATAAGACTGTCCAATTGTTGACTGGGTGCCGTGGCTCACGCCTGTAATCCCAGCACTTTGGGAGGCCGAGGCTGGTGGATCACGAGGTCAGGAGTTCAAGACCAGACTGGCCAAGATGGTGAAACCCCATCTCTACTAAAAATCCAAAAAATTAGCCGGGCCTGGTGGCAGGCGCCTGTAATCCCAGCTACTTGGGACGCTGAGGCAGAGAATTGCTTGAACCCAGGAGGCGGAGGTTGCAGTGAACCGAGATTGCCACTGCACTCCAGCCTGGATGACAGAGCAAGACTCCGTCTTAAAAACAAAACCAAAAACCAAAAAACAAAAAAAGACTGTCCAATTGTTTTAACACTGTTGAAAAGACCTTCCTTTCTCTGTTGAATTGCTGCTGTTCCTTTGTCAATAATTAGCTATAATTGTGTGGGTTTATTCCCAAGCTTCCCAATGTCTTCCATAGATCTATGTGTCTATCACTTCTCCAATATCACCTTGTCTCGGTGAGCTCTTTTGGAACAGCACTTTGGAAGGGTAACCTGCAAGTGGGGTGAGGGGCTCTATGATGGGACATACCTGGCCTAGTGGGCAAGGAAGGGCTTTATGGTCAAACATTCCTGGGATGCAGTAACGGCTTTCCCCTGTATTGCGGGACATCAAATATTCTCTTCATTTCTTTCAACTTGAATGTTCTCACCTGTAAAATGAAAAATAACTATTCTACCTTATTTGGAAGAGAAGACCAAGAACCTATATGACATTGAGCAGGTGTCTACGGAGCACCTAGTATCATGTGATACACTTGGAAGATACCCTGGTGAACATGCTGGACACAGCTCCTGCTTCTGTAGGGCTTGCATGTTAGTGAGGGAGACAGAGACATAACCAGACAACTGTAATTATGGGCCAACATTTCTGCCCTCAGAAACATATGATGTGCAAGTGGGTCAACACAACCCAATCGTGGAGTGAAAGAGAAGGTTCTGGGGCAGTGACTTCAAAGTGAAAGAGTACAGGGTGAGAAAGGGGCAGCACAGGAACAAAACAGGGCGTGGGGAAAGAGGGACTATAGGTAGGCAGACAGCATGGGAGAAGGCAGAGGATGAAGAGAGTAGGACAGCATGGTGGGGCATAGAGAGCACTGAACAATGGCGAGAAATGGGATCCACCAGAGAATAAAGGAAGGGTTTTGCATGTTCCAGTGAGGTGTTGGGCTTCATGTCGTTCATTTTGTTTTATTCTATTGAATTTTATTGCTATTATTCCACATAAAATTCACCATTTTAAGTTACACAATTTAATTTTAAATATATTCACAAGATTTGGAACTATCATTGCTATCTAATTCCAGATCACTTATATCACCCTTAAGAGAAAGCTTATACTCATTAGCTGTCAGTTCCTATTCTCCCCTCCTGCAGCCCCTGGCAACCATTAATCTGTGTTTAGTCTGTATGGATTCACCTATTCTGGACACTTTACATACATGGAATTATATAATATGTGGTCTTCTGTGCCTGGCTTCTTTCACTGAACATGCTGTTTTCACATTTCATCCACATGATAGCCAATGCCAGTGTTTCATTCCTTTTTATGGCTGAAGGACATTGCATTGTGTAGATGTATCAGTTTCCTAGGGCTGCTGTAACAATGTACCACAAACTGGGCGGCTTCAAACAACAGGAACTTATTGTCTCATAACTCTGGAGGTTAGCAGTCTAAAGTGTCAGCTGGCTACCCTCCCTCTGAAACCTGTAAGGGAATCCTACCTTGCCTCTTCCTAACTTCTGGTGGTTTGCCAGCAATCTTGGCTTGCAGGAGCATCACTCCAGTCTCTCCTCTTGTCACCACATGGTTGCCTTCTCTTTGTATGTTTGTGTCTTCACATGCTATCTTTTCGTAAAGACACCTGCCGTATTGGATTAGGGCCTGCTCTACTCTAGTATAACTTTGTCTTAACTAATGACATCTGCAATGCTGCTATTTCCAAATAAGGGCACATTCTGAGGTTTGGGGAGTAGAGCTTCAATGTATCTTTCTTGGGAGGGCACAATTCAACCCATAACAGTGGACACACCTTTTCTTTATGCTAGGCTTTCTTATAAAAGTAATGAGATGCCAGTTAAATTAACAGTCCTTAGTGCTTCCTGTTTTTTGAGTCAAGCGCTTCGCATGTGTTATGAAGTTTACAATTGCTCTGCAGGGTGGAAGGTGGAAGCTATTATTTATAAGAAAAAAAAATTAAGGAAAGAATGGTGAGAGGGTGAACCAAGGTCACACTCTTGATCCATAATGGAGATAGGAAGACTTTCCAAGGTTTTTCCAAAAGTTCTACACTTGGTAAGTGGCAGAGTCCAAATAGAAACTCAGGTTTTCTGCTTCCAAATCCCATGATCTTTGCAATGTTGCAAGTCTGGCTTCTGCTGTGAAACGCTACTGTTATAGAATACGTCTTCCAGATCACAGAAGCTTTCATGACCCTTCGACTGTCTCATGCAAGCAATGGTGAAATGGTAGAGATGCTAATTAAGCGGGGACATCAAGGGCACCCTCAGGGCTGAGTCAGCTGCAGTCCACAAGACAGAACTAAAAGGAAAGAATCCATGGGGAAACACCTTCATTAGGCCTTTTCACTATGGGAAAAGAACTTTCAGAGTTTGAGTGATGGGAAGAGTGAGGACCTTAAACAAAATGGTGAAAGCAAAAGAAATTTTTAGAGGAGAATGGTGGGTTCAATTTGGCCCTGGTGAATTTGAAGGGTGTATTAGTCTGCTAGAGCTGCAATAGCGAAGTATCACAGACTGGGAAGCTTCAACAAGAAAAATTTATTTTCTCATAGTCCTGGAGGCCAAAATTCTGACATTAAGGTGTCCGCAGTGTTGATTTCTTCTGAGGCCTCTCTTGTTGGTTTGTAGATAACTGTCTTCTCCCTGTGTCTTCAC
Source organism: Homo sapiens (assembly GCF_000001405.40). Lineage (NCBI taxonomy): Eukaryota > Metazoa > Chordata > Mammalia > Primates > Hominidae > Homo > Homo sapiens. The sequence goes on along the minus strand of NC_000006.12, from coordinate 29,512,802 downwards.
ACAGTTGTCCCTCTGTGAGTGTCTGTGCCCTAATATCCTCTTAGGGCCCACCCTAATGATCTCATTTTAATTCTATAAAGACACTATTTCCAAAGAAAGTCACATTCTGAGATACTGGGGGTTAGAACTTCAATATACAAATTTTGAGAGGACACAACCCAACTCACAACAAAGACCTTGCTGTGCAGTAAAGCAGAGATATCTTTTAGGTTCTTAGCACTCAGAGTTGACAGTTGAGGAAAGACCAAGGTTGAGCATGTCATTTTTTTGTTTTGTTTTGTTTTTTGAGATGGAGTCTCGCTGTGTCACCCAGGCTGGAGTGCAGTGATGTGATATCAGCTCACTGCAACCTCTACCTCCTGGGTTCAAGCAATTCTCCTGCCTCAGCCTCCTGAGTAGCTGGGACTACAGGTGCACACCACCATACCAGGCTAAGTTTTTTGTGTTTTTAGTAGAGATGGGGTTTCACCATGTTGGTCAGGCTGGTCTCAAACTCCTGACCTCAAGTGATTCACCTGCCTCAGCCTTCTAAACTGCTGAGATTACAGGTGTGCGCCACCACACCTGGCAAAGATGTCATTTTTAGGAGGCAGAAATTGAAGACATGTGATATGGTTTGGCTGTGTCCCACCCAAATCTCATCCTGAATTGTTGTTCCCATAATCCCCACATGTTGTGGGAGGGACCTGGTGGGAAGTAATTGAACCATGGGGGAGGTTGCCTCCATGCTGTTCTTGTGATAGTGAATTGTTATCAGATCTGATGGTTTTTTAAAAGGGGCTTCCCCCTGTCCCCTTTCACTCTGCCCTTCTCCTTGCTGACACCATGTAAAGAAGAAGGTGTTTGCTTCCCCTTCTGCTGGCATTGTAAGTTTTCTGGGGCCACTCCAGCCCTGCAGACCTGGGAGTCAATTAAACCTCTTTCCTTTATAAATTACCCAGTCTTAGGCTGTCTTATAGCAGCGTGAGAACGGACTAATACAACATGTGATAGCTGATGATCCCAGAAACAAAGTCTAGAGAAATTGGGTGAGGATGCCAGTCTTGAGTGTTTTTGGTCATTGACAAGGTAAAATAAAATTTCTTAAAACGTTTTCCTACTTTTGCTATAGAAGCTTGATTTGTGAAATAGTGTTTGGAGAGTTGTAGTATAAATATCAATGCAGAGTGAATTAAAAAACAGAAGAAATGGATAAACCAGATTTACAATCATTAAGTAAATCAAAATTGGTAGTTAAAAAAATTTAGCATGACCAGGCCCAGATGATTTAACAGGCAAATTGAACAATTGAAAAATAGGCAGCAGGTAGATTTTTCTGGATTTACAGAGTGTATCCACCCCAGCATATCCACTTCTCTGAGCCTTCTCACCTCTGTCTTTCGTGGGGAGTTGTCACTTTTTCCATACTTACAGGAGCTTACCTTGAATCTGATTTGAACTATCTTCTGGAATCCCTGTTAGGCTGTTAAATCCTGTATCCTGTGAGGATCCTCCTGCATTGATAATAAACCTCTCTCATCTAACCTTAGGTTCTACTTGGAAATGGAGACCCTTTAGTATCCAGCCCCATGGATATCTCAGGACTTCTGCCCATATATGTGGCTATATTCTGTGGCTCTTCCCCTATTAAGTCATAAGGTCCCTGGCTGAGGTAGGCTGTGGTGAACCTCATCATTGGCCTGGCCACCAGGAAACAAGGTGTGAGCTGATCAGGGGGTTTTAGGGCACTACAGTCTTGTGGGAGAGCAGTCTCTGCCTTCTCTCCAAGCAAGGGGCCAGTGCTTTCCCTTCCTAGGGAGGGCTGGGCCACTCTGCACACTCAGATTGTGCAGGGGCATCTGGGGATTCAGATAAAAAGAGAAATGGGCAGAGGGGAACAAGAAAGGGGCACAGAGAGAGAAGCTGGGATGAGTCACGAGAGCACAGAAAGAGGGGCAGAGACACGGCTGGTTGCCAGCAAGGTCTCAGGATCAATAGGAAGACCATTGTTGGAAGGAGGAAGATTTCCCCAGTATTTTGTGTGGGAGCTCCAGTTGGAAGCTGGAAGCTCTGCTCTTTTGCATCTTAGCGTGAAGACGGGGACCATGGGTTCATCTCTCCCAGGCAGCTCTTCATTTTGTTGTTTTATTTTCTTTTTTGATTTTTATTTAGAAATTTTCTACATTTCCTAAAATCTTAACTTTTATATCATTGTTGGTGTCCAGTAAATTAAGAGAAATGTGGCAAAATGACATGGAATCCAAATACATCATCAAAGAGATATTTTATTTGTAAACAAGTTACTCTCTAAGGTCTTAAAATCTGCCCCAAGTGTTCTCTCTGCACGTGAACAGGCGGAATAATTGTGATAAAATGGAAGAGCCCAGCAGGTGGGGTCTGTGAGATCATTCAGCTGACTCCTGCAGACAATGTGCTCTCTCTCTCTCTGCCCCCACACTAAGGGTGCACTCCTTGTTCATCTCCAGGACGGTGTCAGCAAATGCTGCCTGGGGCATGCTGGTGATCACTGTGTCACTTTGGGTCAGGAAACACATTCTGGAGAGGACAAAGCAAGTGAACAGGCCTTGTACGCTGAGTGGAAGGCCTTTTATCTCCAAAAAATCAAACCAGAGAAATTAAAAAATATCTTGAAACAAAAGACAAGGGATACACAAATATAAAAACTTGAGGGTTCCAGGGACCAGAGGGCTTCTGCACCTTAGCCTGTTTCCTGCTTTGCTAAATGAGCAGATGTGTGATGTGCTCTCTTTGGTCCCATCGCTTCCTATTGTGATTCCTCCACCCTGGGCACTTGCTGTCATCCTGTTCTGCCGGCTGCTGCCTCACTCAACAAAACCTGTCGACTTCGACTAAGGTCAAGATTCATGGGTCGACCTTAGTACCACCTGCCATTGGCCCCAGGACCATGCCCTGTGCCACCACCCAGGCCCCAGAGCCCACGGCACAGCAGGTTCACCCTGAGGACATCTGAACAGGTCTTTTTTCACAAGAGGACAGAAGAAAGGATAGCGACACTGAGCTCCAATGCCGTGAAGAGGAGCATCACAGACAGGATCCTCTGAAATGCAGGATGCACGAGGTCTGTGCTGGACTGGCCAACCCTTCTGCCTTCCTGAGATGACCAGATGGGTTTAGACAGTGTCATCTGCTGGCTCCTCTTCCCTCGTACCTGACTCAACCTGCTCATGATCTGGGAGACAGTGTCATATCCTAGTATCCTGGGCCACTCCAGGGACAGCAGTACAGGTGGCAGGTGACACCCAAGGTTGAGCTGAGCCTCCTGACTCTTCATTCATCTGGCCTCCATGGAGAGTCTCCGCCTGTCTGGGTTTCAATTTCGTCTTCTGTAAGATGGGGACTTCCCACTCACCCCTTAGGGCGGTTTGCAGGTCCACAGAGGTGGTGAGGCAGAAGGCCTTCCTTTGTAAACTGAGCGCCAGCACCTGCTACCCACCTATGCTCCCTGGGGTGGGCCTGCTTGGCTTGGCTGGGAGGCAGCAAGGGGCACCTTGACCAATCAAAGTGATGTGCTGGCACAGTTGCTAATTCTCACGCCAGTCCCCAGGAGCTATCTGCCTGAGGAGGAGAACAATTCTGCTTCCCTGGGTCACCTTCCATGGAACAATGACTTCCAAGTAGAACAGGTAAGGCCACAGGTGGGCAGAATCTAGAATTTATTTGTACAGACTGTGACTATAGTGGGTTAGTGTCCCCCCTCAAATTCATGTCTACATAGAACCTGAGAATATGACCTTATCTGGAAATATGGTCTGTGTAGGTGCAATTAGTTAAGGATCTCAAGGTGAAATCATCCTGGATTTAGGGTGGACCCTAAATGCAATAACTGGTGTTCTTATAAGAAGAGAACAGGACACAGAGACAAACAGAGGGGAAGGCCTCATGAGGATGGAGACAGAGGTTAGAAAGACGTGTCCAGAAGCCAAAGAATGCCTGGAGTTCCCCAAAGCTGGAAGAGACAAGAAAGAGTTTTTTCCTAGAGCCTTCAGAGAAAGAGCGGCCCTGCCGACTCCTCGATCTTGGACTTTGCTTTCAGAACTGTGAAGGAATTCACTTCTGTTGTTTTCAGTCACCAGTTTGTGGTCCTCTGTTATTGTGGCCATGGGAAATGAACACAAGGACCCCTCAGGCAGGGGTTGCCGCTTCTCAGCTCTTCCTGAGAAGCTCCTGAGCCAGAGAGCTCAGGCTGGTTTCTGAGGAGCTCATCCTAACCCACTACACAAACCCCATCCAGCCACTCAGCAGATGCCTCCCCTGCCCCTCAACCCTCCACTCCCATTATAGCTGCTCCATCTATGGGAGGATGGCCTGAAGCCAGCGATGAGGGGATGGGACAACGGCCAGGCTGTGCACACATTCCCCCTGCCTGCTGCCTCTCCACCCCTAGAATATCCCCCTCTATGGCTGCAGGAATGCAAATTTCCTCTGCCTTCTTTTCTCAGTGTTCCACACACATGTTCTCTTGACTTTATTGACTAAACACATTTTAGAGCAAATACTGATGCTCAGACTGGCTCTAATGCAACAGAGAATGCGAAACCACATTCTGTCATTTTCATAAAGTTCTGATTGCAAACAACAATTAAAAAGCCCATTCCGTATTTGTTTCCTGATTTTTTGGGGTCATTTTTGGCCATCCCATCCATTTTTGTGCATGTGGTGGAATTAGGATTTAGCCTCTTGCAGCCTCCCTTGACCTGTGGCTCTTGCCTGGCTGAACCTGGGCACTGCCAGCCTGTGGCCACCCTGTTTATGAGGTTCCTATGTCTCCCTGAGCTCTTGGCCTTTCTTGAGCAATTCGCTACCCTGACCCTAGAGTTCTTGCTTGGAAAAACCCATCCCTTGAGACTATGACAGTTAAATCAGTTTGTTTATTAAGGTGCTCAAATTGAAACCAAGTTGTTGGTTATGTCTTTTTGCAACTACAGTCTTGCTTGATATTGTACTTGAACAACTCTTTTGGCACAGTCCAGTCAAATGCCTGCTATTCTCCCATGTGTGGGTTCCTGTGTTCTGCCTCTTTCCGCATGGTCCACATCAGAAGGAAGCAGTGAACAAGAAGCAGAAAATCTCAAAGACTTCACTAGTCTGGAACATTCTACCTAAAAATACTCACCAGTAAGCTGGAGCTGGCCACAAAGCAGCTGGTGGTCTCATTCTTCGAAAAGTAGTGGCTGTCTTGGGGCACTGATGGGCAGGCACCACCAGTTGGCACTGTCTGGCAGCTGGGAACACCCCGGCTAGGTGATAGGGAAGGACAATGAGGCCCACTGTGGCAGCCATGGGGCTTAGGAGGCTGCTGATCAGGCTGTTCCAGGCCTGCAGGGGATCTGGTCAGGGTCTGCTCCTGAGCAGTTCATGCTCCTGGGGCACCACGATCCCACCAGGCCAGCAGCAGGTTCTCACATCCAGGATCCTCGGCAGGATGGGACTTCCTCTTCTGTTATACGATTTGATTAATTTTGTTCACTCTCAACCCCTCTCAGAGCTCCCCAAGCCTACAGGCAAATGCTTGCTTGATGCACGACACATGAAAGCGTGAATGAAGCAGAGACTTATGGTGGGACAGACAGGAGATGTGGTTCTGGTAGCTTCTCCACCCAGGACTGAGCAGGGCTAGAGGAAGAGGAAGATATGTATAGAACTGATGTCCCATTGGACTGAACCGAACAGAGAAAATATTGCAATGCCCACAGTGCTTGATAAATCACAGCTTCCCTGACCTCCAAGCCCCCTGATGGCTTTACCCAGTCCACTGGCACCCTGAGGAGGTTCCTCCAGCCATCTCCCCTAAGCCTAGCCAGAGGCCTCCTGCCTCATCCTGAGCTGAGGCTGTCATCAGGTGGGTTCCCAGACATGCTCTTTCCTATCACCTGGCTCTGTCTGCAGCACCCCTGCACGGTAGAGCTCGAGGCCAAGGGGCCTGCTCACCCAAGTACAACAGATGCCCCCACAGCAGCCTCTGTCATATGGGGACAGCAGCAGGGTTGGTGCTCTTTCCTGTTCTTTTCATCCACTCCACTTTGTGAAAAGGGTGCCCTGGCAGGAGGGCCAGGGAGCATGGGGTACGAGGGCTCAGTGTGGGGGCAACAGCACCTGGGGCCGAGGGTGGATGTTCAGATCCCGGCTGGGGCACGGCCCAGAGGAGGGCTGAGAATCACAGCTGCGCCATGGGGGGCTACCTCCCCTCGAAAGTAGGAAACCTGGATTCCAGTTTTGCGGTGTCCAGACTCACTTTTCAAAGACCAACACCAGGGGAGGAATAGGCTGATGTCTGTGGTGGCTTCTGGGACACCTGGGCTAGGTGTTCCAGCCCGTCACAAACAGCCCATGGCACGTGTGCTCAGGTATGCCCAGCAGCCTCTGGCAAAGATCCGGGCCCTCTTCCCAGGGGCTCAATCTCAGAGCTGGGCAGTGATGGGGGAAGAGATGGAAAAAGGTCGTGGGCCATTTCTCCATACAGCCCCAGGGATTCACAACTCGTGTTGTCAGAATGTTCTGAGAAAGTCCCTTTTTTTCAAAGAAGAGGTCCCTGAGGATGGTGGCGGGTGAATTTCCTAGGAGCCTAAGTGGCCCTGGAACACCGTGGTCCCCACCTTGTGCCGCCGTCTGCCTCACCCAGCTGCTGCTTGCTCTGTAGGGCTGGTGCTCCTGCCCTTGTTTAGGGGATCCACACAGGCTGCTTTCCTGGAGGGCTCAGGGGAGGCTGAGGGTGGGGATGAAGAAGGGCATCTGATCCTTTGAGGGAGGTCTGAGAGAATGACAGTGTCCAAACCTGGCACTGCCACCTTGAGGCTTGGCTGCCAGTTTCTTGGCAGCTTCTGTGTCAGGACAGGGAGACCCCCAAATCCCAGGTCACCAGAATCTCCACCATACCCATCTCTGTCCCCCAACCCATGCCTCTTAGCCTCCTAAGAAAGGCCTGGAAATGATTCTGCAAAAGTTTGTCAATCAGATGTGCACCCATCACTGAACACCCCCTTTTCACTCTGCACCCTTCCTGGCCCCCACCAGCAAGGCTCATCTCTTTTGATTGATGCTTTTCTCACCCAGGCTGTGGGGCACAACTAACAGCCCATGCTCTCACTGTCCTCTTTCCCCTGTGCTCACCAAGGACCTGAACCCCGGTGGTCAGTGAACACCAAAGGGTGTCATGATGAGGCAGAATTTTCCCATAAAGCCACCCAGAGCCTGGAGAGGGTACAGGACTCTCTTCAAAATGAGGATCATGAAAGGTGTCCCCCAGATCAGTGGGCCCTGTGTACTTCCACAGGGCCACTGACCAAAGGACACTTGTCAGCAACCTGGGGTTCAGTTCCTTTGTCTGAACCTTGGAAAGATCCAACTGGATGAGGTTCCGCTAAAGTCTCTTTTTAGTAAGTGAGGCACTGTTGTTCCTATACTCACCAGATGCTTGTTTGATTTTCTTCCCAAAATGACAGACAGCAATCCAGAAATGATAAACTACTCAGAAAAGAGGAAAATGGTAAAGTCAGTTTCCACATGAACAAGCACCCCGATGTCCCTACCACTGAATTGTCACGTCCTTGTACACCTCCAGGAACTTCCCCACAGGGCTGACATTATTGGGCATGCTGGAAGCTGGGCCAAAGTCCAGGCCATATGTGGCTACAGGCCAATGTTGGGGGAAGTGGATATAGGAGGCCAAGCCACCCCTAGAATCTCATGAGAACCTGACTCAGCTGGAGAGGAAGTTCTTCTAGGGCAAAGACAAAGGGGCTTAAGGCCCAGGCTCCCCAACAGGGACCAGGGAACAGTGATTTTCAAGGGAGAGAGGGCAGGTAAATGTTACAAGACTCTATTTAGATGAAGATGTTGTGGTGGGGAGAGAAAAGCCACGCGGGCTTTGAACTGTCAGTTCCATGGGCTCTACCAGAGTCAGAGTTAAGGACAGAAGAAAAAGGGGGCCCAAATAAAGGGAAGATTTTGAGGCCAGGTTAACAGCTAGAAAAAAACTGTTGATTCTGGGTTATTACAGAAAAAGTGTTCTGTGGTAATGCAGTAATTTGAAATAGCTGCAATGTACGAAAACTACATGGCATGGTGGCAAGACTATAAAAAAAAGTTTTTCTGGTCCTACCAAGAAAATAGCCAGATAGAGAGGGAACAGGGAGGTTTGTGACTCAGTGGTCAGAGGATGCTCAAAAGCCACCGTGAATGCAAGAGGCTGCGGCTGGGGCGTGAAGACAGGTCTAGGCTGTGGGAAAGCCTCATTCACATTTCACAAGACTGAAAGCTTTCTCCTGAAGCTTCTTGCTGTGGCCTGAATGTCTGTTGCCCCCAGATTTCATGTGCTAAATACCTAACCTCCAATGCGATGGTATCTGGAGGTGGGGTCTTTGGGAGGTGAGTAGGTCGTAAGGGTGAAGCCCTCATCAATGGGATTACTTCCTTTATAAAAGGAACCCAGAGAGATTCCTCTGCCCTTCCACCACATGAGGACACAGCGAGAACGCTCTATCTATGAACAAGCAACAGCCTTCACCAGACACCAAATCTGTCGGTGTCACGATCTTGGACTTCCAGCCTCCAGAACTGTGAGTAATAGATGCTTGCTGTTTATAAGCCACCCAGCTTATGGTATTTTTGTTAAAGCAGCTCAAGCCGTCTAAGACACTCCTTGATTCCAGGAGCCTGGGGGATATTCAGGACTCCGAGGCTATGTCTGGAGCGTAACTCTGCAGAAGGCCTTCCACATGCCAAGAGATGACAAGCAGCAGATAGAGCTTCTAAGTGCTCCATGCCACCTCTTCAAGCTCAGTATATGCTCTACTGACCCCACTGGTCCTGCTGGCCCCATAGACAGGGCCACAAATGCACCAGCCTGGCCACCCCACTGTGTGCCCTGTCCACCCCATTTCTCACTTGCTGTCTGCCCACCTCACTCCTACTCCTTGTGTCACCTGAACTTAGGGAGAAGTAGGGTGACCCTATGTCCAGTGTGTCAGGGACAGTCCTGGGTATTCCTGTGATCATGGCATAAATAGTAATAGCACACTCTTTTATTCTTATAGTGTCCCTGTTGAGGCTACACATGCTATTGTCACCCCAGAGAGAAGCTGCAGGGCTCCCAGGGCCCTCGAGGATGGCACTATGAGGATTTTGGAAGAACTGATATTTGAGCCAGATGATCAATTCTGTTCCCATTGGCAAAACCCCTTCTCCTGCCAGGCCTTCTCTCACTCCTGGCTGATTGCCCTCAAAACAAGTTCCATTCCTGCATCTTTGCTCTCCACAGAGACATTGCTAGGTAGCATATCAGTTGTCTGTGCCCTGCTCCATCCCAGAGACCACCCTCCATGAACACCCATCCTACTCACATACTTGGCTCCTACGAATGGGTATCCAGACCTCACCAAGGTGAGAACCACTGGGCCAAAGTGACAGGGAAAGGAAGTACATGCCAAAAGGATCCCCATGCTCATAACTGCAAAGCCACAGAGGATCTGGATGGTCTGTTAGGGAAGAAGGGTCACCTGGTGTGACCTCAGAAAGATATGTTCAAGTCCTAACCCCTGATACCTGGGAATGTGATCTTCTTTGGAAATAGGGTATGTGTAGATGTCATTGGGATGTCAGTTAAGATGAGATCAGAGTGGAGCAGGGAGGGCCTTTAATCCAGTATGACTGGTGTAGGTACAAGACAAGAGAAACAGGCAGATGCTGGCAGAGAGAATGTCACACAAAAACGGAGGCAGAGGTGGGAGGGATGCAGCTGCAACCAAGGAGAGCCAAGGACTGCCAGGATACACCAGAGCTGGGAGAGAAAGCCTGGCCCTGCCCAGACCTGGATTTCAGACTATGGCCTCTGGCCTCCAGAATTGGGAGAGCATGAGTTTCTGTTTTGTTTTGTTTTTTTTTTGTTTTTTTTTTTTAAAGCCATCTGGTTTGTGGTAGTTTGTTACCATGGCCCCAGGAAACCAACTCACTGGGTGAGTCAATCAAGGGCCAGTCATTGTCAGTTTCCCCAGGGAAGCGGAGTGCTGGAACTCTCTGTGCAACCCAAGGAGATAGTGCGGAAGCAGGAAAAGCGTCTCAGGGGCATGGGAAACCAAGCACGCAGGACATGCTCCCAGCCCTTCCCAGTGCTGGCTGAGATCAGCGTGCAGTGAAATGCTGGGTGTTTCTGTCTTTAGCTCTGAGCTGTGGCAGTGGGATCCCAGGTGATGACTGGTCACAGCCCAGGAGGTTCCCATGCCCTTTGCTCCCTCTCCCTCCTGGGCACAAAGAAGCACTTAGGAGACAGCAGGTGGGGCAGGAACTGGCTCCCACTCTCTGCAGGATGAGTGGACACAGGTACCTCTGTTCGGGGCATGGCTCCTTGTGGGAGACAGACCCCAGAGCTGTGACGGGGTCCCAGGCAGCCTCTGAATCAGCCTCAGAATATTTCTACCACAAGAGTTCACATTCTTGCAACATTTACCAAGCAACCTCCTACCTGTTCTAACAGCGGAGTCAGCCCAGAAAGCACTTTTCAACCCAAGGTTAGGTGTGGCCTGGGGATTGAAGGAACAGCTGAGGCTCCCACAAGTAGGGAGGTGCTGGCCCTGGGCCCCAGGCCCTTCCCCCTGGTGCTTGTGTTGCCCAGCTCCTTCTTTCCATTTCCCCCTCCTCCCTTTGGTCATGCAATGGAGTTGTATTTCTTTAAAAATCATGGATCGTATGAGAGATATTGGAAGGCAGACTAAGGGCACATATCTGTTTTCAAATGGTTAATTTCTCAAGAAGGGAGAATAGGAGATGAATTGTCTATAATTTTTAGAAAGAAAAAAAAATCCCTGGGAAGTAAAATCTAGAATAATTTATTCAACAGACTATTTTTTTTCTTTTGCCTCCAAATAAAGTGTATGCAAATATGTTATTATTCCCTTAAAATGAGTTAAGCAGCCAAAGTTTTATATCTCAGGTGAATGCTCCCCATGAGCACAAAACTGGGAAATCTCTTACTTTCTTGCGGAAAATGACTAGGTGGTCCCAGAGGCCTCCCCCGACGCCTCCAGAGCAGCCTGGAACTCCTTAAGCCAAAGGCTCTGTCTCCAAAGTGACAAAGTGTCCTCCTGGCACCCACTCAGCCTCTGCCCTTTGCTTGGCTGTTCTTACCCCAAGCACCTGGGCCTTTTTCTTCAGATTTTTTTCTCACGTTGTCCTGGTTGAGAGGCTCCAGATTCTCTGTGAGGTGCTCAAAGATGCAACTTTGTGGAAACACCACACAGTATCCACTGGGCAGGGCTCTGGACCCGGATAGGGATTGCTGCTGCTGCTGCCAGACAGGCGCGGAGCCAGGTCCGACTCTGGACCGAGACTTAACATTGCAAACTTCCCAAGCTTCAGATTTCCTTGGGTAGTCAACTAGAATCCCCCAGTCATCCCAAGGCGACCAGGGTTCTAGGAAGGAACCTGGGAACAGGGGTGCCTCAAAACCCTGGCGTAGTGAGAATTCTCATGGGTTCTTGGCATTGCACAACACCTGTTGACAGCACAGCCTGCCCTGAGGAGGGTCACAGCAGAGAGAGCAGACCAGCCTGCCTGCAGGTGCCCAGCTTCACCTTCATACTGGTCATGAATTTCCTGCAGTCCCTAACAGGCTTGGGACATGCTCCCTCCAGCCCAATTTCAGGATTGGATGCTTTTCAAATTCTGCTCTCCATCCCTTCTTATGCCAGGTCCATTCCTTTCAGGACATCCAGTTAGCACTGCCCTGCTTCTATAACCCAAATATTACGTGATTCTTTGTAGGAAAACCAATTGTTGGTGTCAGAGCTCTCTGAGCACTGACAATAGGCTAGGCTTCATGCTAAAGCAGTGCTGTTCCTTACACGCAGCAAGGCCCGTAATCAGAGTCCGAGGTACTAGTTCTAAATGAATAAGACATTCTTAGCCCAGAGACGCCTAGCCACAGCATGGCCTCTGTATGAATGTGTAGTAAATGTAAGCAATTACGAGTAATGCCAGGTTTAACTGTCACAGCCGATGTGACAAAGCCCGCTGGCTCTGGGTCTTTTCTCTTTTTACCTCCTCAGCTCCCTTCTTCCCCCTCTTGTAGTGTAAGGCAGCTGCATATGGCAGAAAGAGAATGTGGTCCAGCCCGTCCCCTGGTCTCTGCAGCTGAGCCCAGGCCCCACCTGCCCCAAGGGCTCTGTTCACTGCATCAGCCCCTTCTAGGACAGCACAGTGGGGAAACAGTCTGAAGTTGCCCAGAGAGAGGAGGCTCCTGCTCCTGTGGCCCTTTATCCTGCGTCTGAGCTTGCAGGATGTTCTGGGATCTCTGGGCTGGAGTGGGCAACACCTGCAGCTCAGAAACCATGTCCCAAATTAGGCACGTGAAGGAGTCTGGTGGAAAAAGTATTGGGCCACAGAAACAAGGCTGCTGGGTACCTTTCCCAATCTCACAGACAGCGTCCTTCAGAAGAGACCCCAACACTGACGTTGGCAGATATCTCTGAGGGGGCCTGTGTGACTTTCATCTCCTCCAGGACCTCTGGGCTTCATTGGCCCATGTCAACCTGTTCTGCCCTGATTGGCAGGGAACACCCCACATCTCTGGCTCAGGCAGTTATGATGACAAAATTTATAGGGCCCTTCCTGCAGCAGTTCTTTAATTTTTAGAACAAGGCCAGTGGCATTGTGATTGAGTTCAACTGCTGGGGAATCAATTGCATTGAATTTGTGTTGGGTGGTATTGTGTGCACTGAAGACACAGTGCACACATTAAGATCTCAGAACCTCAGAGCTGCAAGGGAGCCCCATTTAGCAGATGAGAAGTTTCTCCTCCTAGGGCTTCAGGAGCTGTAAACATCCACCCCTAGATGCCACCGTGGGGTCGGAGCCCCACAATCTGCCCATCTGTATGCTCCCCTAGAGGTTTGAGCAGTGGGGCACTGAAGAAGCAAGCCACACCCCCATCACGTGCCCCGCGAGGGGAACAAGGGAACTTTTCTCATTTCAAAAGTATAAAACTCACTGTAAAAATAAGAATATAGTACAATTCAGACTTCTCTCATACTCTGATGGCATAAGTCACTTTTAATTCTAGTATAAAATTAAAAGATAAAATAAAACAATTATAGCCATAATAATTTGTTGGTGGATACAGAGTATGAAAAGATGTAAATTGTGACATGAATAACATAAAAATGTGTAGAGAGAAGAAGTTAAAGTGTAGGGTTTTTGTATGCAGTTGAAGTTAAGTTATTAGCAGCTTCACATAGACTAAAAACTGTAAGATATTTTATGTAAGTCTTATGGCAACAACAAACAAAAACCTGTAGTAGGTACACACAAGACAAAAAGAGTAAAATCAAAGCATATTACCACACAAAAAAATCATTAAATTACAAAGGAATACAGCAAGAGGAAGAAAGAACAAAATATCTACAAAATAGTCAGAAACCCCTGAACAAATGGCAGTAATAGGTCCTCATCTGTCAATAATCACTTTAAATATAAATGAATTCAATTCTCCATCAAAAGACATAGAGTGGCTGAATGAATAGAAAAAGAAAACCAAGATCCAACTATGTGTTGCATCTGAGGGATTCAATATATCTTTAAGGACACACATAGGCTAAAAGTGAAGGGATGGAAGAAGATGTTCCATGCAGATGGTAGCTAGTAGAGAAGAGGGGTGGCTATACACACATCAGATAAAATAGACTTTCAGTTAAAAACTGCCACAAGATTCAAAGAAGATAATTTTGTAATGATCGAAGGAGTCAATTTATCAAGAAAATATAACAATTTTAAGTGTATGTGCACCCAAGTTCAGAGCACCTAAATATGTAACGAAAATATGAACACAATGAAGGGAGAAACAGACAGCAACACAACATTAGCAGGAAACTTTTATACCCCACTTTCAACAACGGATAGATTGTCCAGACACAAAATCAAAAAGGAAACTTTGGATTTGAACAACACGATAGACCAAGAGGTCCTAAGAGACATTTATGGGACATTACATTCAACAGCAGCAGAATGACCATTCTTCTCAAGCATACACAGAACATTCTCTAAGATAGATCATATATTAAGCCACAAAACAAATCTTAACAAATTTAAGAAGATTAAAATCATATCAAGTCTGTTTTCTGACCACCATGGTAATAAATTAAAAGTTAGTAACAGGAAGAAAATTGGAAAATTTACAAATTTTTGAAAATTAAATAATATCATGTTGAACAATCAGTATGTCAAAGAAGAAACCAAAAGGCAAATTTAAAAACTATCTTGAGACAAACACAAATGGAAATACAACATCCCTAAACTTATGGGATGCAGCAAAATAGTTCTAAGAGAGAAGTTTACAGTGATAAACACCCACATTAAAAATATTATAATATAATTTTGCATGATGTTACCACTGGAAAACTGGGTATGGGATCTGTTTGCATTATTTCTTGCATCTACATGTGAATCTACAATTATCTAAAAATTAAAAGTTGAATTTAAAAAGCCACAAGAATGATAATGTACAGAAGAGCAAGAGGAACAGAGAGATGTAAAACATTTCATTTAATCAAATATTAAAAAAAAAAAGAAGTTGCTGACCCAGTAATTTCACTCCTTTTCGTTGGATATATGCTCCAAAGGAATGCCTGCATTCATTCTAAGACATGCTACAAAACATTAAAATACAATGGTCAAAATATGAAAAGACAAGGGATTTCATACAATATAATCCACCCAAAACAAAATCCAAATTATTTTTTAGAAGTTATTAAAATAGAAACCACATGTTTTTGAATATGTGATTAAAGCATACTTAATACAAAGAGAAAGCTTTGCTAACTGGAAATTAACTATTTGTTTTTGTCTTAAACAACTTTTGGTACTGGAGGATTTTAAAATGAAAATTATTTAGAAAATAGAAATGTTGAGATAATTGCCAGTGGTTATATGTTAATATCAGGAGGGACTTGCAGACACTGGAACAGGACCTCAGTGGGGACATGCAGAGCCATGGGGGCTGGCAGTGCTGGCTGCTGCATGTCACAGGAATAAACACAGAAAGCACATTATTGTTAAAGAAGAGAGCATGAGCAGACACTGAAAATGCTTTAATAAAGATACCAGAGAACAAGATAGTGTTAGTCCATTATGTCCATTACCACACTGCTATAAAGAACTACCTGAAACTGGCTAATTTATGAAGAAAAGAGGTTTAACTGACTTATAGTTCCACAGGTTTAACAGGAAGAATAACTGGGAGGCCTCAGGAAACTTACATTTATGGCAGAACACCAAGGGGAAGCAAGCACCTTCTTCACATGGTGGCAGGAGAAAGAGAGAGAGTGAAGGGGGAAGGTCACACAATTTTCAACCATCAGATCTCATGAGAACTCACTCACTGTCATGAGAACAGCAAGGAGGAAATCTGCCTCCATGATCCAGTTACCTCCCACCAGGCTTCTCCAATTCGATATGAGATTTGGGCGGGGACACAAATCCAAACCATATCATGTGTCTATAAGAAACACAGAGATTTACACTATTGGTATGTAAATGGTGCTACTGAGACCAGATTGGGTACAATGACAAACACTTCCTGTGGATGGTGACGTCTTTTCCAGACTAGGAAGACTGGAAAAGAGAAATCTCCATGTGGACGGCCAGGTGTCAGAAAATGCTTCAATCAATGGATTTAGTTAAACAGCATAAAACAGCTTGCCATGTAGTTATTTTGAAATAAATTACTCAGTCAGGCAGCAAATTCAGGGAAAGTCAGCCAAATAAATATACAAATGTAGACAGAGAAGTCTTCCCAAGAAAAGAAGAGAAAGCAAAGAGAAATGGCATCACCAATGAAAGCACACACAGAGATGTAACTTCAGAAATGGTGTCCAGGGAAAATGTCCTTTCCCATCTTCACATCATCCTCTGGACATTGACCAGCAAGCAGATATTTTCTGACGCAGAAGAAGAAAGGAAGCTCTTCTGATCTGTACAGTGGGCAGATCACATCTCCGTGGGGTGTTCTACAAATGTTTTATTGATCTTTGGTGATGTATTTTTTTTGTCATCCAGTAATTTTTTTCATGCCCCTTGTCAAGATAATTCTCCATCCTTATCTGGTGTGCTTCCCTCCTGGCAGGGTCTAATCTTTGTTGCCTGCTCTGGAGGTAGCAGGAGCCTCAACGGTTCAGAGAAGTCCTATCTCCTTCCTGTAGGCAGCAGAAATTCATTTCTCATGAACATCAAAGTCTTCTTAGTGAGATGGGTGCCTGGTGGGTGAAGTTAAACATGTCCAGGATGGGCCATGGCTACGCCACAGGACCTGAAGGGTTTTATCACAATAGGTGAGGACTGCCCTCAGAGTGTGGCATCAGAGTCAAACTCTGGTATTGTAGCTGCAAACCAGCACTGATCCTTGGGGGCAATCCCTAGGCATCCTGGAAACTCTGGCTACTGATTGAGTTCATGAATGAGATGAATACCTAGAATTTAAGCATACACCTGAATGTGAACCTTGCTTATGCTGAATTTCCTTTTTCAAATTTAAATGTTGAGCTGACACTGATAAAATTAGGCTTCTCCAAACAGCAAGCCAAACTTTGCTTATTTGCTGACAAGCCAGCAGGCCCTTCTATTTCAGAAGAAGTGATGTAGAACCAAGTTCTTAGCAAGCAATGAACTCAGGTGTCTGCCAGGGAATGGCATGCTCATTCACAGATGCATCAGTCCTCATCCCTGTAGGTTGGAAACCCCAGCAATGAAGAATCAATAGAAAGGTCTTCATCATGACTCATCACTCCAAGCTGTCTGTTCTAGAGCAGGGAAATTTCCAGCATGGATCTTTAGCTCCATTTGGGAAGATGGACCAAACCCTGCCCATCTTGGAGAAGAGGTGGCCTGACACTCAAGGTCCCACACACAAGGCTCTTTCCCTCTGTGTGACCATCAGAATCTTCAAGGGATACCTGACCATTTCATTTCTTTCTTTTCTTCCTTCTCTTGACAAGTTAATTGCAGAAGCTGTTGGAATCGCTTCAATAGAACAGATGGCCTGCGCTGGAGAACGTGTGGTGTTACATTAAGGGAGGGGTCTTGTGCTTAAGGGAAAAAAATGAGACCTGAACTAAAACTTCCACAGAGGACAAAGGACGAATTCCTGGAATCAAGTAAAGCAGTGCAGCAGCAGTGACAAAACCTCCAGAGTTCATCAGAAACAGAGAAACTGATTTCAGGGGTCACAAAAGAGTCTGGTGTCTGCATACCAGAGAGAACAAATGTAGGTCTTTTTTTTTTCATTCAAAAGATACAGATTACACTTTAAGAGACAGATAATTCCACTAAGTAAAACTCCTCTGAGAAGCACACTTCGTATGTCCAGGAGAAAGGCCATGAAAGGGCACTGTGGAAACTGGGAGGCAGATACAGGTGAGGAGCTTGCAGAGCACCTTGAAGTCCAGGAGCCTCTTGTACTTCAGAGCTGATGGGTGAGAAAAGCCGGTCAGTGTGGGAGGAACAGAGTGGGGCATAACACCCTTCAGCATGCATCAACATGACTGTGGGATTGTGGGGAAAAGGCTAGGAGGGGTGACAAGAGACAACAGAAAATGTTATTCTACACTTAAGCAAGACATTTTCTCTCAGGGTAACAATACGTCATTGGTGTTGATTTTCAGTGCCTGTCCTAACTAGGATCAGGTGGCAAAACAGGACACAAGATATTGAGAGTCCAGGGGACTCCATGCCCAGAGACTGCATATTCACATGGTAAGTGACCAAGAAACTGTTACATGAAGATGGTGGGTACAAACCATCTTTGAACAGAGAAAATGAAATAACTGTTTACAGAACATCAGCCCTCGGGACAACTCAGTTGGAAAATCAATAATCTAGAAATGTGCATTCTTAAAGTGAATGTGGCAGGTGAGATCAGAGCAAGGGAAAAGTACTGAGAAGGTAAAATGACAGTGAGCTCATGGCAACCCCGAATCTGAGTCCTAAGACATCAGTCAGTGCACAGGGTTGACCCGATGTGTGTCAGAAAGACAGGCAGAATCTCTCAGACCTGCTGTGGTCCCTGAGAGTTGAGAATGCAGGTGAAATGTGGACACAGAAGTCCCAATACATACCCATGCCTGTAATAGGAGGACACTCTTTTCAAACTGTGAGGGCTAGGGCCAAGCTTTTCTTACTGAGGTGAAGAAAGGGCCACATTACTGGCTTCTCTCTGCACAAATTGTATTGGAAC
This sequence comes from Homo sapiens, assembly GCF_000001405.40. NCBI lineage: Eukaryota > Metazoa > Chordata > Mammalia > Primates > Hominidae > Homo > Homo sapiens. The sequence continues at coordinate 29,494,567 of NC_000006.12, read as the reverse complement.
ACCCCTCAAGGGGTGCTTTCTTTGGGAGTGAAGCATGGTGAAAGCTTTTGCCTGAGGGGTTCTCTGAATTTGATCTTGATCTTGTGTTTATCAAGAGCAATGCCATGAAGTTCAGCTCACTAGAAACTGACTCAACATATCCAACTTGGAACTGGGTCTACTCCTTGCAAGGCCCTATTCCCTGTCCCTAGGATGAGGGAGTCAGGGGCTGCCAGGGCTATGCGGAGCTCTGACCAGAGTAAGAGAAAGGAGCCCTATGGAGACAGGAAGGACCTGCCTGGGCACATAAAGCCACAGTGGAGCAGCTGACCATGTGATAAACCTCGGGATGCTCAGCTATCTGTCCCCACAGATAGAAGCCACTCATTGGCCAGAAGAAAAACAAGGAGCACATGGGAATCTTGATCAAAGTTGCTCAAGGTCCAGTAACTTCTGGAAGCCCAAGAGAGAGCTCATATTCAGAGGACAGGAAGACAATTCCAGACCATTGGTCCACAGAGGTGTCACCTGTCCTTCTGTGTCTGTGTCAGCCTCACTGCCCCCTGACTTACCCCTGCCCCCAGGAAAAATGTCACAGGTAAGATGAGAACTGTGTTCTCTCTTCATCTGACTCTCTTTCTCATCTCTCTAATTCGGAGGAGTTTTTGCAAGGATTTTAGATGTGTTTTCCCCAAGGGAAAGAACATTATCAGGACAGTGCAACCCTTCATTTGAGGACTGGGGACTGGAATCCATCCTTGCTTATTCTTTTTTTGTGTGCGAATTTTGCTTCATTTTGGTAAGAATTCTTGACACGAGATCTATTATCCTAATAATTTTAAGTGCACAGTAGTGATCTTTAAAATGCAAATCCTTGGCTGGGCATGGCAACTCATCCCTGTAATCCCAGCAATTTGTGGGGTCGGGGTGGAGGGGATCTCTTGAGCTCAGGAATTTGAGACCAGCACAGGGCAACAAAGGGAGACTCCCATCTCTACAAAAAGAAAAAAATTAGAAAATTAAAAAAGAAACCTAGCCAGATGTGGCAGCACACGCCTGTGGTCCCAGCCACTCAGGAGGCTGAGGTGGAGGCATCGATTGGGCTGGAGAGGTGGAAGCTGCAGTCAGCAGTGATTGCATCACTGCACTCCAGCCTGGGGGTGAGAGAGTGAGACCTTGTCTCTAAAGAAATAAATAAATCCAGATAATATTATTATCTGAGCTTAAAACTTTCCAACACCTGGACATTGCACTTAAAATTCAAACTTCTTATCTTGGCCTATATGATTCCACACCTGCCTACCTCTCTAAAAGCTTATTTCTCTCACTCTCTCTTTCCCTCCCTAAACTTCAGCCACACTGGCCTTCTTTCTTTTCTTCAACCATACGACTGTTCTTCCTATGCGCCTTTGTACTTCCTGTTCCCACTACCTGCAGCACTATTCCTCTAGATATTCCCAGGATTGGCTTCCTGAAAAAGCCAGAAAATATTGTCAGCTCAGAAAGGACCAACCTAAGTGGCTCACTGTCTTTCCCGTTTTCCTTAAGATAGTCCATCCCACTGCCACTTTTTTTTTTCCTTCAGAGTAGTAAGCACCGTCTGAAATGATCCAATTTACTGCATTTGCTTATTGACATTCATCTGTCCCAACAGGACAGTATTTATTCATTCATCTCTCACTATATGCTCATCACTGTTCCATGCACTTACATGCTATCCACCCATTTAATTTTCAAACCCACAAGTAGGTATTATCAGTATTCTAATTTTGCAGAGGAAATACCAGAGGCTCAAAAAGATGAAGCAGCTTCAGTTGCAAAAACATTCCAGTACACTGTTGTTAACTATAGGCAACTACTACTTTTGTGCAGTAGAGCTCTAGTGCTTATCTATTTTGTTAAACTGAAACTTTATGCCCACTGACTACTAGCTCCCTACTTCCTGTCCTACAGCCCAGGGAACAACCATCCCACTCTTTGTTTCTATGAATTTGACTATTTTAGATACCCTATTTAAGTGCATGCAGGATTTATTCTTCTATGACTGGCTAATCTCACTTACCATAATGATCTGCAGGTTCAACTATGTTGTCATATATGACAGAATTTCTTCCATTTTTTTTTTGAGATGGAGTCTCCCTCCCCTGCCCAGGCTGGAGTGCAGTGGTGTAATCTCGGCTCACTACAACCTCCGCTTCCCAGGTTCATGCAATTCTCTGCTTCAGCCTCCCAAGTAGCTGGGATTACAGGCACCTGCCACCATGCCCAGCTAATTTTTGTATTTTTAGTAGAGACGGGGTTTCACCATGTTGGTCAAGTTGCTCTTGAACTCCTGACCTCGTGATCCATTCACCTTGGCCTCCCAAAGTGCTGGGATTATAGGCGTGAGCCACCACACCTGGCCAAATTTCTTCCTTTTTAAAGGCTGAATACTATTCTATCTTATGTTTATATCACATTTTCTTTATCCATTCATTTTTTGATGGATTTTTAGGTTGTTTCCACATTTTGGCTATTGTGAATAGTATTGCAGCAAACATAAGAGTGCTAATATTTCTTTGAAAACCTGATTTCAATTCTTTTGGACAAATACTCAGAAGTGGGATTTCTGGACCATACGGTGCAGTTCTACTGTTAATTTTTTGAGGAATTTCCATACTGCTTTTCACAGCAGCTGCGCCATTTTGCATTTTCACCAACAGTGTGTGAGGGATCCCTTTCTCCACATCCTCATTAGCACTTGTTATCTTTTGTTTTTCCAGAATGGCCATCCTAACAGGCGTAAGGTGCTATCTAGTTGTGGTTTTGATTTGCATTTCTTTGATGAGTCATCTTGGCCTGTCCTTGACTGGAGACACATTTTGGAAGCTGTTGGCACTCTCTGTTAATGGACATTTGGGTTATTCCCTCCCGTTCTCCCCTGAACTGGCTCTTCCCAGGTTAGTAGGAGGAAGAGTGTGTACTTGGTGCTGCAGGACTAAGATTAAGCCCTAGTGAAATCTGTAACATCTTTTTGGGCATTCCCATGGATCAGCTATAGCAACTCATTTAAGGATTTTTTTCTTGTTACAGATACATCCTGCTTTAGTGAGCTCAGCTTCTCTGCCAACTTCATCTGTGAAGCTGTCTTAAAGTATGAGAAGTCATTATCAGTGTTCAGGATCTCAGGAAAGGATGGTCTGATCTCTTTGGGCCCAGAGCGTTTCACCTCTCAAGCATCCTAAGTTCTTCAGTGTTCTGGACTCCATAGTGGGGCATCAAGGGTCATCAGGGCTGATTCTCAGAGGCCTAGCCAGCTCAGCCGAAATGTCCAAGGCTCAGGCAGTGGGCCCTGGACAGGGGATGTTGGCATCCTCCAATGAAATGATTCCATCCATCTTCCTGAGACAGGAAGGTGGACAGGAATCTCTCTAAGGAAGACACATGAGATCTCCTCTAGTCTGTGGTCAGCCTTGAGGTACCACACCTGCCCAAGGTGAGCAGGTTTTTGGCTAAGGGTGAATGGTTCATATCAGTTCTCCCCTACCCTGGATGCATTGTCTGAGGTGTTTTGCATGCTAGGCTCTTGGCCTCTGTCTCAGAGTCTTGAAAAGAGACAGAGCAGAGCTCTCCTGCTCACAGTCTGTATCTGCACTCATCCAGGATCTTCCACTTAAACGAGCTCTCAACATCATGGACAAACTTCCAGCATGTGAGTAGATTCACATCTGAGGCTACATCTTTGGTGTTTGCAAAATAGTGATAAGGATTCCATGGTTGAAAGAGGAAGCTGTGGTCAGGCCCCACCACTCCAGGGACAGTAGCTCAGTGCTGCTCTGAAGGGGCCTGGCTGCCCCTTTCTGTCCACTGATGGCTGAGATAAGAATATTCTCCAATCTTGAAAATGGCTTATAAGTCTTTAACTCTCTAGAGTTGCAGGGACCTTCTTGGGGTTTATTAACGCAATAATAGAAAAATAGTTATTGCACTCAAGTTGCTTAAGAGGCCCTCTCTGGACAGGAGCATCAAAGATTAACAAAGCAGATGAAGCCACTTGCCCCAGGGTGGTGAACTTGCTGAGCCTGCCTGTGGCTCTTTCCTTCTGGCTGTCACCTGGTTGCTCCAGTAGGTCATTCAGATCTCCATGTCCTACTAAGAAACTCCCCTCATTTATCCCACTAGGAAACATCCATTACCCTTATCATTTTCTATCCACTCAGCCCAATTTATTTTTCTCCTTGCAGTTATCACAATGTAAACCCAAAGAAGGTACAGACAGTTCTACCTTAGCACTGTCTTATCCTCATGCCAAAGATAAGTTTGTGGCAAGTGACATTTGCCTACTGAAGAGGCAATTTCCTGAGGAGACTGTTGAGTAGAGATGATGAAACGGTCTTTGGAGGAGCTTCAAAAAGGGAGGTCTAGAAGAAGAGCCCAGTGTGTTTCACAGATCCCAGAGCGGGAGGCAGAGGTCAGAGAAGCCTTGCGAAGTCTGCTCCACAATTCCAGATTCTATAAAAATAACAATTATTATTAGTTTTTTGAATATTAATAATAATTATTCATTAGAAACAAGATATAATAGTACTACTTGTTAATCATAATATAATCATAAATAATTAATAATCACATACAACTATTAATCACATTATATTATTAATATATTGTTATTAATATGCCACTAATAGCATATTCATATCATATAAATAATATTAATATAGTATACCAAATATATTAATATATACTGTTAATATGCTAATATATTCACATGTAATCAATAATACATTAATATCTTAATATTGAAAGCATATCAACATTAAAATGTACTGATAAACTATTTTACTAATATTGTATAAATATTATTAATGATACATTATTAATAAACTGAATAATGTTAATATCAATTAATATTAATGACCAAAGACCCACCAACATGGGTCGTGTTGGCATCAAGACTGTGACGAAGGTGGCCTAGGTCATCGTAGAAAAGTACTACATGTGCCTGGGCAATGACTTCCACACAAACAAGTGTGTGTGAGGAGATCCCCATTATCCTCAGCAAGAAGCTCCACAACAGGAGAGCAGGCTGCGTCACGCATCTGACGAACCAGATTCAGAGAGGTCCAGTGAGAGGTATCTCCATCAAGCTACAGGAGGAGGAGAAAGAAAGGAGGGACAATTATGTCCCCAAGGTCTCAGCCCTGGATCAGGAGATCATCGAAGTAGATCCTGACACTAAGGAAATGCTGAAGCTTTTGGACTTTGGCAGCCTGTCCAACCTGCAGGTCACTCGGCCTACAGTTGGGATGAATTTCAAAATGCCTCGTGGAGCTGTTTGACTCTTTCTCCAATGCTGTAATATACAGCAGTCACTGGATTTTATTTTCAATAAACCTGGGACAACAGCAATAAATAAATACATAAATATTAATAAACTAATGTCAATATTAATTATCAATATCCTTGATAGCATAATTGAGAATATGTTATATTAATATAATTAATATATTAACATAAATATATAATGTGAATATATTAACATCAATATTAATAACATGTTAATATAGCAATGTTATATTAATATAATTTATTAATATATAAATATTTACATAGTATTAATATGCTAGTCTCTCTATATTAATATATTTACATAGCATTAAAATACTATTCTCTATATTAATATTTATATTAATATTCTTAGGCCTCTTTTGTATTTGTTGCACCCTAAGTCTGTTCATTTCCTTCTCCTCAGCTGACATTTGGAGCATAGCAGTCGATGATGCCCACACAGACACTGCCTGAGACTCACGCCCCTGGAGAAACGCAGATTTCCTTATTTTCCAGGTCAAGTCCTGCCAGCCATAGAAAGGACTTCTTTGGTGCCAACTGCTGTGAAATGCCTGCCTTGGAAATCTCAGTGCTCCCTTGTACCTGTCTGAGCCCAGGGAAATGCCATACTGTGGCACTGCTGCATCCTGTATGGCTACCCAAGGATGCCCAGGACTGGGTTTGAAAGAGATGAGACATGGCCAGGTGCCGTGGCTCACGCTTGTAATCCCAGCACTTTGGGAGGTCAAGGCAGGTGGATCACAAGGTCAGGAGTTTGAGACCAGCCTGGCCAATATGGTGAAACCCCATCTCTACTAAAAATACAAAAAAATTAGCCGGGCATGGTGGTGGGTGCCTGTAGTTCCAGCTAGTCAGGAGGCCGAGGCAGGAGAATCGCTTGAACCTGGAAGGTGGAGGTTCCAGTGAGCTGAGATCGCGCCACTGCACTCCAGCCTGGGTGACAGAGTGAGACTCCAACTCAAAAAAAAAAAAAAAAAAGAGATGAGACACTAGTGTCTCATGAGTAGAACCTGGACCAGACACAAATCTCCATTCCCAATGTTTAGTGCCTCATTAGTGCCCAACAACAAGATATTGGGTCTATGTGGGTAGGCCTGGGGCATCCTGTACAACAGGAGATGTGTTAGGGGAGGGAGAACAGATCACAAATTCATGGAGAGCTATTTGCAGAGCAGATACTCCCATCCACTCTGATATGTAGTTAATGTTCAGCTGTTCCTAAAAAGCACACCCAACAATGGGTGTTCTATTCCAGCCTAGGAAAATGTAGAGGCAAGGGGTCTGAGGCCAGAGGACACCACTAGATGGACCACTGCTCCTGACTGTGATGTTGTGGCCCACTCAGGTCCCAGCACCCCATGGTCTGGGGGAAAATTTGCTGGTTCAGCCAGAGGGCTGGATGGACAGTGTTTGCTGAGTCACAGATATCTCTCTCATGTAGCCTTTGTCTCCACAGTGGTGACCAGGAGGCACAGAACCCAAACCTGGTATCTCAGCTCTGTGGCGTCTTTCTTCAAAATGAGACGAATGAAACCATACATATGCAGATGAGCATGGCAGTGGGACAGCAGGCCCTGCCCTTGAATATCATTGCCCCCAAGGCTGTGCTGGTCTCCCTCTGTGGGGTCTTATTGAATGGCACTGTCTTCTGGCTGCTTTGCTGTGGGGCCACGAATCCCTACATGGTATACATCCTCCACCTGGTCGCTGCTGACGTGATCTATCTTTGCTGCTCGGCAGTGGGGTTCTTACAGGTGACTCTGCTAACTTATCATGGAGTCGTGTTTTTTATCCCTGATTTCCTGGCCATATTGTCTCCCTTCTCCTTTGAGGTGTGTCTCTGTCTCCTGGTGGCCATCAGCACAGAGCGGTGTGTGTGTGTCCTCTTCCCCATCTGGTACAGATGCCACCGCCCAAAATACACATCTAATGTTGTCTGCACCCTCATCTGGGGCCTGCCTTTTTGCATCAACATAGTAAAATCACTTTTCCTAACTTACTGGAAACATGTAAAGGCATGTGTCATATTTCTAAAGCTTTCTGGGCTCTTCCATGCTATCCTTTCACTTGTGATGTGTGTGTCGAGTCTGACTCTACTCATTAGATTCCTGTGCTGCTCCCAGCAGCAAAAGGCCACCAGGGTCTATGCGGTGGTGCAGATCTCGGCCCCCATGTTCCTACTCTGGGCCCTACCCCTGAGCGTGGCACCCCTCATAACAGATTTCAAAATGTTTGTCACCACCTCCTATTTAATTTCCTTGTTCCTCATTATAAACAGCAGCGCCAACCCTATCATTTATTTCTTTGTGGGGAGCCTCAGAAAGAAAAGGCTGAAGGAATCTCTCAGAGTGATTCTCCAACGGGCGTTAGCAGATAAGCCAGAGGTGGGGAGGAACAAAAAGGCAGCTGGCATCGACCCAATGGAGCAACCACACTCTACTCAGCATGTGGAGAACCTTCTTCCCAGGGAGCACAGGGTCGATGTGGAAACATAATTTCCCACATCTGAGCTGGGGAATTGTACACATAGTAACCCAGCCTGTTCTGCATCATAAGGCTGCTGCATCAAATCAATGCTTTATTCTAATCAAGTTCAGCTTTCATGGACTTTCAAAACAACCCCTTGCTGTTTGTGGTTGGAAGAGACATTAACTTCCTTCCTAGGCAGTAAGCCCAGTTTGAATGTGCTCCAGTTCCAACGATGAGGGGAATGGGACCCAGTGAGACTTTCCTGGTACCTGTGGAATCCCAAATAAAGACCATACAAAAGGCCATGCATTATTCTCAATCATTATCCTGGAACATCCTCCAAATCCAGCCACAGATTTTCCTCCCTTTGTCTATCTCCTCCTTAGATAGAGCTTGAGCTTGTCGGAATTACCAAGAGGCATCATCACATAAGAGTAAGAGTCAGGGTTTTGGACCCAGATTGCCTTTGTCCAAACTTTGGCTCTCCCATTCAAAGCATGTTATTGTGGGCAAATAACTCTCTGTAACTCTGTTTCATCTTATGCAAGAGGAGGATAAAGTTGGTATTTAATATGCATGGTTGGTGTGAGGATTAATTAACCTTATGAATATACAGGACTCCTTGGATTTTATTTACAACATGTGTAACAATTATTTAGTAAGGATGATGAATATGTTGCAGTGTGTTGAATAAATGTACAAAAACATTACGTTGGATAATATAATCCCTCCTCACTAGGTTAGAATTTACACCCAAACCTTTTACTTTGAAGAAAGCAAATTTACCTCATCCTCTCTCCAACTTAATACCATTTAATTCTTCATCTTGCTTACATTGCTTACAAAACTCTCATATTGGGTTTCTTTTGTTAAATGGAACACATCCTTTTTGCAAATTTTCTTTCCTCTGTGAGGAATTATGTCACTCACAATTTTCCTTGTTTTTGCCTTTTCCATGTTTTATCTCTAGTTAAAAAGGTCAACTTTAAGAGCATTTCTATGATCACATTCTCTGGCTGGTCTTATTGATCTTTTATTTCTTACAACATTATTGTAATTTGTAATGGTTCCACCATTTTGGTCTTATTTTAAGCTTCCCCTAGAAGACGAGAAGTTTTGTGAGGTTGAAGTCATTACTTCATGATTCAGTTTAATGTCCCAGTGCTTTGTACATAATAAGTTGTTTTAATAATACCTCTTTGTAATTTGAATAAAAATTGCATTCCCTTTAAGTACATACCCTTTATTTAAGCCTTATTAATTTTATATCTGTGATTTTAGACAATCCTTCAAGGACTAGAATTGCCATTCTATAATATTGCTTTATATATATATATGCTTTAAATTCTAGTTATTGTATATATTATTTTATTGTGGTCAAATAATATAACCAACAAAATGTTATTATTAATATTATTATTTGTATTTCTTTCAGATTTACTCTGTGGCTGAAGACATGGTCAGTTTTGTCCACCATGGTGTTTAAAATAATGTATAGTCTCCTTTTAAGGTGTAATTTGTCAAATAACTTTTTTTAATGATTTCTATATGTGCTTATTCAATTATGTGTACATGTTACTCAAAACAAAGAAGATTCATTCAAGTCTGATATTAAAATATATGGTTACCTCTTAATTCCCATACTGCATCATTGTGTAGCTCATGTCTCATGATGCTGACATTTCAGGAGCATGTTAAGGAGGTGTCAGAGTGAAGGAAGGGGCATGAGACTTCTCGTGGACAGGTCTTTGTCTCTCCACTTCTGTTAGCTCTCCATCTATAAGCAGATTAGTCCTTTTTCAGTTGTCTGAGCTGCAGATACAATTTCCAACATTTTCATTGGTCACTTACTTCGGTTATGATTTTAAAAACATGTTATTGTCAAGCACACCGTTTTTATAAATTTGAATTTGTCAGTCTTTTATGGCTTATGTATTGAGTTATGATTAAAGAAGTCTTACCTACATGAGATAATATAAAATGAATCTATGCTGTCTTATACTATTAAATTATTTCATTTGTAAACATGTAAATATTTGATCAATTTGATTTTTTTTTACTGGAGGATAGTGTGAAGTATAAGCCCACTTTAATCTTTTTTGTTAAACGGTTAAATTATTCAACTTTGTTAGTCATCAGGAGCACTGCATAATGAGATATGATTTTCTACCCCTGTTATTAATAAGCTTTAATGGCTGGACACACAGAAGAATATGGAGGATTTAATGTCTTCTGCAACCAAAGTGGTGAGTTTAAGTTATTGCTTTTGTTGGGGAAAAATTGAGTACTGTACCTTAAAATTATAAACACACATACACTTATAATCAACGTTTAAAGTTTTATTGCTCCATTTTACAGAGACAAAATAGTGTTACCAAGTGATATCCGTGACAGGGTGTTTATTGCAACAATACTGGTTTTACCTGCTCCCAAGGCAGAAAATCCCACTGTCCCTACTGCAGAGATGCATCTGGGAGGGATTGGGTGACTGGGCACTTTCACACCTGTAGCTGTTATGTACTTCTCCAAGGCAAAGCCATGAAGTAGGACTTAGCAGGAACTGGTGCCCATAGCTAGGAACAGGAATCTTCTCACACGCACACACACACACACAAATTACATTGATAAATATTTTCATGAGATTGTTTCCAGGGAATTTGTAAGACAAAAGTTTTTAATGAAATTACTACTCCCCACCTCTTAAAATAAAAGGAAAAAATAAAACAAATAAAATCAAACTAATAAGTGAAAATAACATGGCCAATAACATCATATGTTCAGACCCAAAGGTCCAAACCTGAACCCTGACCTTTTGCCAAAAGAAATGGGATTGTGAAATATGAACAAACATTAGAAAGGTGTTTCACCTCAAACACCCAGGTGTGGCCACGGAATAAACCAAATAAGGAAAATCTCCCAGAGGGAAGTTCCAGTGTCTATGGACAATTCACTAAATAGATTAGGTGAATCCTTCCAATGAGAAGAACAGAGAACTGTGAGCTTGAGAGTGATGGAACTTACTTTCCTGACAACAAGTGTGATTCTGTCTGTTCTTTTACCCAAGAATGTCTAGCTGGAAAGGACACTCACTGAATGAATGGAATTAAATGCCTGTCACGTGGGTGCCAGAATGGAGCTAGAGGCAGTAACAAGATGATACTAGGTACATACAGTTCTTGACAAAATAATGAATGCATTTCAAATAGATGCAAATATTTTAATTTTAACTTGGACAAGGGAGGGAGGTGTATATAATTTGGGGGTAGGTGAAAAAGGCCTAAGTGTTGGTTATGGTGAGGGCATTCCAATGAGATATCGCAGGACATTCTATGTGGTATGACTCTAAGAAGAGTTTTCACAGATATAAAAAGAGATGGAAGGAAAGGAAGTTCTTTTTTCTCGCATTTTTTATATCATATTCTGAGTATGAAGTCATATCCTAAGCATTCGGAAAACATGCCCAGTGAGGAATGAGGACAATATTCTGAAGATGCCAGAAGTAAAAGTGGATAATTCTAATTTTTTCAAGACATTGTGCCACTGACTTGAACATCTTGCAGCAGCCCTATCTACAGGTGTCTTGTGCTTCAATATTATACATCACTGACTGCTAAAATTAGTTTAATTGAGCTTCTCTATTTGGCAGCCAAAAACATTTCTAACTGGAAATATTTTCTTATCCTTGAATGAAAAGGCAAAGACAGCCTTCTATGGGAATGCTACACAGCAAACTGGAATCCTAGTACTAGATAAGCTTGCCTCATACATTGATGCCCATTGTTGTTAAACCAGGGCCTAGATTTATGTTTATAAAATTATCTGAGTGTGGCTTTTACTGTGATAGAAGCAAATAGTGCTGGTTCTCAAAGGTAGAAAAGCATAAGAGATACACTATATGGGGGAGGCCAATCTTATTAGGGGTGTCCTGTGGACAAGAGTCCCTGGATAGAATCCCAATTGTGTTTCAGATACATGACTATAGGCAGGACTTGAGCCTGATAATCACCAGTATTAGGTATCATGAGAGAGTGGGAACAGAGGATGCTCTTGAAACCAAGAATTTGAGACAGTGAGTCGAGATCATTTCACTCCATGCCAGTCTGGGCAACAAAGTGAGATTCTGTTTCTTAAAAAAAAACATACAAGGGATGTGAAGGACCTCTTCAAGGAGAACAACAAACTGCTTCTCAAGGAAACAAAAGAGGACACAAACAAATGGGAAAACATTCCATGCTTGTGGATAGGAAGAATCAATATCGTGAAAAAAGCCATACTGCCCAAAGTAATTGATAGATTTAATGCTATCCCCATCAAGCTACCATTGACTCTCTTCACAGAATTAGCAAAAACTACTTTAAATTTCATATGGAGCCAAGAAAGAGCCTGTGTAGCCAAGACAATTCTAAGCAAAAGGAACAAAGCTGGAGGCATCACGATACCTGACTTCAAAATATACTACAAGGCTACAGTAACCAAAACAGCATGGTACTGGTACCAAAACAGATATATAGACCAATGAAACAGAACAGAGACCTCAGAAATAGCACCACACATCTACAAGCATCTGATCTTTGAAAAACCTGACAGAAAAAAGCAATGGGGAAAGGATTCCCTATTTAATAAATAGTGTTGGCGAAAATGGTTAGCCATATGCAGAAAACAGAAACTGGACCCCTTTTATACAGCTTATACAAAAATTAACTCAAGATGGATTAAAGATTTAAACATGAGACCTAAAACCATAAAAACCCTAGAACTAGGCAATATCATTCAGAACATAGGCATGGGCAAAGATTTCATCACTAAAACACAAAAAGCAATGGAAACAAAAGCCAAAATTGACAAATTAAACTAATTAAAATTGACAAATTTTAGTTCAGTTGACAAATTACACTAATTAAAATTGACAAAATTTGACAAAATTGACAAATTAATTAAATTAAACTAAAGAGCTTCTGCACAGCAAAAGAAACTATCATCAGAGTGAACAGGCAACCTACAGAATGGGAGAAAATTTTTGCAATTTATCCATCTAACAATGGGCTAATATCCAGAATCTACAAAGAACTTAAACAAATTTACAAGAAAAAAACAAACAACCCCATCAAAAAGTGGATGAAGGATATGAACAGACACTTCTTAAAAGAAGACATTTATGTGGCAAACAAACATATGAAAAGGGCTTATCATCACTGGTCATTAGAGAAATGCAAATCAAAACCACAATGAGATACCATCTCATGCCAGTTAAAATGGTAGTCATTAAAAAGTCAGGAAACAACAGATGCTGAAGAGGATGTGGAGAAACAGGAAGGCTTTTACACTGTTGGTGGGAGTGTAAATTAGTTCAACCATTGTGGAAGACTGTGGTGATTCCTTAAGGATCTAGAACTAGAAATACCATTTGACCCAGTGATCCCATTACTGGGTATATACCCGAAGGATTATAAATCATGCTACTATGAAGACACATGCACACGTATGTTTATTGCGGCACTATTCACAATAGCAAAGACTTGGAACCAACCCAAATGTCCATCAATGATAGACTGGATTAAGAAAATGTGGCACATATACACCATGAAATACTATGCAGCCATAAAAAGGACGAGTTCATGTCCTTTGCAGGGACATGGATGAAGCTGGAAACCATCATTCTCAGCAAACTATCGCAAGGACAGAAAACCAAACACGGCATGTTCTCACTCATAGGTGGGAATTGAAAAATGAGAACACATGGACACAGGGCAGGGAATATCACACACTGGGGCCTGTTGGGGGTGGGGGTCTAGGGGAGGGATAGCATTAGGAGAAATACCTAATGTAGACGATGGGTTGATGGGTGCAGCAAACCACCATGGTACATGTATACCTATGTAACAAACCTGCAAGTTCTGCACATGTATCCCAGAACTTAAAGTATAATTTAAAAAATAATAATAATGAAAAAATAATTTGGGTACATATAATAAAAAAATTCAAGATCCACAATCTCTTGAATATAAAAACTACATGAAATATAGAGGAGATAGGACCAAAGGTAACAGCTGCTCTAGACCCTTAATGGCTCCCTTGTAGGGAGGATCAGTACTGTCCCATAAAGTCACATTCCCTATGTGACCTTGAGGTCTTCTCAGATTCTATCTCTGCAGTGAGGTAAACAGCCAGTCAGCACCGAAGGACAAGGAGGGGTGTATTTTAACATCTTGTCACCCTTTGATCATAGTGTATTTCATTCTTATATATCTCTCCTTCCTGGTCACTGTAGAACCATACAGAAACCATCTGCCCCACTATGTGAATCACATTTAACCACAAGGTTTTAAGAGGGAATATAATAAAAGATTATTTCCTGCAGGGATAAGAAGCAACTTCAAGCTAGAAATGCATGAATTGCTAGAGAAACCAACGAAAGGAGCCTTGCATCCATCTCATTTTTCTCAAGTTGAGCCACATGTGAACAAAAGTCTATATGAAATGATCAGCTGGCTCCTTCACAAACAGCTGTAGGTGAACGGAGGGGAATAGCATGAGGATACATGGAGTGTGAGCTTGATCTGGCTTTCAGTAAGAATTTGCCAATATGTTGTGTCAGAACCTGCTTGGTAAGTGGCACAGCACAAAAACATTCCCAAGACTTCTTTACATTATGTTTATGGATCATTCATGACTAATTTTCCAACAAAAACAAACATGCACTAGAGAAAATCAAGAAAGAGCAAATTGATCTTTGAGAAGACAGCAAAGTAAAGTTCTTACATTAATTTTACTTTACAAAACATGCAATTCAATTCATGACAAAATCCAAGGAGCACGTTTGAGCTACTGGAATTCCTGAGTTCATTGGGAAAATGCTGACCTGACTTTCCTCTTCTGCCTTCTAGGATGGGTTGGGCTGGGCTGGACCTCAGTCTGGGAGATGCATTAAAGTGGAGAGACTGACTTCTCTTAAAGATTCTTCTTTGTTTCAGGGGACAGTTCTTAAGGACAGAGTAATAGAGTCAGACAGGATTGGGGGATATCGTGAGATGTTGAGATAAAGATGCTTCAGTTAAAGGCCTGGGCTCTGATATGCAAGTGGCCCTGGTACAGGAAGACCTAAGGGACACAGGGAACTTGATAACTGCTTGTCAAGACCCAGTTCAAAGCAGATATGCTTAGAGAGCTTCCTGACATGAGGGCAGAACTTTGATCTCTCAGGAGGTTGGCCTCTGTGATACCAAGTCCGTCCAAGTCCTCCCAGGTATGAGAAAAAAGGTCTCTACCTTTTTTTTCATTTTCAAAGCATTTTAACTCAAAGACTCATTTTTTAAAAAAATTTAAAACCTTGTGATTTTTTTTTTACTGAGGAAGGTGCATTTGAAGATTGACAGGATAGAAACCAGTTTCCTGGAAAAAGGAGGGCCTGCGGTTCCCAAGGTAGCCCCAGTGGGTGAGCTACTTCTGTGTTCTGGTCCCTGGTTCACAGGTGCCCTGGCTGTGTAGATGGGCAGAGGGTGTGTTTTTCTGTTAGAAGTAGGATTTGAGCCACTGTGTTACTGAGGTGTGGTCTATGACTTCTGGGTGTAACCTTTCAGATTTTCCAATTTCCCAGCTTCTATATTCGTATTTAATTCTCATCTAACACAGAAAATGAAGTTCTGGCACATGCTGCACCATGAACAAGCCATGAAAACATGAGGCTGAGTGAAAGAAACAGAAACAAAATGTCACGGAAGGTTTGATTCCACTAATAGGACGTGTCCAGAATGGGTGAATGCGCAGAGACAGAAAGCAGATGGTGGTTGCCAAGAGCTGGGAGGGAGAAAGGGATGTAACTGCTAAGGGCATCCTTATGGGGCATGAAAATGTTTTGGAACTAGATAGAGTTGGGGGTTGCGCAATATTGTGAAGAGGCAAAGTGAGGCAGAACTGTGCACTCTAAATTGGTTAATTTCTGTTATGTGAATTTCACCTCAGATAAAAATTAAGTGGGGAGGGTGGGCTCTCGCCTCAGAATCAGAGCAAATACTTCAATCCCAATGCAAAGGCTACTTGGCTATTTTGGCTGCACCAAACTGAGCACTTCCAACAGCGCTGGCTCCCTGAATCCCAGGATCCAGCCTGTTGTATCTACTCCTTGGGGAGCCTGGCTCATGACCCAACTTGGAAATGACATTCCCAAGACCACAAATGACATTTCCAAGTACCAGGATGTCTCTATGCCCAGTGCTGGGGCCACACCAGATGCCGAGGCCTCTCCACCCCAGGAGGGCTGCCTCCTCCTCCTAGGTGACAATGAAGAATGTACTGCTCAGTCACTGGGCTCAGTGGTCGTCTCTGGGCATGAGCTGGGTTTCAATGAGCTCAGGAATGGGAAGCATGACTCTGCCCCTGAGGCCACATGCCACCTCCATAGCGGATCTTTTCTTCTGGCTGGAGGGGAAGTCACTTCTTCCCATGAAACTATTTTATCTATAAATCTCCTCTCCTTGTTGGAGACCAAAGCCCAGCTGCTCCTGCTTGGTGCCCTGGTGGCCTGGGGTGGGCCATGGAGTCCTGTTTGCAGTTTCTCTTCTGTCACCATCACGAGTTCTGACACCCTGGCCTGGGCACAGAACCGCACATCAGCCTGATGTTTCCATGGACACCAATGTTACTAAGCCCCAAGCCTCGTCTTATGACCAGATTAGATATAAGCTGGATCTGCTTTCCTCTCCTGGCCTCAGATAAGAAAGTCTAGGCAACAGGCACAGGGAGGGGCGAGACTGGGGCCAGACCCTTCCATTTCAACAGAGCTGCTGACTGAAGGGGAACTCCATCATCCTGGCAAGGAGGGAAGATTCAAACACTGGGCTCACTTGGAGCTGGTCCCTAGCACTCTCCTGAAACCCCACTGATGCACCAATATGTGACTGCAGATCACAGGGTCACGTGTGAGATATTTCCTGGCATATCTTAGGCTTTCATCAATTTGTGGAACAATCTTTGTTTTAGAAGCCTCTGTGATCCATAAACAAAGCTTCAGTAGCTCAGGGTTGTAGGACCAGGTTCGTCTCACCATTCTGAGACTTCCCATGATTCCATGTATAAAGTTCTCTTCACTACTGTGATCATCAGCTTGGACTCCCATGACTAAGACCACAGACTGAGTGACTTAAATGATAGAAGTCTATTCTGTCACAGTCCTGGGGGTTGGAATTCTGAGATTAAGGGGTCGGCACTGTCGGTTCTTTCTGAGACCTCTCTCCTTGGCTTGTAGATGGCTGTCTTTTCCCTGCATGCTTACATGGTTGTCCCTGTGTGTTTAACTAATCCTAATCTCCTCATCTCATGAGGACACCAGTCCTATTGGATTAGGGCCCAACCTAAAGACCCATTTTAACATAATTACCTCTTCAAAGATTCTGTCTGCAGACACAGTCACATTCTGAAGTATTAGGGGTTAGGACCTTAACATATGAATTTAGAAGGTCACAATTCAGCTAATAACAGCAACCCTTAGATAGCTGGGAATACTGAGGCAGAAAAGGATCCACTGCTTATCAAAGATAGCTGTGATTTGCCCACATAAGATCAGCTTTCATACCCTTGGCCTGAACTCCCAGGTTACTAGGTTTGACTCAGCTGTGGGTTCCCAGAAGAGGTATTGATCCTCTCCCGTTTCATTTTTAGTTAGGTGACCAACCAGCTTGGTTTTCCCAGGGCTATCGGGATATTCAGGACAAGGAATTTTCAGGAATACAAACTAGGAAATTCTAAGGCAAAGTGGTACCTTTGCCCTCCCTGCACAATTCTTCACACAAAGACCTGTGATTGGCAGCCTGAAGCGGAGTGCCTGCTCCTGAAGTGGACAGAGCCCATGGCTCAAGTGCATGTCTCCCTCGGGACCCCATGAAGCAGCTTCTGGTGTGCAGGGTCCCCTGCTCTCACCTACATGTAACAGAGCAACTTAAGTCCTCTGCAGGCACCCTCCCCAAGTAGCTCCTCAGTGTCAAACCCTGTTCCAGGGGCTGGAGAAAAGGCAGTGAACAGAATTTTAAAGACAAAGTAAATTCTCATGGAACTTCCATTCCAGGGCATGATTCCCACAAAAGCAAGTAAGTGAATATCATAGACTGCCAGCAGGTCAAGAGTGCAATGTTTAAAGGCTGATCAGCAGAAGATCACCTGGAAGGTGACCCTGAGGCAGAGACTGGAAGGAGGAGACCGAGCTCACTGAGGCACAGAGGCTCTTCCAAGCAGGAGAACAGCATGTGCAAAGGTCCAGGGAGGAGGCCTGAGAGCTAACAGAGAAGAGGTGAGCAGGAGCAAGGTTGGGAGCCCTTCCCTTGAGTACTGACCAGCAACCTCCCCATCCAGGACTCAAGGAGTCTCAGAACCTCAAGGTAAAGTAGTCACTCAGTGCCCCCACCAAAACGATGTCACAAAAACAGCCTGTACCAGTGGGAAAGTTGGAGAACCATCCCTATGGGCTAATGTAAACAAATGTATTTTTTTATGCAGCCTTATAGATAATCTGGGTGCACGGGATACACACTGGGCCTTGGGCACAGCATGAAGCATCAGGGATAACTGAATGCGGTGGAGAGAGGGGTAAGGGTATGCATGAGAGGGCATCCTGCAATGGAGAATCTGGGAGGGAAGGGATGGGTCTCCCACAAGAAGCTTGCTCCTTTCCTCCACTCTGCTCTGCAGAATCCCTGCCAATCTCATGAGGCTCAGCAGGAACCTCTGAGGACAGAGGGCAACCCTGACTCTCCTCTCCAGACCTGGTATGTTACCAGCCTTTGTTTTTGCAGGATGTGCGCAGGCAGCAAAGGTAGCCCACCATAGCCTAGCTTCTCGCAACCCTCTCTGGAAAGCTGGATTGGGACAATGAGACTGAGACCTCAGGACATGTGAACATGAGCCATACGGGAGGTGAGTGGTTGGTGGACAGGCAGGTGGTCTTCTCCCTGACAGTGCTGGTGGCCCTCTGTGGACTGGTAGGCAATGATGTGATCTGCTGGCTTCTCTACTCACAGGTCTGGAGCAGCCCCTATGTGACCTACATCCTTAACCTGGCCACTGTTGATATGGTCAACCTCTCCTGTGTAACTGTGATCCTGCTGGAGAAAATCCTCATGCTGTATCACCAGGCGGCATTGCAGGTGGCTGTGTTTCTGGATCCTGTCTCCTATTTCTCCGACACAGTGGGTCTCTGTCTCCTGGTGGCCATGAGTATTGAGAGCTTTCTCTGTGCCCTCTGTCCCACCTGGTGCTGCCACCGCCCAGAGCACACCTCTGCCATGGTGAGGTGGGCCCTGGCCCTTTCTTTGTATGCAGTTAGCCAGGTCTGTGAGTACTGGGAGAAGTGCTTGGCATGTGACCAATTTCATGAGGCTTTATGACATGTCATGTACTTATTTGCTTTGTAATGGGCATGTCCAAGCTGATCCTGATCATCTGGGGTCTGTGCTGTCCCCAGTGGTGTTCCCCCATCAGGACCTATCATGTTGTCTGCTTTGTGATCATCAGCTTCTTCCTTTGGGTCCTGCCCTTAGTTGTCCTTGTGTGCCTGCCAGGAAAGTTTCTGACCCTTGCCTTTGACCTCCTGTTGCTACTGTCCATTGTGGTCAGCATGCCTCACCTAGTCATCTACTTCTTGGCTGAGTAACTCTACAGGAAGAGGCACAGGGAGTCCCTAAAGGCTGTTTTTCAGAGGGCTTTGTTGAGTGAGATGGAGGCATGGATAAAATGAGGCGTTTCAGGCCCCCGATCCCAGGGCAGATTTCAGCCTCACAGCTGGAAACAAACTGCTCTTCTAGGGGGCTCAGCTCCTCCACAAAGGCAGGGACTGCCTATGCACAAGGCTGTAAAAGGGATCATGTCTGGAAAACATGCTGGATCCTCCAAGGAGCAGGGTGAATGTTCTTGAGATTATTTATTACCTTTGTGTATTTTCAGAGTAACCAGATTTCTGACTGAATTCAAGACAAAATTACTTTGCTTCTGTTGATAGCCCATTATTCTCAATTCCCATGGAAACCCTCTGGAAAGGCAGGTCAGGAGCAAAGCAGACCTTCCTGGCTTCTTCTTTTTTTTTTTTTTTCCAGCTAATTATTTTATTTTATTTTATTTTATTTTTCTTTTTTTATTATACTTTAAGTTTTAGGGTACATGTGCACAACGTGCATGTTTGTTACATATGTATACATGTGCCATGTTGGTGTGCTGCACCCATTAACTCATCATTTAACATTAGGTATATCTCCTAGTGCTATCCCTCCCCCTTCACCCCACCCCACAACAGGCCCCAGAGTGTGATGTTCCCCTTCCTGTGTCCATGTGTTCTCATTGTTCAATTCCCACCTATGAGTGAGAACATGCGGTGTTTGGTTTTTTTGTCCTTGCACTAGTTTGCTGAGAATGATGGTTTCCAGCTTCATCCATGTCCCTACAAAGGACATGAACTCATCATTTTTTATGGCTGCATAGTATTCCATGGCGTATATGTGCCACATTTTCTTAATCCAGTCTATCATTGTTGGACATTTGGGTTGGTTTCAAGTCTTTGCTATTGTGAATAGTGTCATAATAAACATACGTGTGCATGTGTCTTTATAGCAGCATGATTTACAATCCTTTCGGTATATACCCAGTAATGGGATGGCTGGGTCAAATGGTATTTCTAGTTCTAGATCCCTGAGGAATCGCCACACTGACTTCTACAATGGTTGAACTAGTTTATAGTCACTGGCCATCAGAGAAATGCAAATCAAAACCACGATGAGATACCATCTCACACCAGTTAGAATGGTGATCATTAAAAAGTCAGGAAACAACAGGTGCTGGAGAGGATGTGGAGAAATAGGAACATCTTTACACTGTTGGTGGGACTGTAAACTAGTTCAACCTTCCTGGCTTCTGCAAGCTCCATATTTCTGAGAGTGACAAGTGTCATTCATCCTTATTCAGTCACCTTGCTCGGAGTTCTGTCCTCTGTCACCCCAGTCCATCCTTCCTGGGGACCCCTGGGCAGAGACTGATTCATGATCCTGATGTTCCTCCACCATTATGGCCTCAAGTTTCCATCCATCCCTTCCTACAAAAGCCAGGAAAGCGATTCAGTAAGAGTGCCATAACAAGTTGTTTCTGGCGTTGCTCACTGTGGAGAGATCTAACGCTGGCAGTCTGGCCTACAGCCTGGTTTCTCCAAGCTGTTTCACTCTGCTCATTCCAGGTTCCACGCACAGGCTACTCTCTGTGTTTTTCCCAGACTCATCACACAATCTAGCGCCTGTGCTTCTTCACAGGAATCCCACCCTGCAGAATGTCATGCATTCTTCCCCACCCTGACCAGGGTGTTGCCCGGCACCCACCATGGTCAGAACCTTAATGAGAGCCCCTGACCAGCCCCAGCTCCATCCCGTCAATGCTCTATAGCCATCACAGCAGCACATCACCCTGCTTCATTTGTTCAATTGCACCCCAGCCAGCGTAACTCTTAGATTTCAGGATGGTGTCCACCCCCTGAGTTGTCCTCAGGTGCACCATTTGACCTTGTCCCATGACATCCTCACACAGGATTCACTCTCTCCCTTGTTTGCACCAGACTCGCGCCCAACCTTGCAAGGTCCCTTTCTCCCTTCCCTGCTTAGAGCACTCCCTCAACACTATCTGTACATTTTACTCTTTTTCACCCTTCACTCCTTAAAGATGTTTGTCCAGACCACCCCATTTAAATCTCCACCCCTTTTTGACTCTTCTCTAAAAGGTTTGTTTCTTTTAATGTGAAGATAATTGTCTATAATTATTTTCTATGTATTCTGTGTTGTGTGTTGTTATCAGTTTATTGTACTCCTGCCTCATTTGCACTTGAAGCCCCAGTAGGGCAGAGGCCACACCTTCCTCCTACCCTAGCAAATTCCCAGCAAGTAGCAAAATGCCCTGCAAGTCTGACATTAACCCCCCATCATCTGATGTTATCCATCGCTCACTAGTCCACCTTTCCACCTTGCATGTTTCCACATGTTTTCATTGTCTCTGCCTTCTTGAGGCTTCCCAACCATATTCTAACTAGAATTCGACGAACACGTCTTTGGAGATTGTTCCCAGTGTTCTTGTAATTGATTTGTCAGTTTTTTACTCACTTGGAAAATGTCACTTGTATAATACTATGACTGTTATGTGAAATTCACACTGTTTTCTCTGTTGCCGAAAACTTGCTCAGGTTTGTAAATGTGCCAGTGATACTGGTAAGCAATGTACATTCTCTTATTTTAGATATTCAATGTGATACATTCTAAAGCAATTCTGAGATGTTTAGATTACAGCAATTCTTTAAATGCTGTTACTTGGATCATATTGATTTCTGCCTAGTGTAAATGACAAAATTGATAGGGACATGTTCATATCTCCTATTAGTTTGTTTCACATCACACTAGAATTTGAAACAGAGTTTGATTTACATAATTTGATGTTGTCCTTTGATAAGTGAATGGCAGAAACCCTGGCCCTAGAGCACAGAAGGGCTGATCCGGGCTGCCTGTCTTTAGTCAGCGTGTTTTGTTCTAACAAAATGCCATAGATTAGGCTACAAACAGCAGATATTTATTTTCTCAGAGTCCTGGAGCTTGGAAGTTCAAGATCAATGTATCAGCAGGGTGGGCTTCCCCTGAGGCCTCCCTCTTTGACTTGAGATGGCCGCCTTCTCCCTGTGTCATGACATGGCCTTTTTCTGTGTACCCACATCCCTGGGGACACTTTCTATTCTTATGAGGATTTTAATTCTTTAGGATTAGGACCTCAGTCTTATGAGCTCCTTAGCCTTAATTATCTCTTTAAAGGCCCTATCTCAAAATATTGTCACATTCAGGGTTAGGACTTTAGCCCGTGAAGTTTGGATGCCTGGAAGTAAGAGGCAGGTTGATCTCACAGAGTTGGGCTGCTGCTATGTTCAGGCAGGGGATACAATTTGGGCATTTTATGTGCCTTTACCCTGGGCCAACAGTTCCCTTGGAGGTGAGCATCTGGCTTATGGTTCTTTAGTTTTTTGTGGAAACGTCTCTATTATCCTTGCAGCTGATGAGCTCCTGGCAACACAGACAGTCCTCAGTTTCCTGAATTCTCTCACTCACTCAGAAAAACAAAAATGTCAAGGCTAGGTATGGACTATTACAGTTTAGTAAGTAATCCCCTTCCTTCCCTCTGGAATTGAGAACTACTGATGAAAGTGAATGAAGGAATGAGGACAGTGTCAGATGGAGAACAATGCATTACTTCTATTGCTCCTAAAATTGAACTGGAGAAAGGGGCTTGGATGTCTAAAAAACTGACTTTCAAAAGTGCCCCTTAAATGGTACCTACTCCAGAGGATCCCATCCCTCCTCCCTCTTCCTGCCCATCTCTCTTTGGAGGAAAGCAGTCCTTCTGGGGAACTCACCACCCACTGGTGAAGGGAGCACTCACTCCAGGTTATTCTTCCAAACTCACTCATCAGTTTCTTTCCTTCTCCCCGGGAGGGAAAAAGTGCGGGGAAAGAGAGAGAGCCCAGAGCTTAAAATAGACCTGAGATTCTCAGTCTTAAATAGTATTGAGCAGCTCAAAGAACTTTTGTGGATCAGGGTTGTATCTTTCAATATTTACAGTATTAGTAATTATAACTCAGAACTTTACAAATGTTTACTTATTAACTCCTTTAGAACATAAATTGTATGCCTATTCCATGTAAACATGAATAAATTTTAGAAAAAATAACTATGTTTTCTTTAAAAAGTTATGTTATTGAGAAGAGCAAGATGGTTTTGTATTTTGCAGACCTCTTAGAGGCCCAGCAGCAAGCTGGACATTCACAGCTGCTTCTGCATTGGTGTAGTTTTCCAGTTGGCGGCTTCATCTCACCTCATACAGTCTCTGGAAAACTCCACTTTCACTCAGGAGTGCATGAGTGTGAGAAACACAGACTCACTTCAATACTTCAAGTATTACCTGAAGATTATGTTGGCCTCCCTTCCCCTAAAAAGGTGTTGGGGACCACATCTCAAGAATTACTCCTCTGGGGTGATCCCCACCTGGAAATAAGGGCTGAGGGAGTGGAGGCACCCACCCTCTCACACCAGTTCCCTTGTTTGGAATTTTTAAAGAGAGAGGCATCCCAGCATTCACCCCGCAGTAGGGCAGAACTGTGTGGCACATCCTGAGAAGGGATCAGCGGGTGACCAGGACTGAGCCTCTGCCACCTGGAAGAAACTGTACCCCAGGACTGACCAGAGTGTCTTGTGGAGTTTCGGCCTCACCAGGAGGCACTTGAATCATGGTAACCATAAGACGCTGCACGGGACAGGAAGATGAATAGTAGCAATAGCAACTAGAGCAAATATGTTCACTGATGATTTACTGTATCTCAATATTGCTCTAATCACTGTGAAAACATGAAGCCAGTTTTCACACTCTATTAATAGGTAACATTATTATCCTGCTTCAGCCTAAGCCAAAAGGCTGCTTGGCCCACTTAGCTGATTGTTATCCAATGGTCCCAGCACATTTATAACAAATATAGTCCTTCACTATTGTTCTGATTTTTGGTTATCAATCATGTTTAGACTTATGTGGGTCTGTCTCTGGGCCTTCTGCTCTGTTCTGTTGGCCTATTTATCCACCCTTGGACAACACCACACTTGATGTAGTTACTGCATCTTTCCCGTGCATATCTATGCCCAGGAAACTGAGTCCTCCTACAAACAGCCAGAGAAGAACAAGACATATATGTACAGAAAATCAAAGATAAGAATGAAGCAGATTTCTTGTTGGAAAGTTGCAAGTTGTATGACAGTGGAGAAAATTCTTTAAAATATTAAAAGAAATAAATTTGTCAGCCTAAAATTTTTTACACAGTCAAAATATTTCCCAAAGAGATGGCAAAATAAAGAGGTTTTTGGAGACACAAAAAAGATGAAACAAATCATCACCAGGAGATATGCAGACTGAGAAGTGGTAAAAGACATACATCCAGCAAGAGAATAATGACTCCACATGGAAATCTGTGTCTATTTAAGGAAGGAGTCCTTTGCCCTGATGGTATCTTCTTAAGACGCTGAAATAAGTGGTGAGAGCCAACATTCTTGGCTTGTTCCTCATCTGGGGTGAAAGCATCCAGTCTTTCATTATTAAGGGTAATACCCACTAAATATCAACCATAGGATTTTTTTTTTGGTAGCTGCCTTTTATCATTTTGAGAAACTTCGTTTCTATTCCTAGTTGACTGAAATTTTTTATGAGCCTATTGGATTTTGTCTAATGCTTTTTCTGAATCTGCTGAAATAATGTTTTTGCCTTTTAATCTGTTAATGTGGTGAATTATATTGGCTCATTTTTCATGTTAAACCTGCCTAGTATCCCTGGGATAAATTTCACTTGGTCTTGATGTGCATATATTTATATTTCTGGTGCACATGTATGTATGTTCATGAGAAAGTGATTCTGTGTGTGGCGATGCAGTAGACCTAGAATAGTTAAAAAAAAAAAAAAAAACTTTGAAAAAAGAAGAAGCAAGTGAGACAGTTTATAATACCCGACTTCAAGGCTTATTATAAAGGTTCAGAAATCCAGATGGTGTGATATTGGTAACAGGATGGACAAATAGGTCAACAGAACAGAAGAGGGTCCAGAATAGACCCTAACATATATCTTCAATTGATTTTGAAGAAGGTGTAAAGTAAATTCAGTGGAGAAAGGACAATCTTAGCAACAAACGGTCCTTAGAATTATTGGATATACATATGCACATATGAACAGAACTTCAATCCATACGTGGCATCATACATAAAAATTAATTCAGAATTTATCATAAACCATAATGTAAGACCTAAAGCTGTAAGCTGTATGTAAGAAAAGAAAAGAGAATATCAGTGTAACTTATGGTTAGGAAAATATTTCTTGGATGAATACAAAAAGTATGATGCATAAAAGAAAAAATTGATCAATTGGATTTCATCAAAATATAAGATGTGTGCACTTTGAAAGACCCTGTGGGGAGAATGAAAAGGCAAGTTCCAGGCTGGAGGAAGTGGTTTCAATCTCACATCTGATGAAGGACTCATATGTAGGATCTATAAAGAGCTCAGATGAATGGGCCCCTGGCAGCCCTTGGGAATCACAGGGGTGCTGTGCCATGGACAGACATGGAAGACACCTCCCACCCTGTCATTCATGTCTTCTGAGCTGCAGTACTCAATGTCCCCTACAAATGCCCCCTCCTGGGCCCACAGACCCTCCTCTCCCCACATCCACACCCTCAGGCCAGGCCCTGGGGCTCTTGTTGGGACAGGGCCCCTCCTGCAGGATACAGGGAGGGAGGAACTGTCAGTCTCAGGCTCTGGGTGCCCAGCTTCAAGCTTACCCACCTCAAGGCCCTCTGGGCCCATCTCACAGGATATAATGAGGTAGTCTGGCACCTACTGGACATGCTATCTAGATCTAATCCTGAGCTGTGGAGCCAGAGGAAAGGAGGGATGTTTGTTGGACCAGTTACCCTGTTCTGCCAGGTCTCACAGGGCCCTTCCCTTAGAGGCCAGCTCTAGACACACAGCACAGAGGCCAAGAGGTAGCCAGCCCAGAACCTGCAGGCTGGGCTGGGGACCACACGAGGACTGTCTGGGGACAGCCAGAAGACCCCTCACTAGTTTTCTCACTACCTCATTTCTTATCAGCTACCTTACCTCCATCAAAACCCCCCTTCACGCAAAATCAGTAAGAGGAGGAAGATGGTAAAAGAATCAACGGGAAGAAAACAAAAAAAGGACAACCATTAACAGTCCAGAACCCTGGGTGGGAAGAGTGGAACTGGGAACAGACCCTTTCATTTCAACAGAGCCTTGACTGAAGGGGACTCCATCATCCCAGCAAGGAGGGAAGATTGAAACACTAGGTTCACTTGGAGCTGATCCCTAAACTTCTCCTGAAACCCCACTGATATACTGACATGTGACTGCAGATGCCAGGGTTGCCTGTGGCATATTTCTAGAAAAATCACAGGCATTTATCAGTTTGTGGGACAAGTTTATTTCCAGAAGCTTCTGTGACCCAGAAGCAAAGCGTTAGCAGCTCAGAGTTGTAGAATCAGCATCTCAGATTATAGGATTATAGGATCTACCAGGTCGTAGATCTCACTATTGCAAGACTTCCCATGATTCAATTTGTAAAGTTCTCATCACAACTGTGATCATCAGCTTGGACTCCCGTGACTGAGACCACAAACCGAGTAGCTTAAACTACAGAAGTTTATTCTCTCTCGGTTCTAGGAGGCAGGAAGTCTGAGATCAAGGAGTGGGCAGGATAGGTTTCTTCTGAGGACTCTTTCCCTGGCTCCTAGATGGATATCTTCTCCCTGTGTCCTCACATCGTTGTCCCTTGTGGTGTTTGTATCCTAATCTCGTCTTCTTATAAGGACACTAGTCCTACTGGATTAGGGCCCATTCTAATAATCCATTGAATTTCACCTCAAGTAAAGATTAAATTAAGGGCTAGTGTGAGCTCTCATCTCAGAATCAGAGCCATTACTTCAGTCCCAAAGCAAAGGTTACCTGGCTGTTTTGGATGCACTGAGGCAGACACCTCCTTCAGAGCCTGGTCCCAGAGACAGTTTCTACTAACTGCTTGTTTTTCTGTGTATGGGCCTTACTTTATTGTTTCTTTGCATGTTGTATTATTTCGTTCTTTCTTTTTTAACTTAGCATTTTAAACAGTATAATGTGGCAACTCTGGAAGTCATATTTTTTCTGTTCCCAGATTTTACTATTGCTAGTGGATGTTTTTTGATCAGGTTTTTAAAAACTATCTGTCAAGTCTGTTCTTTTTTGTTTTTTTGTTTTGTTTTGTTTTTGTTGTTGTTGTTGTTCAACGTGGCCACTGAAGTCTCTGCTTGGTTAGCTTAGTGGCCAGGTAAAGACTGGACAAAGATTTCCTTAGGTTCCTGGAAGTAATGTCTCCCAGTGTATGTAGAGAGGCTCTGTGTGCAGGTAGATACAGGTCTTCAAAGCCCAACCAAGCAGTTTACACTGTGTCCTAGCCTTCATTTCCTGTCTGTGCAGTGCCTCAAACTTATTCAGGGTTAGAGCTTAGAGCCTGCTCAGGTCTGTTCAAAGCATATATGCAGCACTTGTCATGCCCACATCTATGCATGCATGTGGCCGTCGGAACTTTCTGGAGTATATTAAGGCTTTTCAATCCCCTTTATGGGCATCTCATTCCCTGACATTTCGTTTTTAAGTTCTTGGTTAGGCTATTGTTTGTTCCAACTGTTATTTATGACCGTCGGCAACCATGATGTTCAACAACTGCCTATGATTCTTTTTACTCATTTCCCCAGGAAATACATTGTTCTCTCTGGGATAGCTCTGAGTCAAGTCAAATAAGGATAGCATTGTGAGTTCTAGGGAACAACCAGACAGGTAAAATAATAACAGTCCTCTGGAAATAAGGGATTAAAGGATCTGTAACCCTATTGTGTCCCCTCCAGTGATTTCATGTCTGCTGGTTTTCACCATGATTGTGGACCGTTGGTTTTTAAGAGCTGAGGAGGAAGGAACAGGAGTGGAACCAGTTAAAACATCACAGAGCTCACTGTTCTTATCAAGATTCAGCTATTATTCTTGAACAAACACTCCCCAGATTGCAGCAAGCCTTTGGTTAATTTCTAGAGTTCTAAACAATATTAATTCTGACAATTCTTCCATAGTTCATTTTACTCTTAGGAAGTAGGTCATTTTTGGAAGTCATTACTCTGTTATTTTTGTTGATGTCACTGTGTTACTGGAAAGGGGCCCCAATCCAGACCCCAAGAGAGGATTCTTGGATCTCATGTAAGAAAGAATTTGGGGCGAGTCCATAAAATGAAAGCAAGTTTATTAGGAAAGTAAAGGAATAAAGTATGACTACTCCATAGACAGAGCAGTGGCATGGGCTGCTCAACTGAGTATACTTACAGTTATTTCTTGATTATATACTAAACACGGAGTGGATTATTCATAAGTTTTCTGGGAAGACGGTGGGCAATTCTCAGAACTGAAAGTTCGTCCCCTCTTTAGATTACATAGGGTTACTTCTGGACATTACCATGGCATTTGTAAACTGTCACGGCATTGATGGGAGTGTCATTCAGCATGCTAATGCATTATAATTAGAGTATAATGAACAGTGAGGAGGACCAGAGGTCACTTTCATTGCCATCTTGGTTTTGGCCGGCTTCCTTACAGCATCCTGTTTTATCAGCAGGATCTTTGTGACCTATATCTTATGCCAACCTCCTATCTCATCCTCTGACTGAGAATGCCTAACCTTTTGGGAATGCAGCCCAGCAGGTTTCAGCCTTACTTTACCCAGCCACTACTCAAGATGGAGTCACTCTGGTTCAAACGCCTATAACAACAGTATGGTTTTTTGTTTTATTGGAATTGTTGCTTTAGGGATTATGATATAAATATTTACCCTTTCATGGTCTACTTAGAATGAATAGATCCATTTATTATTATTAGTTTATTCAGTAATTGTCATATGTATTACATTTGTATGAATCCCCATCAGTGTTGTACTTTTTAGTTCCAACAGAGATACATATTTTAAATAATTCAAAAAGAGAATAATATACGATTGCATTTACCCAGATAATTACTCTTTCTGTTGTTCCTTTTTCATTCATGATATTCTGATTTTCCCTCTGGTTTTATTTCCTCTCTGCCTGAAGCAGTGCAATCCATGCTTAAAAGCATTTCTTTTAAATCAGATGAGTTGGTGATACCTACTTTCACTGAGAATATCTTTACTTCATCTTCGTTTCTGAAGAATATTTTAACTTTATATAGAATTGCCTAAATGAGTGTCAATTGTGAGGAATGGGAATTAATGACATTGGCTGCTAAAATGGAGTGAAGAAGGTAGGTGAACAGCTCTGGTCTAAGACCAAGGTTCCCATGCAGGACTTGGTTTTTCTGCTGGGCTTTAAGACCCCAAAGCCCAAGAAAATGCTATCGTCTTATGAAATTTCCAAGAAGAAGACCATCCACCTCACCTTAAAGGTGGTGAAGCCCAAGATGCGGAGCTGCCCATGTTTCTGGTGGAAACATGTGATGAGGAGCAGAGAAATCTCCTCCTGGCATGACTTAATTTAAAAAAATATGGTAGATTATGGCATCAGAAAGGACAAATTACATTTCTTGACATACCACTCCACTGGAGGTGACCCAGGGGTAGAGAGATGCTTAAGGAAAAGCAGTTCATTTTCTTCTGGCTCATGTTCAGTAACCAGGGTGCCCAAATACTTTGAAGACGGAGTCTTAATCCAGAAGATAGGAGTTCTGTGTAACCTATACTATATGGTTACTTGATAGCAACAAAGTTCTTGTTGAAATATTCTGTTATAACTCAAAGGTTATATTATGTTTGCTTTTTTTTTCTGGACTCTTTAGTGGAAAATGGAAAAAAATACTACAAATAAAACATTAAACTTTTCCTTCCAATATTTCACCTTTATTTCAGTCTCAAAAAAAGTGTTATTTGCAACTTTAATGTGGCCAGAACCATATACATTTGAAAGGCTGCTAAATTGAAAACAATAGAGCCTGCATTTTGGTTGTAACAATCCATTCTGTGTATTTGCATGTGATTATAGATTTGCTAAGTTTTAGTTCCTCCTTTCCTCTGGCTGTAACTTGAGGCAGTGAAGGAGAAAGAGAAGGCAAAAAAGGGTCAATAGAAGAAGGAGCAACTGGACAGAAAGAACCTTGAGGAAGTAGGAAAGAAGACATGTGCAGGGGGTTGAATGCTTATGTCCTTCCAAAATTCATATGTTGAAATCCTAAACCACCAAGATGATGGCATTAGAACATGGGGCCTTTGGGCAGTGATTAGGTCATGAGGGAAGAGGCTTCATAATTGGAATTAGTGCCCTCATAAAAGAGACTCCAGAGAGTTGGTAGTCCCTTTCACCATGTGTGGGCACAGCAAGAAGTCACCTTCTATAATCAGAAAGCAGGCCCTCAATAGGCATGAAATCTGCCTTAATCTTGGAGTTTCCAGCCTCCAGAACTGTAAGAAAGAAATGTTTGTTATTTATAAACCACCCAATTTATGTGTAGCTTGTGATAGTAGCTTGAATGAACTAAGCTAACACGGTAAGAACCAGAAATGAAGATAGAGTGACGGTGATGACTGTCAAGCACACTCATGAGAAGCAAGGCAAGGCCATGGCCTAGCTGATTTGGCTGGAGAAGATATGAGCCACTTTTACACTTAGATGGCTTATTATTTACATATAAAAAAGAAGTAAAAGCCAAACGTGCCAATTCCCTGGCTCCTTGTCCTACACACCAAAAAGGATGACACGGAAACCAAAGGGGCCAGACGACTGTGACACTGTTGTGGAATATACCACTGGTGAGGAGTCAGTTCTAGAATCCAGCTATTCCTCATTATATTCTTCAGCTATATCCTAAAGGGTGTGGGGCAGAAAACCCCATGCTCCATCCAAAACCTGGGAGACAGTAAAGACTTGTCACATGACATACTCCCAGGGATATAAGAAGGAGAGTGAGAGATGGCATTGAGGCAGGTTCTAAAGGGCCTCCCATCCTCTCATATTCCAGGAGGATCAAAAAGCATTCTTCTAAATCTCAGATTAGCTGTTCTTCAAGCCTTTGCTTACATGACCTACGTAGATACATGCAAGGTGTCCAGAATGCTATGATGGAGTAGTTCCCCTACACTGACATGACAATTGGAGAGCAATTATATAACCAGAAATAGGCATGGTGGAGTTAGGAAATCTATAGAAGTGATGACAGTAAAAAGAACAGAATGGAGGATAGAAATATTAAGAATGGACAGTGATAGGAATGATAATATTTGAATTTGTGTGCCTTATGGAGCTACCTATCTCCTCTCACCCAATTTCTTTTATCTCTCTGTCCCTCTCTTTCTCATTCTCCCTCTCATAGATAACATAGCCACACTGTGACCCACCACAGTGGCTCAGGTGTATGTGGGAAGGGTAGTAGTCTGGAAAACTTAACATGTTCATAAATCTTGAAGAAACTCTTCTTACTTTCGAAAGTATATTAAGCAGCTCTCCAGCTTTCCCTGGAGTCTCTTTCCTTCCCTAGTAACCTCCTGAGTGCTCGCTTTATCTCCTTGTTCCTCAGGGTGTATACGAGAGGGTTAAGTGAAGGAGTGCCCACTGCATAGAAGAGACCAAAGAACTTGCCCCTCCCTTGGGCATACGGATTTTTGGGCTGGAGGTAGACAGCAATGACTGAGCTGTAGAAGAGGGTGACCACAGTGAGATGGGAGGAGCAGGTCCCAAAGGCCTTTCTCCATGCTGTGGCAGAGTTAATCCTCAGCACTGCCTGGGCAGTGGCTCCATAAGAGGCAAGGATGAGGCTGAGAGGCACAACCACGAAGATGACACTGGACACAGCCAACTGGATTTCATTGTAGGAGGTATCTCCACAGGAGAGTCGAATCAGAGATGGGACCTCACATAAAAAGTCATCTATCTGCTGGTGGGGACAGAAGGGCAAGTGGAGGGTGGATGGTGTCTGGACTATCGATTGAACCAGACTCATAACCCAGGCCACAGATGCCAGCTGCCAGCACAGGCGGGGGTGGATGATGGTGGCATAGTGGAGGGGCTGGCAGACAGCCACGTATCGGTCAAAGGCCATCACTGTCAGGAGGATGCACTCAGTGGTCCCCAGGGACAGGAAGATGAAGAGCTGGACAGAGCATCCCAGGAAGCTGATGGTCTTCTTTGGGCCCCAGAGGTTGACCAGCATCTGGGGGACACAACTTGTGGTAAAGCAGAGGTCCAAGAAGGAGAGGTCAGAGAGGAAAAAGTACATTGGAGAGTGGAGCCTGGGGTACAGTACAGACAGCAGGATGATGAGTGTGTTGCCCACCAGGGTCAAGAGGTAGGAAGTGAAGACAACCACAAAGAGAGTCCTTTCCAGTGCTGGGTGTTCAGAGAAGCCCAGAAGGAGGAAGCCCATGGGGGAGCTTTGGTTAACCATGGCCTGTTCTTGTTTGTACCTGGAGGGATGAGGCTGTCACCCCAGTGTGATTCAACCTGTCTTATCAAAACTCAGCCTGGGTGTTTGTGAGGTCACAGCAGGTAGGTGTTTCTTTTCTGTCTCTGCTCACCCAGCCTCCCTTTCCCAGGCTTATCGTCATCCAGCAGCTCCTTCTCGTTCCCTGTTCCTTCTGATCAAACGTTGTCTAGCAGAAGTGAGGAAACCAAGAATGTGCTGGAAAGCAGGTGGAACCTCACATTGGTGCCTCTGACTTCCTGGTTGAGGGCAAAGAAAGCTGATGTAAAACATGGATTAATTAACCGATCTTCATTAATTCAACAATAAATTGTTAGGCTCTATCTTATTCTAAATGTTGTGGTAGTTCTGAATATTTCATTATGTACATCCATAAAGAATTAGAAAAGAATCATTTGATAGAATTGCCCTACTATTCATATGTATGCAAAATTATTCTGTATTCTGGGGCATAAGTTTCCTGGAATTATTCATGTTTTATCTACTTTATCTTTGTTTGCAGAGGTGTCAATCAGAGGCAGAGTGTAGAATTAACAAAGAGATTTCTCCGCTGTGTGTATTAACTCCACTCATAGAAAAATCAATGAGGTATTTTGTTCCTTCTCCATTAAAAAAATTATGATTCATTAAACTAAATGTAAGAGCTTCCTCCACAAATGAAAATCCCTAACCTCAACTTAACATTATGTAGAATGTAGCAAAATGACATGAAAAAAATGCTGCCAATTGTCTTGTTCTGGGGCTTAGAAATTAAAAAGATGATATAATTTTTAAAATTTTTTGCCTCTCAAATAAGATTATGTCAATAGCAAAATAGAGAGTTGATATTGGGACGTTTAAGTAGAAATTATTCAGGATCTAGAAGAATTTAAAGAAAAAAAGGAAGGAATTAGAATTTGTTACTTTCTTAATTCTATTCACTATTTAAGATTTAAAACATTATTTTTATAAAAATTCATACCCCCAAATTTTAAGAGTAATTTAAAGAATTTCTGAATGTTCTTTATCTATATTAGTAAAGTGCTAACACTTGACATTTTTATCATTACATCTTTATCTTTGCATATGCAATTATATTTACCCTGAGCTACTGAACAGTGAGTTGTATATATAATGCCTCTTCACTTCTTCATGTTTCTAAGATAGAATTTTTTTTTAGTGTAAAAACAGCTCAGTTACTAAATACAGGAAAGCCAACATTGATAAAGTATTATTGGCCGGGTGTGGTGGCTCACGCCTATAATCCCAGCACTTTGGGAGGCTGAGGCGGGCGGATCACCTGAGGTCAGATGTTTGAGATCAGCCTGGTCAACATGGTGAAACCTCGTCTCTACAAAAAAAAAAAAAAAAAAAAAAAAAAATTAGCGGGGT
This sequence comes from Homo sapiens, assembly GCF_000001405.40. Classification (NCBI taxonomy): domain Eukaryota; kingdom Metazoa; phylum Chordata; class Mammalia; order Primates; family Hominidae; genus Homo; species Homo sapiens. Next base: position 29,460,362 of record NC_000006.12, on the reverse strand, counting down.
GTGGTGGTGGGTGTCTGTAATCCCAGCTACTCAGGAGGCTGAAGCAGGAGAATCGTTTCAACCTGGGAGGTGGAAGTTGCAGTGAGCTGAGATCGTGCCATTACACTCCAGCCTGGGCAACGAGAGAGAAACTCTGTCTCAAAACTAACTAAATAAATAATAAAATATTATTACTTACTCTGTAGACCATACTTATAGTTTTGCCAATAATTTCTGTTATATACGTGTTTTCCCATGGAAGATCCACTCCAGATTATGTATGTCTGAGCTTGCCCTCTTAAGTAGCCTTTCCTTAGTCAGTGAAATAACAAGCCTTAAAGTATAGGCTGGTCGGTTCAGTTCCTAGCATGAGAAGCAGAGAGACTAGAAGAGTATGGCCTCATGTATTCAATAAACACTGGGAAATACATGGGAAAATTGAGACCCTCCCCAACACCGCCGCCCAGAATTGAAGGCAAATAAATTAAGATGAGGTGTGGGTTAGGAAAGAGTCTGCACAATAAAGGAGGAATCTGGGTGGGTGGGCCACGGAAAGCCTTTAGGAGGAGGTGACATGCATTTTTGCTGTAAAAGACTGTGCTGAGACACATGAGGCAAGCTCAATGATGGGGGTGGGATGCGGCACCACCCTGGCAGGTAAGAGGCAGAAACTGAGGGTTTTCTGAGCACAGACAATGGCAGGAGGGCCGTTTAGGGGATGTGGCCATTTAGGGCAAGCAAGTTGGTGGTCTCATTGGCAGACAGTGCCCTGGGACTTTATGGGATGGCACAATCACCTCTGCATCACAGGACCCTGTCTGGTGTTAAAAGCTGCCTCCCATCTCCCTTTTCATCAAGACTCCCTCCTTTTTGTCTCCTTCTATATTCCTTCCTCCATCATTACGTCTCTCCTTGAGGATAAGATTTGTTCCCTTAATTTTTTAAAAATCATATAAACAAAAAGTATATAAAACACATCTATGGATTTTATGGAATAATAAACACATGGTGTACCTGAATCTCCTCCTGATTTAAGAACAGATCAAATATTACTGGTATCTTAGAAGTCTTCTGTGTTCTCCTCCCTGATCACATCTCCTTCTCTCCCACTGAAGAAGTAAACACTATTCTGATTATTTTAAATGTATCGTTCCTTTTTAAACTTTGCAGCCTCATATCTTTTGTGTCTCAGCAATTGTCCAGAGTTTTATTCATCCATAAACTGCAGCATTTCTTACATTCTTACTCTCTTGGCAACTTGTCTCACTGTATGTTTTTTCTTAATCTCTTCAGTTTATATCTTCCTTTGACCCTCTGCACTCTCCTATTTTCTATCTTTAATAACATGCCTTTTCCTTACCCTGTTTCTTCTGGTCCTTTTCTCTGACACCAATAATAGGCAAGCACTACTTTCCCTACATCCCATTAACTCCACACAGAAGCACATTAATTTATTCTTTTTTGGTCCTCAAAGAGCCAGTCATGTACTAACTGCTACAAAGTTATGAGACAAATTCTGCCCTACAGTTCAATAATAATAACCACTTATAGTTTTGACAGTTACTATCTGTTGATGTCCTATATACTAACACTGTGCTAAATAATTTCCTGGAATATCTGCTTCTTAAAAGAACCCTGCTAGACAGTTAATATCTCTGCAGAAGAACAAACAGTCTCAAAGAGGTTAAGTAACTTGCCCAGGGTTACCCTGCCAATGAGTGTCAGTGCCAGGATTGTAGACCCTGTTTGATTCAGAACTGTCTTAAGAACATGTGGAAATTGATGGGCTGTAGGGGAATAAACTTGTGACTTACTTGCAATTAAGTCAGACTCTCTTCACGGCCTTGCTGCCACAGCTTCCCCATAGAAAGGAACTTCTGGACTGGTTGGAGCCTCCACTTGTGATCTCACAATGAGAACTAAAAGCAAACTAAAGAGGAATGTTATACTCTTGATGATTATTGGAACTTGGATTTCAGTTAAGAGTATTGATTGCTAGTGCTTACTTCCATGGGCACTCAAAAAAGCGCTTCATATTTACGGCTCCTTATAACTTCAAAAGGTGGGTACTATTATTACCTTCCCTTACAGATCAATAATTGAAGACATGTAGAGGTTGAATATCTTGTTCTGGAAAGTATAGCTAGTAAGCACCAAAGACCAAATTTTAACCCAGGTGGGCTGGCTGAAGAAGCTATGCGCTAACCACATTCCACCATTGCTCTGCCAGACACATGAGCTAGAGTTAGCGCTTTACTATGGAACTCTTGCTAACGACTTCTTTTCCTCAATCCAGTAAGTTAACCTCTCTTTTAGTGACATTAAAGGCAGAAAAAAAGGCATAGTGAGATGATGGGGGGAGGAATCCCAAGACTCCCATCCCATAGAGAGAAGTAGCTCATTAATTCTGCCAAGACTAGGTGCCCCATAACCTATAGACAGCTAATTGGCCACAGCTACTAATGGTTAAGAAGGAATGTGAAGATTCAAAGGAAGTGTGCCAGCAACTGAGTTCCCTTTGGCATATAAAAAGGTCACCACTGCTTCTCCGTGTCACTGGGGAGTAAAAGGGCACTATTCTCTCCTGATCCACACCTTCTGAGTGTCCCATATTTCCAGCCTTCCTCTCAAGCCTCGAATGTGCTCATTCAATCCCCCCTGACTTTGGTTTATTTCCTTTCTCTTTTTAAAATTAAGGTATAATTTACATAATGAAGTGCACATATTTTAATGGACAATTCACTGAATGTGAACAAATGTATACATCCAGACAACCATTACCCTACTGAAGATATAGAACATTTCCATCACTCCAGAAATTTCATCATGCCCATTTACAATAATTCTCCCCATGCTCTAGGCAACCACTGCTCTGATTTCTATCATTTTGTTTTGCTTTTTCCAGAACTTCACATAAAAGATTCATTCAGCACATACTCTTTGTGTTTGGTGTGTTATGCTCTGTACCACAGTTTGGAGAATCATCCCTGTTGTTTTGTGTATCAATAGTCCAATTCTTTTTTAAAAATATCAGTGAGTAGTATTCTCTTGCCTAAATATATCACAATTTTTTCATCCATTCACTTGTTGATGAACATTCAGGTTTGTGGTTGTTTTAAAATATGGCCCCCAATTTTCTTATATCCCCTTCACAAAGTAGAGCCTACTTCCCTTACCTTTGCATGGGAGCTGTACTGAGTGACTCAGTTTTAACAAATAGAATCTGGTAGAAACGATGGGATGTGACATCAAAGACTATGTCACAGTAACATTGTGACTTCTTCTTTGTGGATTGTTTACTTTGGAGGAAGCCATCCTAGCAGTGAATGGAAACACACATATGGGGAGAAACTAAGGCTCCCTACTAAAAACGTGCAACATGTGACTGGGACATCTTGTAAGTGAATCCTTCAGCTTCATCCAAATCTTAGAAATACAATCAGCTGACTTCTTGACTACAATGTCAAGAAAGATCCTAAAATAGATACATCTACTATGTATTCACAAAAAGTTTTTAAAAAGTTAAAAGAAAGATCCTAAGCTAGAATCACCAGCTACTATTTAGCTGCTTCTGAATTGCTGGCCCATAGAAACTGTGAGATAATAAATATTTGTTGTTTGAAGCCATTAAGTTTTGGGATAACTTTTTATGCTGTAATAGAGAAACAGTGTGGGGTGGTTTCCAGTTTTTGCTGTTGTGAATCAATCTGCTATAAACTTTCATGTACAAGTCTTTTGTGTATGTGTATTTTCATTTCTCTTTGGTCAAAACCTATTTGTGGAATTTCAGGGTCATGTGATAGACATTCTAGTGGATATCAGGTGATATCTCATTATAGCTTTTATAGCTTTTTAATTTAATTTTTTTTTTTTTGAGACGGAGTCTTGCTCTGTTGCCCAGGCTGGAGTGCAGTGGCGCGATCTCGGCTCACTGAAAACTCTGCCTTCCGGGTTCACGCCATTCTCCTGCCTCAACCTCCCGAATAGCTGGGACTACAGGCGCCCGCCACCACGCCCAGCTAATTTTTTGTATTTTTAGTAGAGACGGGGTTTCACCATGGTCTCGATCTCCTGACCTCGTGATCCGCCCACCTCGGCCTCCCAAAGTGCTGGGATTACAGGCGTGAGCCACCGTGCCCGGCTTTTTTTTTTTTTAGACTGAGTTTCACTCTGTCGCCCAGGCTGGAGTACAGTGGTGTGATCTCGGCTCACTGGAACCTCCGCCTCCCAGGTTCAAGTGATTCTCCTGCCTCAGCCTCCTGAGTAGCTGGGATTATAGACATGTACCACCATGCCCAGCTAATTATTGTATATTTAGTAGAGACGGTGTTTCACCACATTGACCAGGCTGATCTCGAACTCCTGATTTCAGGTGATCCACCTGCTTAGGCCTCCCAAAGTGCTGAGTTACATGTGTAAGCCACCAAGCCAGGCTAATTTTGAAAATTTTTTGTTGTATATGTATATGCTTAGGATATACAGGATTTCCTTTTTTTTTTTTTTTTTTTTGAGACAAGTCTCATTCTGTCTCCTAGGCTGGAGTGCAATGGCACGATCTCGGCTCACTAAAACCTCCGCCTCCTGGGTTCAAGCGATACTCCTGCCCCAGCCTCCCAAGTAGCTGGGATTACAGGCGCATGCTGCCACACCCGGCCACTTTTTTGTGTTTTAGTAGAGAGGGGGTTTCACCATGTTGCCCAGGCTGGTCTCGAACTCCTGAGCTCAGGCAATCCACCCGCCTCGGCCTCCCAAATGATGTTTTGATATACATAGTTAAATGATTACTATGGTCAAGCCAATTAACATATCTATCAACTCACAGTTACTTTTCTTGTGGTAAGAGTACTTAAAATCTATTCTCTTAGAAATTTCCAGTATATAATACAATGTTGTCAACTGTAGTCCTCAGGCTATACATTAGATCTCTAGACTTATTAATCTCACAGTAGTTTCTAAATTTACAATTATCCAACAACTAAGTCATTGAGCATCTTTTCATTGGTCATTTATATATTCTTTTGTGAGGTGTCTGTTCAAGTCATTTGTCCATATTTTATAGTGTTTCCTTTTATGATAAAAGTATATGAGTTCTTCATATATTCTGCATAAAAGTCCTTTGTCAAATAAATGCACTGTGCTATTTTTTCAGTCTGTGGTTTGATGTTTCAATTTGAATGGCGTCTTCAAAGGAGAAGAAGCTTTTAAGTTTGATTAACTCAAAATTCATCAATTATCTTTTTGCAGTTAAGTGCTTTTTGAATCCTAAGAAATCTTTACCTATTCTAAGGTCATAAATATTTTCTTTTATGTTCTTCTTTAGAAGCTTTTAATTTCTAGCTTATATGTTTATTTATATGACCCATGTTAATTTTTTTGTATGTTGTGATATAGGAGTCATAATTCATTTTCATACATATAATAAAATATTATGAAAATGGCTGCTTTTTTACACTTGATCTTAGCCAAAAGGCCGAGAAGCGATAAAAAAAATGGCTGCTTTTTTAAACAAATCATAATGGTACAGTTTTTATACCTATATCTGGTTCCTCCAGTACCATTTGTTGCAAAGAATATCGTTTCCTGTATTGAATTATCTTGGTGTCTTTGTGTAAAATCAATAGATCTTATGTGTTTGGCTCTATTTCTGCACTTTCTATTCAGTTCCACTGATCTCACCAGTTGATGACATTTGGATTGTTTCTACTTTTTGGGTGTTACTAATAATGTTCTTATGAAGAGTCATTGAAGGCATATGATTTAAATTGTCTTGGATATTACCTGACAGTGGAATTATTGGGTTGTATAGTAAATTTTTTTTATAAAAAACCTGCCAAATTGTTTTCCAAAGTGGCTCTGTCAATTTTGACATATTCTTGCCAACACTTAATCAGTATTTCACATCTTTGTCAACATCTTATACCATCAGTTTCTTATTATAGTCATTCTAGTAGACTTGTAAGTATTGTGTTTAATTTCATGTTCTTAATAACCAATGATAAAGAGCATCCTTTCATGCCTTTTTTTTCCATCTGGGCCCCAGCTGATTGGATGATACCCATCTATATTGATAGTGGATCTTCCCTACCCAATGAAAGACTATATTGTCCATGAATTCTTTAAAAATGGTTTTAATTTAACTATTTATATTAGATGTTTTGAATCTCTGTTTGCTAAATTCAACAGCAGTCCCACTTACAGTCAGTTTCCATTAACTGCAGTCTTTTCTCTAAGACTTGATTATACTTTCCTGTTTCTTTGCATGTCTCATTTTAGATACTATATTGACAAGTTTATATTCTTATTTTTTTCTAAGAATTATTTTGTTAACATTATTGGACATAATCTGTGGACTGTGTATCTTCCACCATTTATGGCTTCCATGGTCTCAACCTAGCTCTTAAAAATTCATATTTTAAAATCTTGGATCCCAGAAGTTTCCCTTGT